>NC_000010.11:130662589-130974069 GCF_000001405.40 Homo sapiens
TGGAGCAAAGGGCTAGGTAAACACTCCTTGTCTTCCCATGGAGGGTGGTTGCATCCAAGAGAGTTTTTCTCAGAAAAATGATGGCATGAACATGAGAAGGAGTAAATGATCAGAGATCAGACCAGGCCTTTAACTGTTGAAATTAGTTTGACTAAAAACTGTATTGATTACTCGTGGAACTTAAAACCATCTGCAAAAACAAACCCAAAACAGTCCACCCTGGATTGTGTTAAAGAAAAGTAAAAACGGAGGCCACAGTTTGGATGAATACTTCTAGCCCAACCGCCTGTGGCCGTGTAACCAAAACTTACACCATCCTGATTTCTCTGAAAAGGCTCGATTTGACCATGAGACTGACGCTTTGCTTTCTTGTCGCGTGCTGACGTCACATACGTGCTTATGCATAGGCGAGGGCCACATGCATCCTCGTTTTTGCTTTCTAAAGCAGCGCATCAGGCCACACCTCTGAGCTTCCTCTTGCAGTTTTGGCGTGAGGTCTCCTCAGTTCAGGGACTGTTCTTTTGTACACACAATGACTTTACATAATTTTCAATTTGACCTGACTCTATTTTGCACTATTGGCATGTGGTTGTCTTTCCTTCTGGGTGATAGGGAAGGATCAGCATGGCTTATGACTAAGGGACATCACGTAAATTCCACAAGAACAAAAATCACGTCTTTCCTGTTTGCTCTTCCCTCCCTACCTGGTACACAGTAGCCCTCAAAAATGTGAATGAATCGACGAGAGAAACTGAGAGGTAAGGGGAGAGCTTCCTCAGCCCGCCCTACGAGGCGGTGGGGGTCTCCTCACTTCTAGCCACAGTTTTTCTCTTCTTTGTTGCTTTGCTTTGAAAGGCAGGTTAAAGCAGACAGTGCCCATCGTGGTAATTAAATTATCTGTAGCCTCGGAGTGATTGCACTTAGAGGCAAAAAGCAAGATTCATTATGAGGAGCTAAAAGCCCTTTTCCACTTTGAAGTGAACCACCTCGCTGACATGAAAAATTTGATTAGGATTCAGAGGTAGTTATTCACTGATAATCTCTAATTTAAGAACATGTTATGCTAATTTGTAACTCTAAAGCCAAAGATTCACAAGGGTAAGAGATCCTTTAAATATTCTGAAATCATATTATTAGTGAACAGAAATCTACCCCTGATTGCTCAGTATTGAGAAAAAGTCTCTCAATTTACAAGATTTGTGAAGGCAGCATAGTGACTTCCTGGAGTCCTGTTATAATCTGGTCATACTGGTGAGACCACCTGGGGCATGGGGAAAAGGGATAGAAAGAAGAAACTCCTGTGTGAGCTAAAACAAAACTCAAGGAGAGTCCATCATTCTTGTGAAAAGGAAGGAAAAGTCACAGGCTTATAATTGAATGGTGAAGAAATTGTCTGCAGGATTGTCATGCGTGTGGGACCTGGAGAGCTGTGATGCAGCAGGGAGAAGTGGTGGCCAGGACCCATGGCTCCAGGAAGGGAGCTTTCATGGAAGAGCAGACGGCTCTTTGGACAATGAGACAAATGAATGTTCTGGTCCTGGAAGAGCTTTCCTGAACAGAAAATAAATGACATCCAAGACAGGCAAGCAGATGAAGTACCTCTGCGGCCACGAGGCCCATCATCTTCCATCTCCCGGTCCTCAGAACCCAGACTCAGACCAACTTCCTGCAGTCAGCTTAGGAGGGGAGCGCCCCAGCACGATGGGAGAGGGGTCTGAGCATGAAGACAGTGGCAGTGAGGACAACAGATGAGCCAGGCCTCCTGCTGGCCTCTCATGGGTTGAGGGGAGATAGATGCAGGCCTGGAGGCGTTAGGGTGGGTGGGGACACGAGCATAGGGCTGCTAGATAGACAAGGGCACCCAATTCAATTTGAATTTTAGATAGACAATGAATCATTGTTTAGTATAAGTATATTCCACATATTGTATGAGGTGTACTCACACTAAAAAAAATGGTTATTTATTTAAAATTCGACTTTCACCCAGTGCCCTGCACTTCTGCTCACTAAATCTGGAGATGAGAGACTGGTGAGGCTCCTGGGGCTTGGGTTGAGGGTGGGAAGAAAGAGCAAGGGGCTCCCAAGCCCATGCCTTGCCTCTTGGAGGTCCCCAGGCTGGTGGTCCAGGAGGGCAACGTGGTGGGTTCTCAGAGGCTGGTGCAAACCCTGCAGATAACTGTCAGGACTGCCAGCGCTGGAGGCTGGGAGGAGAGGGGAGCTGGGCCTGAGCGTCCAGGGCAGTCATCCAGGTGCAAACCTACTTCCCGTAATGAGTTTGAAAAATATATTCCACATTCTCTTGAGGCAAACGTTCAACAAAAATTAACTCCAGGAAACACTTCTATATCTGGCCGGGTGATTTGGGCCTCATTACAGAACAGCTTTTCCGACAAACACTCCTTTACCATGAAACTTTTATTCGAACAATAAGATAATAATGGCCAATATTTATCTAATGTTCACTGTGGAACAGGCACTGCACTCAGTGTCTTATGTATTTCACAGCATTTAATTCTCACTGAAGTCATCATTCATCTATTCAGCAATTGCTTACTTACTGACCAAATTCCAGGCCCTGACTCTGGGCTCCTGATAACAACAGTGAACAGAATGGGGCACGGTCCTCCCGAGGCACACGGAGAATGCAACCCAACGCCCACCTGCAGGGTACGTCTCATCTTCACAGTAACCCTTCACAGTTTGGATTTCACAGAAACAAGGCATTATTTTTCTGTATAAGTATGTCCCAAGATTTTAAGGGACACACGTATACCTAAATATTTGTTGTTTATCTAAAATGCTAATTTAGCTGGGTGTTATTATTAGCCTGTTGGGAAACTCAAGCACAGACAGCTTAATTAACTTCCCCAGAGTTACACAGCCAAGAAGCAGAAGAGGTCAGAGCTGAGCCTGGGCCACGTGTCTCCTGAGTCCGTCTCCTTCCTGGTCATGCCACACGGCCACACTGCATTCGTGAACAGATGGAGTCCCACCCTTGGGAACTTACAGGTTAGGGAGAGACCGACCCTGGTTACAACTATGATGAGGGTTACAAAGAAACTTCTGGGGCCTCTGGAAGCCGGGGGGATTGGGAAGTTTTTCTGGGGAAGTAAATCCCAGGACCTGAAGGCTGGTGGGGAGGAGGGAAGAGAAGAACATTCCCGACAGAGGGACTGGCTTGCGCAAAGTCTCGTGTGGTCGAAAGGCCTCTCCAAGAACAAATCTGGCTGCATAGTTTATGGGGCTCAATGGGAAAGGAAAAGGCAGAACTTCTTGTTTAAAAATTATTGGGAATTTTAAGATGGTGACAGCAAAGCATTCAGCCAAACACAAGATCCTGTGCTGTGCGCCCGTGTGGCTGTCCTGTCCAGGAAGCAGAGGCAGGCAGGGCTGGGGCAACAGGGGGAGGAATGCTGGTAAACCCAGCCTGGGAGGTCAGATTGGGGATTTGACTTCAGCCGAAGGGTAATCAGAAGTCATGGGGCTTCCAGCTGGGCAGCGATATGATCAGATTGGCATTTTAAAAGATTTTTCCGGTTACCACGTAGAGCATGGATTGGACTGGATGCCTAGTGATTAATTTGTCAGCTGTCATTGCAATTTAGGCAAAACATATCGGTGGGTCATCAGGAACATGGGTGGCATTGGAAATGGAGGTGAGATAAGTGGGTGATTCCAGAGCCACTGCAGGAAGAGCCGCAACGAGGAGGGGAGGTGTGGGCATCCAGGAGATATCCAGGGCAGCAGCTGCAGCACCTGAGAACCCATGGCAAAAGCAGCCCAGATCGGGAGCTGCAGAGTTGGGGTGCAGAGGGCGGGGTGGACCCGTGGGGTCATGGGTCACCTACATCCAGTGGTAGAGGCAGTGCCGTGGGCATAGGTCTGAGAGGAAATGATCACGTGGACCCTGGGGGTCTGGAGAAGGTGCCCGGGGTCCTTAGGAAAGCATCGGGGTGGTAAGATGCCCAGGATGCAGCTCTCTGGACTATCCTGCTGATGGAGACAAGCTGATGGTGGAGACCAAGAAGGGGCAGCCCTTGAGGGAACCAAATCAGGAGCTTTAATATTCGTGAATGATTTGTGTGGCCACAGGCTGAAAAGAGGGAAAGAGGAGCATTCCTGGAGGAGCAGGGAATCCTGAGTGAGCAGATCGGGGCCCCCTGGCCATGTGTCCGTGCAGAAATCAGGCTTGGCAACACCGGGTTTACAGGCATGTCCCAAGTGAGCAGGGGTTGGTCCCCTGGACATGTGTCCATCCAGAAATCACACTTGGCAATGCAGGGTTTACAGGTATGTCCTGAGTGAGCAGAGCATGGCCCCCTGGATGTGTTCCCATGCAGAAATCATGCTCGGCAATGCTGGGTTTACAGCCATGTCCTGGTGAGCAGAGCATGGCCCCCTGGGCATGTGTCCACCCAGAAATCACACTTGGCAATGCCAGGTTTACAGGCATGTCCTGAGTGAGCAGAACTTGGTCCCCTGGACATGTGTCCATCCAGAAATCACACTTGGCAATGCAGGGTTTACAGGTATGTCCTGAGTGAGCAGAGCATGGCCCCCTGGATGTGTTCCCATGCAGAAATCATGCTCGGCAATGCTGGGTTTACAGCCATGTCCTGGTGAGCAGAGCATGGCCCCCTGGGCATGTGTCCACCCAGAAATCACACTTGGCAATGCCAGGTTTACAGGCATGTCCTGAGTGAGCAGAACTTGGTCCCCTGGACATGTGTCCATCCAGAAATCATGCTCGGCAACCCTGGGTTTATAGATAGGGGCCTGGCCAGGCTGGTGCTCAGCCTCTAGCTCACTCAAGAACCCTGGAGTCCTTAGTGTGCTCTTCTGATGTTTCCATGTTTCCCCTCCTCTTCCTTCTGGGCACAGGGCAGGGCTGCCTGTCCAGGCCAGGGATTATGAGCATCAGCCTCCTGTGCCATTGCTGGGCTGGTGATGGCCAGGCTGGGCTCTGTGGCCTCTGCTTGAGACAGGGCTGCTCCATCAGCTGGATCCTGGATGGAGACCCAGCCTCGGCAAACACCGTCTCTTTCCCCAGCTGTTTGTGATGGTGCAGCATCAGTGAGAAGCAAACCCTCACTGATTTAGCCTGTTGAGATTTGGGGATAGTTTGTAACAAAATGACCTTTTAAACCTATGAGTTATTTAAATATCATGGATATACAGGAAAAGACAAAAATGGCTTTTGTACCATTAACTTAAGAGAAGACACAGCACTCCACAAATGCAAGGTTGTATTATCTCACTGGTGTGGTGGGTTGCGTGGCTATAATTACTGTACAATGCAGGGGGCTTCCTGGATCCACGGGACCAGCCTTGGGGGCTGAAGCCACTCCAGGTGCACTGTCTTCGGGCAGTTGTTGAGTTTCTGGGGTTCTGTGTGCCAGAGACCTGGAAATGACCATAGCAACACATCATGGACTCGAAACTTACTAAGATACAAGGAAAAGGAGCATTGGTCTGAAGACTGGGGGGAAAGGCACATCTTTGAAAATTATGTATTACATATTTGAAACTCTTAGCTTGAAGACGTGTGAAAGGACAGAGGCAGAATGCAACAGGGGTAAGGAGAGAGAAAAGGAGAGGAAGACGTGAGCAAGGTAGGGAGGTAACCGGAGTTTACAGAAGTCAGAAACGACCGCATCAAAATCCAACATGCAATTGCAGAAATAAAAGCAGCAGAAAGGAACAGAACCCCCTGGGGTGGAGAATTGCACCAGGAATGTAGAAGGAAAGTTAAGGGACTCTTCCAGAGTCCAGAGAAAAATGAAAGCCATGCGTTCTAAAGGTGATAGAACACCATTAAGCAAGCTATTTTTGAAATAAAGAGTTGATTGATTCAATAATTGAAAATCCATGAACATAATTTATTCTATCAGTAGGGTGAAATTCATCATATCAGAATAAAAATCATGAAATTAGATTGCTGAAACTAAAAAAAGCATTCGATAAAATTATGCCTCCATTAATAAAAATAGTAAGAATCACACATACACACAAAATAAGTTTACTGTGATCAGAATCATACTTTCAAACAATAGAAAGAATATGACACTCTAACAAAATGATGAATATGGAATTCCAATTCCAACATGGTGGTCAACACTGAAACATTGGTGGAATTCCCACAAGCAACCACCTTGGCCTGTGTCAACCCTTCTTCCCCAGGAAGGACTGGATATGGCAGCCCTGCTGGTCGCTCCACCAGCACTCATGTTCCCTCTCCCGGGAGGAAGGAGACTAATCAGGATAAGGAAGGTGTGAGCCCACACTCCACCCGTGTGTTCCTCATGGTAGAAGGTTTCGAAGATGGCTTCTCCCACGCAAACCCTCCTCCTGGCTGTCTCCCTGTCACTCAAAGACATGCCTGCCTTGGTTCCAGAAAATCTGTCACCTCTTCCATTCCATAAGCTCTCTGGGCCAGAATTCCCCATCTAAACCCCACTACCCAACATTTTGCTTAGTTCTGCCCATTTATATTTTATAGGTCAGAATCCTGTAGGCAATGAGGAATGAGTGTGAGATTCAGGCACCACATCCACACTGAACCTCCACCCTCTTGGTGCCCAACATGGCACTCAGAAGATGCTTCCACAAATCTAGCATTTGGGGACCAGGCTGTGGTACATGAAGTCCTTGTGGAGGCAGCTGGTTTTTAGACCTTGCTGAGTGATGCTGGGTCAGATTCATGCTGGGGCTGGCGTGGAGAAAGGAGTAGGCATGCAATGGTTTGCACCATGTGGCAGGCTCAGGCCTCAGTGTCACTGAATGCAATGAAGGTTAACTGAAGCCCTGGGGAATTGAGCACTGAGAAAAGGCAGCTTTTGGAGAGAAGAAGGCCATGGCAGAGGTCAGACATCCCCAAAACAGCACAGGCCTCAAAAGGTCATGGATGTCAATGAGAGAAAAAACACATGAAAGCTCAAACTCCTGATGGGTGATTTTTCTCAGCTTAGTTGAAGTTCATAGGTTGTGGCACCTAGATAACAAGCACAAACTGAGTGTCATTTAGATAAGCCAAAACCCAATCATTTTCTTTCCTTTTTTCTCGTGTGCTGTGTGCTGTCTGCCTTCTTTCCCCTAAATAATGTCTGCAACTAGCAACAACAACGTGTTCTACATTTTATTATTTGAGAAGTTCTGGATTCAAATTTGCCAAAGATAGCCATAAAAAGAGCTGGAAATTTTGTAATGTTCTCTCAAATTTGCAGGAAAGAAGAATTCAACTTGGGAAAAAATGAAGCCGCTTCATGTATTCCAGCCAAAGCCAGCACAGGAGCAGATTCCAGCAAGATGGTGGCTCAACCCCGAGCAAGGCAGGGCTTTCTGACCAGAGCAAGGAGGAAAAAGAGAGAGTTTTAGAGTTAGACTTCCTCAGACTTTCCTACAAGACAAAATATATTTAATTTTAAAAATTTCCTAATGAAAAAGATTTTACATATGGAGGATATGCTAATTAAAATAATCTCTCAGTCATTAACTTACATTTTGGAAATAAATACTGTCCCCTAGTTTCCATATCTAATTGCTAAGGATTTATGAATTGACATAGCCGGGCATCATCTGGAATGGGAAATGAAATAGGACATCCATGCTTGTCTTCAGGGGTGAGAGCTGAACGTGGAGTCAATTTATCTAGCACCCTGTTTCAGCATTTCAGACGTTTCTGGGAGCAAAAGTAGAACTGTCCTCACCAGCTCTAGGTGGTTATTTGGGAGCAGGGTGAGAGGTCTGGGCATGCACACTGCTGCTTGCCTTCTGCTATGGGCTGAATGTTTGTGTTCCTCCAAAATTCATGTTTTGAAGCCCTCAATGTAATGGTATTTGAAGATGAGGCAGGGAATTAGGTCATGAAGGTGAAGCCTCATGATGGGATTAGTGTCCTCATGAGAAAAGAAAGAGACCCCAGATCTCCCTTGCTCCACCATATGAGGATACAGCAAGAAGGTAGCCATCTACAAGCCAGAAAGAAAGCCCTCACCAAGAACTAAATTTGCAGGCACCTGGATTGTAGACTTTCCAGTCTCCAGAACTGTGAGAAATACATTTCTGTTGTTTAAGACATGGTATTTTGGTAAGGTTGTCTGAGCTGACTAATACACTTCCCCTCCAGAGGCAGCCACTACCCAGTTAACCATAGACTAAGGAGTCAAGCCAGAAAATTAAGAGATGAAAAACACAGGCTTCTGTATGGCCCCTCTGGTATTTCATGTTTTTACAAGTACATGTATTAGTTCGTTTTCACACTGCTGATAAAGACATACCTGAAACTGGGAACAAAAAGAGGTTTAATTGGACTTACAGTTCCACATGGCTGGGGAGGCCTCAGAATCATGGTGGGAGGCGAAATGCACTTCTTACATGGTGGCAGCAAGAGAAAAATGAGGAAAAAGCAAAAGCAGAAAACCCTAATAAACCCAGCAGATCTCATGAGACTTATTCACTATCACAAGTGTAGCACAGGAAATACGAGCCCCCGTGATTCAATTACCTCCCCCTGGATCCCTCCCGCAACATGGGGGAATTCTGGGAGATACAATTCAAGTTGAGATTTGGGTAAGGACACAGTCAAACCATATAATTCTGCTCCTAGCCCCTCCAAATCTCATGTCCTCACATTTCAAATCCAATCATGCCTTCCCAACAGTCCCCCAAAGTGTTAATTCATTTCAGCATTAACCCAGAAGTCCACAGTCCAAAGTCTCATCTGAGACAAGGCAAGTCCCTTCTGCCTATGAGCCTATAAAATCAAAAGCAAGCTAGTTGTTTCCTAGATGCAACAGAGGTACAGGTATTGGGTTAAATACAGCCATTCCCAATGGGAGAGATTGGCTAAAACAAAAGGGTTACAGGGCCCATGCAAGTCTGAAATCCAGTGGGGCAGCCAAATTTTAAAGCTCCAAATGATGTTTTTTGACTCCAAGTCTCACATCCAAGTCATGCTGATGCAAGAGGTGAGTTCCATGGTCTTGGGCAGCTCTGCCTCTGTGGCTTTGCGGGGTACAGTGTCCCTTCCGGCTGTTTTCATGGGCTGGCATTGAGTGTCTGTGGCTTTTCCAGGTGCATGGTGCAAGCTGTCGGTGGACCTACCATTCTGGGGTCTGGAGGATGGTGGCCCTCTTCTCATAGCTCCACTAGGCAGTGCCCTAGTAGGGACTCTGTGTGGGGGCTCCAATCCAACATTTCCCTTCTGTATGGCCCTAGCAGATGTTCTTCATGAGGGCCCTGCCCCTGCAGCAAACTTTTGCCTGGGCATCCAGGTGTTTCCATACAACTTCTGAAATCTAGGTGGAGGTTCCCAAACCCTAATTATTGACTTCTGTGCACCCGCAGGCTCAACATTATGTGGAAGCTGCCAAGGCTTGGGGCTTTCATCCTCTGAAGCCAGAGCCTGAGCTCTATGTTGGCCCCTTTCAGCCACGGCTGGAGTGGCTGGGACACAGGGCACCAAGTCCCTAGGCTACACACAGCATGGTGACTCTGGGCTCTGCCCAAGAAATCATTTTTTCCTCCCAGGTCTCCAGGCCTGTGATGAGAGAGGCTGTGTGAAGGTCTCTGACATGGCCTGGAGACATTTCCCCATAGTCTTGGGGATTAACATCAGGCTCCTTGCTACTTATGCAAATTTCTGTAGCTGGCTTGAATTTCTCCTGAAAAAATGGTTTTTTCCTTTCTACTGCATTGTCAGGCTGCAAATTTTCTGAACTTCTATGCTCTGTTTCCCTTTTAAAATGGAATGCTTTTAACAGCACCCAAATCACCTTTTGAATACTTTACTGCTTAGAAATTTCTACCGCCAGATACCCTAAATCATCTCTTTCAAGTTCAAAGTTCCATGTTTCTCTAGGGCAGGGGCAAAATGCCGCCAGTCTGTTCACTAAAACATAACAAGAGTCACCTTTGTTCCAGTTCCCAACAAGTTCCTCATCTCCATCTGAGACCACCTCAGCCTGGGCCTTATTGTTCATATCACTATCAGCAATTTTGTCAAAGCCATTCAACGAGTCTCTAGGAAGTTCCAAACTTTCCCACATTTTCCTGTCTTCTTCTGAGCCCTCCAAACTGTTCCAGGCTCTCCCTGTTACCCAGTTCCCAAGTTGCTTCCACATTTTCGAGTATTTTTTCAGCATCACTTCACTCTGCTGGTACCAATTTACTATATCAGTTTGTTTTCATGCTGCTGATAAAGACATACCTGAAACTGGGAACAAAAAGAGGTTTAACTGGACTTACAGTTCCACATGGCTGGGGATGCCTCATAATCATGGTGGGAGGTGAAAGGCACTTTTTACATGGTGGTGACAAGATAAAAATGAGGAAGAAGCAAAAGTGGAAACGCCTGATAAACCCATCAGATCTCTTGAGACTTATTCACTATCATGAGAATAGCACAGGAAAGACTGGCCCCCAAGATTCAATTACCTCCCCCTGGATCCCTCCCACAACATGGGGGGATTCAGGGAGATACAATTCCAGTTGAGATTTTGGCGGGGACACAGCCAAACCATATCAGTACATTTCTGTGTCACTTCCTCAAAAGTGGCAATGTTAGCACCATCTTGCACTTTTTCTCTTCCTTTTCTGCCTCCTCCTGCTCTTTGAAAGAGACATGGTTTTCTGATAGGGAGATTGGAGTCAACAGTCCACTGGGCTGCATGGAACCTCCATCTGCTTTGATGATCTCAAATATCTGCTGTGTGTGGAGGATGAAGCTGTGAGCATCTTCATCTTTGAAGGTCGTGGTCTATGAACCTCTTCATGTGTTCCATCCAATCCTTGCCTCTCTGGATAGTAACCCACACTTGTGTCAACTGCTCTCTTGAGCATGAAAGAAATGCACCTTTACTAATGGAAAGTTCTCATCCTGGGTCTGAATTTTTCATTTTACTTTACAAGATGAATCTTTCCTCTCAGTGGTCTACAGACAGTGATCTTCTTTTCTGGGGTTCAGACTCAATATTTATGCATATATAATATCTCCAGCTTTAGAGGCTGCTTTTTTGGAGTTGTGGGAAGAGAGATTGAGTGAAGCAGTGTTTATTGAGCTGTAACTAAGGAATTACAAGGAAAGAGTAGACAATGGAAATATGTAGTCTAATGTGCAGATATTTGGGATCTACAGAAGAAAACATGTTTATATGCTCTAATAGTTTATAGAATGGGGGAGTACACAGAGGAGGTTGAGAAAAATACTACCTTTGAATAAAAATGTCATGCTGTGTTTATTCAAATTACAAAATTAATATATATTCAGAGCAGAAAACTGGAATTTTTTTTTTAAATTACAAGCACTAAAATAATTAAGTAAATAGAATTTCTTTTGGTGATACTGCCCAGGAGTATGTGTTTTTAACATTTTGGGGTAAGACTTTTCAGCCTGTTTTTGTGACCATCATTATTAGCTATCTTTTGAAAAAATAAAAATGGTTATGATAAGATGTATGCTTTTGTAGATTAGACAAAATATATACAAGAAAAATACTAACCAAAAGACAGCCATGGTGGCTGCTTTATCAATATGCTGAATTAAATTTCATTTCTAATGCTAGCAACACTTACAAAATATATCTGTGAAAATATCAAGGGATAAATATAAAAATATGTGTAAAAATTATGAAAATTTATTTAAAAAGTCATTAAAGAAAATCTACATAAATAGAGAGATATACCATGTGCATGGATAGGAAGATTCGATATCATAAAGATGAATTTATAGATGTAAAGCATTGTGAAGTTATTATATGTCAAGCAGTGGTCTCATATAATATGATTTAATAGGTTTATACAATTCTATTATATAGACATACCATAATCTACTTATGCATTCTGCTATTGATTAATGTTCAGATAATTTTTCATTAATGTAAATTGTACTGTGTTGAAAATCCTAGAATATAATTTATCAAATGTATTTCTAATTATTTACTTGGCATAAATTCTTAGAAGTAAAATTGCTAGACCAAAGGACATAACAGTTTTTCATATTTTTTTCAATTTGCCCACCAAAAATATTGTACTCAACTTCTACTCCTCCTGTCAGTGACTACGTTTGCCCATTTCTTCACATCCTCACATCCTGGGTGCCATCATTCCATCAGTGTTTGTTAACGGGGCAGGCAAAATGTGTCCATTCACTCACTGGTAGATCACGTGCTCTATGGGACCAGGAAACATTCCAGCATAATATCTGGCAAATATTTGGTGCATGAGAAATATTTTTGAATAAAAGAATGGAAGGCAAAATCGAGATTGAGGAGGGATTGTAATACATGTTTTACTATGTACTGATGAAGGAGTGGAAGCATACATATGAACTAGCATTTATTTCAGACTGTCCAGATGCCAGCAATAGATTGTTATAAGACACGAAAACATTCTCTAGCAGGAAAGCAGCAGAGTGTGGTGGAAAGATCAATGAAACAGGATACTCCCCATCACCCTGGCAAATTGGTTCTTCGATATTCAACATTCTCAGCTGAGGAGGAAAGGAATGAAAATAAATGGTCTCATAGATCCACTTTACTCAAAAATTCCATGTTTCATCTCCCATTCTCATTTCATCTTCATATCACAGTCTAAGGAAAATTATAAAATCCCAGAAGAGTGATTAATACAACCTGCAATACTCAGACTCCCAGCAAGTATTGGGCAGCTGCTAACGTGTGAACTGTGCATTAGACCTAGCTTTTGGATATTAAACAGAATGATCCAAAGCCCTGGAAACTTACTGCTTTCTTCAGGGGGTGCCCATTTTCCCTTTATTGTAGTGGATTTGAGTTATGGGTTTCGACAACTGGTGCAACCTTTGAGAATAAGCACAGGCTGTCTACCCAGAGGAGTTTTGCTATTTTGTAAAGTAAGTTGCTGGCTTTAGTGCTTCATCCATGTTTTATGATGGCCAATAAGAATCTGGGTCTAATTTTATGATCCCATCTACTACTGTTTACTTTGCTTACAGAAGGCCACACATCACCAATTTATAGTTTACATTTTATTTAGCTTCCTTGGCAAAATTATAGACAAATTTATGTATGCATAAACAGTATGCATCTGACAATAATTCTGAGTTTTAATACATTTTAAAAAGTTAGATCTTACACAAGGTGAGTGCCTCTTTCTCTTGACACCTCATCAGTGTCTTAATTTTTTGGAAGCCTCTTGGGCATCTTGAGTAAGATGTATCATGAACACTGAAAACTGGAAGAGCCCTGCGGGGCAGGTAAGGAGGAAGTTAGTCCTCCAAACCCCAGGTGGGGAAGCCATGATCAATACAGTTGAGACATTATTTCTCAAACATATTTCTAATGACAGTGGGGATTAATTAATTAAACTCAGATTTTTAGTGACATTCTACCAATGTGAAAGGGTTGATCTTTCATTGTT
This sequence comes from Homo sapiens, assembly GCF_000001405.40. Taxonomy (NCBI): domain Eukaryota; kingdom Metazoa; phylum Chordata; class Mammalia; order Primates; family Hominidae; genus Homo; species Homo sapiens. The sequence continues at coordinate 130,675,985 of NC_000010.11, forward strand.
GTTTCAATTTAGTGTGTGGACAATTTTGCCTTTAAATTGAGAAAGAGATATGTTACAGAGTCTGTTAATACCAAGATCTCATTTACTGGAGATTCTCCAGCAGAGCCCATCCCAAAGAGCTCAAACCTGAAGTCTTCACTCCCCCAACGTGGGCTCTGCCAAGCATCTGTGCATATTCACAGGCAGGACTGTGTCCACGTCCATAAACCCATGTGTCCCCCAGCCCTTTCTCTGTGTTCCTGAAATGGTTTCATAATACATCATGTGACCTTATTCTGCACCTTGGGTAGCATTCGTAATCAAGTTATGAACAAAACTCTCACAAAATCCAGTGATGAGACCCAGCTTAGGCTCACTGAAAGCACCATGTTGTTCACCTGGGAGCTGTCACACTGGCTCTGGAGTGCAACTTTTTCTAGTACCTGATGTGGGAAGTGTGCATTACACCTCACATTTTGGAACCTTGCTGAGCCAAGAGTAGCTAAATTGGCAAAGTGCAAAATGGTTTGTGCTGCTGCTCTGTGAAAATGTGGGAAGCTAAAAATCAGAAACTAAGCCTAAAATATTCTGTTGAGGTTTTCAGTTTTTAAGTGCCACTTTGCCTTTAGATAAGCCTTCTGCAAATTAGAATGTAATGAAAGACCTTGTAACTAGAGGCCCAAGTGAGAAGACCCTATAAAAATGCCCTCTTTGAACCAGGAGAAACTTCCAGTCCAATGCAGAATCTTATCTCTGCTTTTGTCACTTAGAAGAAGCATAATATATGAAAACTCTGAAAATTCTAAAAGTGCTGGATAAAGGGTAATGGATTACTGATGACTGTGATAACATCATGGATCAATATGGTAATTGCAATTCAATAAAGAAAAAAAATGGAAACTGCTGCTCTGGGAAATCTCAACCACAGTCTTTTCTTACACTCTTTTCTTGGTTCCATTGCTAATGTTGCAGCAGCCCCTCTGCATTCTGCCCCAGGGCTCACTGGCAAGGGAGAAGTCTCCTGCCAGGATAGGCTTCAAGGTTCTGGATGGGGCAAGACAGCACCGGGAGCTTCTGCCTGAACCACACATTGCAACGGACAACATCATCATTCAGGGAACGTGGTCCCAGGAGCTTCACTCTGAAACACTGTGTCCATTTAATCATTTTCCAATCTGTTTCTCTTGTGGACTTCATGACTTTTCATGAAAACAAATATCTGTCAAAATATCATATTAGAATGGCATTTGAAGATTTTTATATCCTTAGCAATAATGACTTTACATCCTTTTTTCTTTGGAATGAGAGCTGATGAGTCTTTCTGAGAATGCCTTCTTGATCTTGGGGCTGTTTTCTTGTCATCAGATACTAAACACCCTTAATTGATTTGAGGTGCCCTACTGCTGGGCTCTGACCGGGCTCGTACAGCCAGGAAGCTACTGCAAGATAAATCAGAACAAGCCCGACTGCGCTTTTCAGGGCAAATAAAGTCTTCAGATGAGAGGCAAAGTGTTCTATTATCACTCATAAAAAGTGCCAGGTCTTTAATATATGATTGTACTAACATGTTCATTAGGAGAACTGGCTGTAATTGAGCAATGGAGACTGTGAGCACAGGCACTTGTTTCTGCCATTTGATATTTGTCTCATATTTTATTAGCAAGAATGCATGAAGGAACGAGAGATGAGAGTACAGTTTGAAGACGACCTCTGTGCCCCTGAGCTGCCTCAACTCTCCACAGATGCCCTGGCATGGTGCATGTGGGATTGTAGATCTGTGGTCTGAAGCTGGGATTCCCAGACCTGTCCTGCCCATCTTGGCCCAGCTCCCACCCTGTCTTCTCCACCCTCTCCTCCCAATGCACTCCCTGCTGGGGAGAGGAGTGAAAGGGAGCAGGTGTTTGCAGAGACTTGTGTTCAGCTTGGTGCTCTTTATGACACCTGCCCCCAAGGTCCCTAACTGTTGGGTTATCTGATCCCACCATTTAGGATGGAAGGAGTCTCAGCTCTCCATCTGGAACTCATGCACCATCAAACCTCCGCGTCCTCAGGCTCAGAGCTTGGTGGGTTTTTGGGGTGGCCGGGGATCTTTCACCTGCTATGAGGACTGACTTCTAGGTCTCCCCAGACTCTACCCCCTTTCCTCCCTGTTCATACCCCATTGAATCTACCCTTTTCAGTTACTCTGTGTCCCATTCACAGCCCTAGACCCTAAAACACTTTCATGAAAACAGCAATGGCTTGTTTGTTTGAGTCACTGTTCCTGTGAAAGCAATTGTAGACTTCATTTAACCAACCGATACTTATGCTAAGCCACAAATTTACAGTCAAACTGTTCTCTGTCCTTTTCATAAACACATTTCAATTGAAAACGCACAATTTCAGACTTGAGGTGAGACAAACCATCCAGCTGAACTTAAATGGAAATAAAGAGAAACAAAGCATGGTAGCCCAGTGGGCAATAACAAGACATCTAAATTCATCCTGAGGACCAGAGGCAAAGAGCGCGATTTATGACGCTCATGAAGACAGGTACATTTCACGGTCTAAACCGGAGCCATGTGGGATTGGTAATGGAGGGAATGAAAGCTGGGTACTCTGGCAGCCTCTCAGGGGAGGTTTTCTGCGGCACTGTGAGCAATGACTCATCAACACTGGTCCTGGCAAAGAGGGAAGCTCTCCGCAGAGCCATCATTGCAGCTACCTTTTGAGTACCTGCTCTGAGGTGTCTGTTGTGAGCCTGGCCTGGTTGGAGTTTTCAGGTTCAGTGCATTCTTGGCTGGGGGTATCCAAGAATGGTGAAATGTCTAAAACAATTACTAACTCATGTATTTATAAATATTGTTTGAACACTAATTTTGGACCAAACATAATGCTAGGCACAGGGATAAAACATGACTAAAACAAATCTCATGTGTTCAGGGCTGTGCTCTTCACACTATAAGATTGTGTGGTTGGCCCTAGGAACCTCCTCAAGGAGGCATGAGAATTAGTGGGGATGGTGGAGTCTGTGCAGGGACTCACGGAAAAGTTAAAAATTCTGGTCTTTATTCTAACAACGGGAAGTCATCTTAAGGTCTGTAAAAATGGGAAGGATTTTAGGCAAGAAGGCAACATGATCAGTTTTGACTTTTTAATTTATTATTTATTTATTTAGAGTCAGGGTCTTGCTCTGTCACCTTGGCTGGAGCACAGTGGTGCAATCATAGCTCACTGCAGCCTCAAACTCCTGGGCTTAAGCGATTCTTCCCTCTTAGCCTCCCAAGAAACTGGGATGACAGGCATGAGCCATTGGGCTCAGCTATTTTTTTTCTTCTTAAATTTTTTTTTGTATTTTTTACATTAAAACTTTTTGTACTATGGTACCCTGGCTGGTCTTGAACTCCTGGCCTCAAATGATCCTCTTGCTTTGGCCTCCCAACGCACTGGGATGAGGAACCAGGGCCAGCCAGTTTTTAAAAGATCTCTCTGTTGGGTTAGAGGGAGAGATCTGATAGAAGAGGACAGCTGTCGTGGGGCAGAATACAGTGGTAGCTTGGAGAAAAACAACAGTGATGATCTGGCAGAGACAGACTTAGGAGGTGAGGAGGCTTGGTTGTGTGTCTCCTCCAAAGCTCATGTTGAAAAGTGATTCCCAGTGTTGGGGGTGGGGCCTGGTGGGATGTGACTGGATCATGGGGGTGGATCCTTCATGAGTGGTTTAGCACCATCCTCTTGGTGATGAGTGAGTTCTCTCTGGGTGATTTCACATGAGACCTGGTTGTAAGAGTCTGGGACCTCCCCCTTATCTCTCTCTTGCTTCCTCTTTCACCATGAGAGGCACTTGCTTCCCTTTCACCTCCCACCATGACTGGAAGCTTCGTGAAGCCTCACTAGAAGTGGATGCTGGAGCCATGCTTCTATAGCCTGCAGAATGGTGAGCCAGGCAAACCTCTTTTATTTATAAATTATCCAGTCTCAGGCATTCCTTTATGGTGACACAAGAAAAGACTAACACAGAAAGTAATCTCTCTAGGGCTTGGTTCATGATTACTTTTGGTGGTTGGATAAAGGAGAGAGAGGAGTTTGTGATGGATTTTAGAGTTCTAGTTTGTCCAACTGATTGTATGGTGGAGATACTTCCTAGAAAAGAAAATGCTGGGACGCACCAGGGTTGGAGGAGAAGATTGTGAGTTAATTTTTTTATATGTTGAGATTAAACAGCTATGTCCAATGGCCGTTTGATGGATACAGGTTTGGAGCACAAAGAAGTCTGAGTGAAGATAGAAATGTACTACGGTGCATTTGATTGATTGCAGGTGGCAATTAAAATCATGGAAAGAGATGGGATTTCCCAGAGAGGCTGTAAATAGAGGGAAGGAGCCTTGAGAATCTTTGATATTTGGTGGCCTGATGGAGGAGGGAGGGTCTGCAAATGGAGAGGGAGCAGCCAAGGTATGTAGGAAGATGGGCTGAGTTACACCATCTCAGGAAGAGTCTCCACATAGAAGGTCAGCAGTGCAGAGTGCTGCTGAGAGTCCAAGTACAAGGGCCACAGAAGAAAACCACTCAGAGATGTCGCCATCCCTGTGATTTTTACAATGACTGTTTCCATTGAGTGATGAGGGCACGCGATTGATGGGGGCCAGTTAGGAATGAATGACAGGTGAACAAATGGAGGCAGGGCAGTAATGATGAATCCACTGGAGTTTAGCTAACACTGATATGAACGTCACCTAGTTCTATTATCACCTCCAGTACAGAAGAATACGGATGGAGAGAAGGTCCTTCAGTTAATCCACCTTGGGCAGGTGCTCATGCCCTCTCCAGAGTCACTTTCTGTACAGCAGTATGTAGTTGGTTGGCCGGCAGACATTACCATGGGAACAGAAACAGGGGCCGAGGGGCCAGCTTCTCAGTAGGGCAGGGGTCTTTGGAGAAATAGCAGAGAAAGATAAAACTGAATTCCCTTAATTAGATGATCTTAATATCCTACGTGGGTGTTCCCTATTCTTGAATATCTGATCAACCTTCTCCTTATTCTCTCTCTACTTCTCAATGTAAATCAATAAAGGCAAATTGAGAATCATAATAAGCAAACTATTAAAGCAAATGGAAAACACTGTGGCATATATTACTGTACTGGTTCTCAAAGCAGCCCCTCCTGCAGACAAGTGGACTCCGAGAGGGAAAGCATGTGTTTTTCAAATTTTATGGAGCTGCCAGGTGGCAGGGTCAGACCTTGGGACCAAGTGCCCTTTCCAACAAAGAAACGACCCCTCCCCAGCCAAATACAAGGACACCCAGGCCAATGAGGCCCCACAGAGTGCCCCTCCCCTCTCTGCTCTGGTACACGACCCCTGAGGGCCATTTGGGAGACACAGGCCCCCAACACCAGCTTCTGTCACCTGGGGGCACCCTGGAGACTCTGCATCCATCCTGCTCTTGCTTGTGCTACAGTGAGCTGTGGTCCCTGTATCCCCCTACCTGAGCTGGCCAGGAGCTCCCAGCCTTCCCCAGTGGAGCATGATCCCCCCATGACCTGGCTTTTGCTCTTATGCCAGCCAAGACCTGCTGCTCAGGCCCATTCTCAGGGACCTGCTCAGTCTACTGAGGCTCCCCGGACACTCAGTGGGGACCCTTGGGGGAACACAGCAAGAGAGAGGTGGTAGGTACAGGTAAGTTTCCATTCCAAACACCTAAGGATTGAGCCACATAAGCCATTTGGGTTCTACCTCTTGGTTCAGCAATTCTTGAACTCCTCCATCATGCACACCCTGAGAGGGGCAGAGAAGGCACTGAGACAGGTCCCTGTTCCCCCAGGAGCAGAGAGAGGACTGAGACAGGGACCTGGGGACCTGGTCCCCCAGGGGCAGAGAGTGAGGCATGGCTCCAGTCCCCAAAGGGCCTACCTCAGAGGTGCTCATGCCTGTAATCCCAGCACTTTGTGCGGCCAAGAAGGGAAGATCACTGGGGGTCAGGAGTTTGAGACCTGCCTTGCCAAGATGGTGAAACCCTGTCTCTACTAAAAATACAAAAAGTAGCCAGGTGTGGTGGTGGGTGCCTGTAGTCCCAGTTACCCAGGAGGCTGAGGCAGGAGAATCGCTTGAACCCAGGAGGTGGAGGTTGCATTGAGCCAAGATGGCGCCATTGCACTCTAGCCTGGGTGAAAAGAGCAAGACTCCATCTAAAAAAAAACAAAAAACAGTAATTCAGGGGCCTGAGTGTTAAGGCAGTGGCTCCCTAGCTAAGGGAATGGGTTGAACAGACTTGAGATGGGTCAGAGCATGGAGTCCAAACACAGGTCAAGGGCTCTCAACATCTTCCAGGATTGCAGACATAGAGTCAGCCCAAGCAGTGGACTCTGTGCATGGGGAATTGCGAGAGATTAGCTTGGCAGAAGCAAGTAGCCTGTGAGAAGAAGCAACAGAACCTGAGTCTGGAAACATGAGTGTGGTCAGGTCAGGACACCTTGGCCATCAGGCTGAGGAGGCTCCATGAGAAGGTGAGCAGCTCAGCTTTCTCAGGAGGGGACAGAGACCTGGGTTCCTACCTGCTTCCACCAGTGGAAACATGACTCTGAATAGGGATTCATGCCTTCAGTGGTCTGCAGCTCCCTTGGTCCCTCTGCAAGATGGCAAGATCACTGTCATGTGGGAGAAAATGGAATGCAAACATGATGTTAACAATGTCTCATTCCAAGAAACTTGGGACCTCTGACCTGGGGGCAGGACGAGTCTTGTCTGCACCCATCATTTCATTTTCATCTCTCTTTTGACTTCAGCCATAAAGGGTGAGAATGAACACCCACCGCCATCTACTCAGGTGACTTGGGAATCGCAGTGCAAGTTTCTTGCAAAGTTATCCCTGGGCTGCAACTTTTCATGCCAGTGTGACCTCAGGGACATTCTTCTCTGTTCATAATCAGGCCTTACTGCCTCTCTTAATATTCTCGACTTAAGGCAGTTTTCACGGAAAGTCTTCATTGTCAATTGACACACGACTAAAGGAATTCCAAAATGAATGTGCTCTCTCTGAAGCAGAACGTCTGTCTATACTTGGCTCGAGACCTCAGGCACAGTCCCTGGAACTTATACAATTTATGAAGGCTGTTATTATTTCACTTGTTCGGAGTTCCAAGGCTTGCAGCTTGATAACACGTCATGTAGTTTGTGCCACTCTGCGTAACAGGCTGTGGCAGCCCGGAACATATTTTGGAAGTTTACTTGGTGTGACAAGAATGAATATAAAATTATTTGCAGTAGATACACCAATAAAAAGGAAAATGTTATTTCCATCATGAAAGATCTCTCCCGTGGCTCTGGCTGTCACTCAGCGATGGAAGAAGATCCAGGGAGGATCCCTGACTCTGCTCTGACATCAGCCTTCCAGGCCAAGCCTCACATTCTCTTCTCTAGAGAGTGGGGCTGCAGCAGAAACACTTTGACACTCACTCCATGAGAAGGAGGTCTTTGGGCCCTTCCCGTGAATCTGGTAGGGATCTGGAATGGCTGTGACTAGTAGAATACAATGAGAGGGACAAGCCTGAGGCTTGAGAAACTTTCTTTTTTTTTTTTTTTTTTTTTTTTACTACTATTATACTTTAAGTTCTAGGGTACATGTGCACAAGGGGCAGGTTAGTTACATATGTATACACGTGCCATGTTGGTGTGCTTCACCCATTAACTCTTCATTTAACATTAGGTATATCTCCTAATGCTATCCCTCCCCCCTCCCCCCACCCCACAACAGGCCCCAGTGTGTGATGTTCCCCTTCCTGTGTCCATGTGTTCTCATTGTTCAATTCCCACCTATGAGTGAGAACACGCGGTGTTTGGTTTTCTGTCCTTGCGATAGTTTGCTGAGAATGATGGTTTCCAGCTTCATCCATGTCCCTAGAAAGGACATGAACTCATCCTTTTTTATGGCTGCATAGTATTCCATGGTGTATATGTGCCACATTTTCTTAATCCATTCTATCATTGATGGGCATTTGGGTTGGTTCCAAGTCTTTGCTATTGTGAATAGTGCCGCAATAAACATACTTGTGCATGTGTCTTTATAGCAGCATGATTTATAATCCTTTGGGTATATACCCAGTAATGGGATGGCTGGGTCAAATGGTATTTCTAGTTCTAGATCCTTGAGGAATGGCCACACTGACTTCCACAATGGTTGAACTAGTTTACAGTCCCACCAACCGTGTAAAAGTGTTCCTATTTCTCCACATCCTCTCCAGCACCTGTTGTTTCCTGACTTTTTAATGATCGCCACTTTCTGTCTCTTGGACACTCCCTCTGGGGGAAACCAGCTGCCTGTGTTAAACGTCTGACCACACTAAGCCCCCATGCTGTGAGGAAGCCCAATTGGCCTTGGGGGTGGCCTTGTGGAGAGACACCAAGCAATTTTATTTTATTTCATTCTTCTTCAACCATCAAGCAGGGCCCTTTGCTTTATGAAGTTTGCTGTAAATTGCCTCTGCCAGTGAATTAGAAAACCTCTAATGTGTGGTGAATTCTGCTGGTCCACGGTAGTGGCAGGAAAACAAATGTTTTCTTTTTTAAAATGCTAATTTGGACCAACTGGGCCCCTTTTTCTTGTAGACATAAACTATCATTACATTTGAACAAGGCTCCTTTCCTGAATTCCAGGTGCTTGGCCTCGCTGGCCCATCTGAGACAGGGCACCTCTTTTCACATTGCTAAGGCACCAATGCTTCGTTTTTCTCCCATTTATCCATTAATTCACCAAATATCTATTTTTCTATCTATCTGTTATCCATCTAGTCTATCTCTCTCTAACCCCTCTCTTTCCTTTCTTTCCTTAGCTCTCTCTTTTTTCTTCTCCTCTCTCTGTCACCTGCCTTCTTTTTCTCTCTCCTTCTATCATCTCTCTCTCAGTCTCGCTCCATATTTGTTTTTTTTTAATTCTCCTTTTAGCCAGCTGGATAATGTGGGGTGTCCTCAGATAACTCCAAGTAACAACTGGATGGAAGAATGGATAAGGATATACATTTCAATGTGCAAACCTTCTGGTTAGTTATCTGTGCATAAAACAGACAAAAACAAACAAAAAGAAACAAAATATGATGGTATGAAGTAACCAACGTTTTACTAGGCTTATGCTTCTGCAGTTCCAGTTCCAGAATTTGGATGAAGCACAGCCTGGATCCTCAGCTGGAGTGGCTTGATGGGCTGGAGCCAGCTGAGTCAGCTCCACTGAGCTCACATATCTTTGGCTCTGATACTTCTCCAAGTGATGTGGCTGAAGTTGGAATGTCCAAGATGTGTCTGTCTCCTGGGCTGGGATGGCTGGAACTACTGGTGCTGGCTGGCATAGCTGCAAGGCCGCTCCTGAAGCTAATTGAGCTTCCTGAGAACATGGCAGCTTAGTGCAGTCAGACTGGGGGGCTTCCCCCAGAACAAACATCCTAGAGATGGCAAGTGAAAGCTGCCATTTCTTAATGCACAGGCTTATCTCTATCATTGTATTCTACTGGTCACAGCAATTCCAGATCCCACCCAGATTCAATTGGAGGGACCAGAAGCAAACAGTTAACACTGGAGTGAGTGTGAAAGAGAATGCAGTCATCTTCAATCTGCCACAGCAACTCCTCCTGGGTGACCTTGAGATTCACTGGCTGGTGTAGAGGCCATGGAAATTGGTCTTGGTGAAGACTGAACAAGAAGGAAAGAGAGAAAATTCTAGATTATCTGGAGGGTTAGAACGTCCAGGGAAAAGTGCCAAGGGAACCAAAGTGAATTACTCCTTACTGATGTCAACACATTATTAAATAGCAGCCCAGACATATATCCTTGAAACTTAATGCATTGTTTTCAGAATTTCATTTCTAGTTTTTAGGAATCAAAGATTTTTTTAAAAAAAATCCTTGGGTCTAATCCTTGGGTGAGGCAGCTGAATGCAGGGGGAGGTGCAGATTGAGCCTGACGTGAAATCCTCAGCTAAATCCTGCTGCTGAGAACTTTCTAGCTTCAGCCAGCTGCGGGGGCTCATGCCTGCAATCCTTTCCCTTTGGAAAGCCAAGGTGGTGGATAGCTTGAGCTTAAGAATTCTAGAGCAGCTTTGGGAACATGGCTACACTCTGTCGCTACAAAAAGCATAAAAAATACAAAAATTAGCCTGGCGTGGTGGTGTGCACCTGTAATCCCAGCTACTTTAGAGGCTGAGGTGGGAGGATCACTTGAGCCCAGGAGGTCAAGACTGCAGTGAGCTGTGACTGTGGTCCTGCACCTCAGCCTGGGTGACAGAGCAAGACCCTGTCTCTGAAAAATAAAAAATAATAAAACATAAAAACCAACCTTATTATTGAACCTGTCTTCATTGTAAGTCTGCTGTGCTGAACATTCAGGAAAATTCCCCTCCACGTTCAGTACCAGTAAGGTGACTGTCTTGGTGGCAACCTTTCCTCTTCATCAGGCCTGAGGGCCATGTGACCTGGTTTGTGTTCCCTTGGCTGTTTGGAAGCTCAGGGTTAATTGCTGCCTCTGGTCGCAGCAGTAGGACCTGGCCTAGGATTTCCCATCAGGCTCAATCTGTGCTTCCCCCTGGTGCCCAGCTGCCCCACTTGAGCATTGGAAGTGGTCTCTCATCTTTTTATTTATGTTGACTGCTTTTTTATTTTACAGCCTCAGTGTTGTGTTTCCAGATTACTTTGGAAGAAGTCTAGGCATCAATAAAAAGACAAATAATTCAAAATTTAAAATTATTAAATAGAAGGAAGGAGCTCACACCATGACCACTTACTAATTCCAGCCACTCCTGTGTCGAGCAGATCTTGCAGTAACTACACTGTCCCTAGTGATGCCTTTGACTGAAATGCGAGGCTCATACAATTCTGGTGATTCCAGCAATTGGCTTCTGCCAAGCCTCCTGGGCCCATGCGGATTATGGAGTCCTGTCTGTATTTCTCCCCTCTCTCCACTGGGAGGCATGCAAAACACATTGGGAATGAGAGTCAATGAACACTGTATGCAGGTGTAAAAGGAAAAGCCACTTTTAAAATCGGTGCACTGGGAACAACCCCTACGAACCTACTCAGACAGAATCCATCACCAATAGACTGTCCAATGCACAAAGAGAGCTCTATGCTGCCACAAAGGGGGCCACATGAGGCAAGATTGAGTGTTCAGTCACATTCAATTTAACTTAATGATTAAATGGAGATTATCATCCAGAGGTTTTCAAACACGTCTTCCCACATTGGCATCTAACTATTCTTAATTATAGATACTGTCACAATCTCATCTTTAACAAGATCAGAAAATGTCTCTCCAGGGAGAAATAACTCTTATTATGAACCAGAGCACCTGGCAATGTGAACTTCTTGATATTAGAAGGAAAACAACCATCAGACTTGTTAAATCTTGAGTGGCAAATGAGCATCTTTCAGCATCTTTCCAGTCAAAGGCTGAGGAGGCAGGTAGGGAAGGAGGCGTCTCTGGGTAGCTGAAGCACAAAGCAGGCGGCCGTACCCAGCATGGAGGGCCAGGCAATGCAGACACATGGGAAAGGTTGAGGGGACCCTACCGTGTTGTCCAGACACCCAGCCAACTCCCTCCACTCACCCACTATTCCTCTTTCCTTGCTCCAAACCCTTGGAATAGTGCACTTCAAAACATAGCATCATAAAAAGCACATATATATAAAACCTCTTCTCAAAGAGGAAGGCCTACATTGAAAGAAATCAAGTGGCCACCTGTACCCTAAATTTTAGCAGGCAATGGGAAATGTTTTTCTAGGATGGCCAGGGGCCTGACCTTCCAGCCCCTCACCTCTGCCCAGTGCAGCGGTGCTGCTCATGTCCCCTGAGCTCTGCACCATGCACACTGGGAGGCACGGCCGAGGCTGTGGTGCAGAAATCCCAGGGGAATCCTGGACTTAAGACAAAGGGCATCTGTCCTTCTCCCGTGAATTGCACCCTCCCAACCACAGACACCGGCTTTGATTTATTAGCATGACCTAGATTGAATACATGAGAAATTCTATTTAATATAGAAGAAATCTTAACCCCTTGTCTTCTTCTCTCTGGATCAAACTGGTCCATCACAAACGCTTCTGAAATCTTAAATGCCTTTCAAATACTTCCCTCCATCTACTTCTGTCCAAAGATGTTCTCTGTTCCCCACCTGTACCATTTCTTCTGAACTGGTTTCTTGTACCCATTCATTCCTCACTTTCCTCCTCTAACTCACTGTCAGTCCTCTGGAATTATTTATTTCATATGTACACAGGCACACACACACACACACACACACACACACACACATATATAAAATTAGAGCAGTGCCATGTTTTATGCATATTTAATTTAAATATATTAAACTACACATCTTCAGCATAACATATTAATATATACTCAGGTGAGAGAGAAAACCATTCAGAACATCCAGTGAGCATGGGAGCCTGACTGACGCTCTCCAGTCAGTCTCAGTGCCCATGTGCCTGTCCCAGAGTAAGCATCCTGTCACCACATCATATGGCTAATGAGGGTGTGGTGTGGTAGACAGCCTCTAAGATGACCCCGATGACTCCTGCCTCCTGGTATTTGTACCCTTTGGAGTCCCCTCCCCTTGATTGTGCACTGGATATAGTGAATCATTTATGACAAATAGAATATGGCAGAAGCAGTGGGTCTTCACTTCTCAGAATATCTTATGAAGACATTGACCTCACTCATTTACCCTGGGGGAAGCCAGCTGCCATGTGGTGAACTGCCCTTTGGAGGGAACCATATGAGAAGGGACCAAGGAAGGCACGTTTCCAAAAGACAGACAGACACTGAGGCCGCAGGTAAAACTCCTGTGGGGAACTGAATTCTGTGAGGCCCCAGTTGAAACTCCTGTGGGGAACTGAATTCTGTGAGGCCCCAGTTGAAACTCCTGTGGGGAACTGAATTCTGTGAGGCCCCAGTTGAAACTCCTGTGGGGAACTGAATTCTGCCTATGACCGTGGGAATGAGCATCAAAGCAGATCCTCCCTGCATGGAGTCTTCAGATGAGACCACCGCCCCAGCAGACACCCTGATGCAACCCCAGGAGGAAACGAGCCACAGCCACCCTGCTAAACCACACCCAAATTCCTGACTCCCCTCAGAAGACACCTGCAAGATAATTCATACTCATTGTTTTAAACTACTAAGTCTTAGGGATAATTTATTACACAGGGATATGTAGCTAATACACAAAAAACTGGGATTTTAGAGATTTTCAAGAGTAATTGTAATGGTACACATTTTTTGCCTAATCTCACATGCGTCTTGGGGTCAAACCCTCCCTGTGGCTCACCTTGGCCAGGGTCATGGTCCCTGCTGTCCATGGCCCTTCCCTATGTCTCCAGCCCAGACTTACAGTCTCACCCTTATGGATCCCCACAGGCACCCAGGGTTCTTGCCACACTTGTGGATTCAAGGCAACTCAAATGCCTGATGCTCCTGCCCTCCTGCCCAGGTGCCTGTGCTGAGGCCATTTCCTCTCTCTGGAGTGCCATTTGTGCTCTTTGCCCTCCAAGGAGTTCATATCCATCAGTCTGGACCCCGCTTAGGTGAACTCATCTGAGCAGTCCTTGCATTTGGGGTGGCATTACCAAGGCAGCCTGCTCTCATGGCTGGCCGGTCACTCACGGCTTGGGGACGTACCTGTGTCCTGCACCAACCACAGCAGTCACATTCCTATGGGAAGCGAGACCACCTGGCTCACTAATTTAGTGTTAGCGGACATAAAGCGGGATGTTTTGAGGCAACCAAGAAGATCCTTTTGCTAGGTCTCAGAAACCCTTATAGGTTTTCTCTGGTTTTATAGTTATGTGATATGTTAGTGTAGTCAACACCTGGTTTGCTTTCATATGCATCTTATCTTTATCCGTTTACCCTTGCTGCATTGAAAACTACCCCCAAATCTTACGTATTAAAACCACACTTTGTAATTATAACCCATACGTCTGCAGGTTGGCTGGGAACCAGCAGATCTAAGATAAACTTAAATGATCTTGGCTGGATTTGCACATCATCTGTGAATGGGCTGCCCCGTTCATTCATCCAAGGGTCAGCTGTGGCCTCTGCTCTAGGTTAGGCTTGGCTGGAGAAGCTTGGCTCCATATGTCTCTCATTATCCCCCTAGGGTTTGGAGGGCCAGCCCTGACATGTGCTGCTTCTGATGATGGCAGAAACGCAAAAGTGGAAACATTCAAGGCTGCTTGAGGCCTTGGTCCAGACTCGCACGTGGTCACTCTGCCTCACTCTTGGGGCCAATGCAAGTCACATATCCGGGCCCAGATTTGTGTGGAAATAGAAACTGCCCATTTAGTAAGAGTGATTTCAAGGTCATGAGACAAAAGGCATGTGGGAGCAGGGGGAGGAGAGTGGCTGAGAACATGAGTGCAGCCCCTCACACCGGCTTTGCTCTCCTCACTCTGCACAGCAGAAAACGCCACGTGCAGGCGCCCTGCCTTCTTATTTCTGGGCTGGCTTGGGTGATGGAAGCACTGCAGGAAGGTGAGAGGGCAGCAAAGCGGAGAGTGCAGGCATTTCCTTGCCACTTGGCTCTGTGAGACACTTTTGGAAATGGTGGTGTCTCCTTCATGGCTCCAGCTCTGCTGGACAATCTCTCTTGCCAGGATCCCAGTTCCTGCTGGGTGACTCCTCCGGCGGTTCCCACCTGAAGGCCCTGTCTTGTGGTATCCTCTGACACAGGCCCTCCCAAGCTTGGTGAGTGGCTTTCTGTCATGCTATTATTCTCTGTTTTGCCCCAGCCTCCTCTTTCAATGAGTCCATTGCTCATGCAACAATTTCCTATATTAAATGCTCTCTGTTAGAAGACGCAGAATTTTCCTAGTTGGATCGCAAGAAATTCAGAGTTCTACAGATTTCCTACCCTATCCCTCATCTCTGTGGGACAGAATCTGTCTTGAGTCAGATGTGCAGGCTGAGGGAGAAGAGGAGGATATTTATTGCAGATAGCACTTAATAAAAACAAATCACTTTTTCCGGGAGCATGTTTTTTTGAGGAAACACACTAGGTATGGATGAAGTAATGGACATTTTGGCTAAGTACCTGACAATACTAATAATGTAGGGATGGCTCACTGTGCCTGATTTTGCACGATGCTCAAGCCCAGGGTTGTGCCCTACACTTCCACCTTCCAGGATGACAGGGAAAAAGGAAACACTTCCCTGCTTTTTGCTGGAGAGTGGGAGAGGAGCCATTCAACTTGTGACTGTGGGGGAGCTTGAAAAGTGTGAAACGGGGTGCCCGCTTCTGAAATCTAGCTGTATCAAATGGTGCTCTTCTCTGCTTTAAAAAATTTTCACCTTTTAGGAAAACTAAAGCAAAACAAAACTTGTACATTACAAGAGAGTTTTGGCTGGGCATGGTGGTTCATGCCTATAATCCCAGCATTTTGGGAGGCCAAGGAGGGAGGATCACTTGAGGCCAGGAGTTTGAGACCAGCCTGGGCAACATAGTGAACTCCCATCTCTACTAAAAATACACACACACACACACAAAATTAGCTGGGCTGTGGTGGTGGATGCCTGTAATTCCAGCTACTCAGGAGGCTGAGGCATCAGAATCACTTGAACCAGGGAGGCAGAGGTTGCAGTGAGCTGAGATCATGCCACTGCACTCCAGCCTGGGTGACATAGTGAGACTCTGTCTCAAACAAAAAAGAGTTTCTTTGCTGTGAGATACCCACAGAGAATGAAGACATGACGGGGTAGACCTTTCTGCCTTGGCTTGTGGAGATTCCTAGCACTACTAAAATTTAATTTAAAATAGTAAACTCACTGCCTTTCTGTGACATATATATGGGTGTTACATAATTACAGAACAAATGGCTTTTCTAGGGAGGTTGTGAAAGCCAGTGATGTAGCACACACACTGTTGAAGATGCACAATGCTTTCCACTCCTCATTAAAACCCGGCAATCTACACAAATCATTCTGCAGTGGAGACTGCCACCCCTTCCCTCTAATGCTGATTATCAGCACAGCCAGGAAAGGCTCCAGCTTCATCTGTTTGACAGATAAGAGATTCTGTTGGACAGGTTTCCACTGTGATAGACAGAAGCAATATCTTGAGCTACAGGAGGGCACAGCCATTTAAGTCTTTATATAGGCGATGCTTGGGAAGCAAAACGCTTTATGCCTCAAAAGATACATGGTGAATATTTACCCATCACCTGTAGCCTATATAGCAACTTTCATTAAGAGTCAAGCAAGGTTTTAAGTACTTTCAAGACATTTTCCCTGTTCTTTTGTTTTTCTGACTCTATTATTCATCCATCCCATCCTTTGTCAGAAAAATCTCTCTCTCACTATCATTACCACTGTAACGTACTTTCATTCTGTGTGCAAATCTTTTGCTTGTGATGATCAGAGTATTTTAGTAAAAATAGTCTTTGGATCTTTGCAGGGAAAGGATAATATTCCAAACATGTTCCTGAAGGTGAATGCCTCATCTCTGATCAGCTCTGTCACGTGCCCCTGAGAATCCCAGCGGCCCCAAACTTCTCATGTCCAAAGTTGAACCCATCAGCACTTCCAGGCCTTTTGATAACCCTTGTTTTCTGATCAATGATAGAAATAGCAACTACAAATACATGGTCAACCAAGTCTCATCTACAGCAACACAGGGCGCATATGTTGTGCATTTGTTTGTGATTGTAACACCTCGCTCTAGTTCTCCCATGACTGTGCAGCTGCCCTTGTCACTCACTATGATTTTACCTAGAGTTATACTTTGTCTATACTAATATTACTGCATTGATTTTCATGAGTTTATATTTTTAAAAAATATTTTCTATATTGCTATAACCATTTTTTTCTTTTTTGCTAAATTTGTTTCTTACAGCTATTTTCTAAATTCAATCTGATGTCTGACTTATGACAAAGAAATTCAAGCCTTCTACATTGAATATGGATATGGTTTTGCCTTATTTCTCCCATCCTCGTTCACGTGTTCTATTTCCCATATTTTTCCCATCTTTTGTTACATTTCATTGGGTAGACTAAACTTTTTTGTCCTAGTTTAGAATTTATGCATTTTATTTTTATATATTAAGTGATTATCTGCAAATTATGAACAACATTTTTGTAACTTCTTGTACATTTCTTTTTTCTTTTCCCTTTTCTTTTCTTTTTTCTGAGACAGAGTCTTGCTCTGTCATGCAGGCTGGAGTGCAGTGGTGTGATCTCGGCTCACTGCAACCTCCGCCTCCCGGGTTCAAGCGATTCTCCTGCCTCAGCCTCCTGAGTAGCTGAGATTACAGGCATGCACCACCATGCCTGGCTAATTTTTGTGTGTGTGGTTTTTTTTTTTTTTTTAGTAGAGACAGGGTTTCTGACCATGTTGGTCAGGCTGGTCTTGAACTCCTGACTTCATGATCTGCCTGCCTCGGCCTCCCAAAGTGCTGGGATTACAGGTGTGAGCCACTGTGCCCGGGCTGTACATTTCTTGAGATGAACAATTTCCATATTCCTCCTGGGAACCTGAGTACGGCAGCACACACTCATGGCTTCTTCCTTCCTGTCCTGCTGTGGTTTCAGTGTCTGTGTCCCCTCCAAAATTTGTGTTGAGACTTAATCCTCAATACAATGGTATTAAGAGGTGGGCTTTTGGGAGGTGATTAGGCCATAAGAGCTCTTCCCTCATGGAGAGGATGAGCGCTTTATAAAAAGGCTTGGGGAGCAAGTTCACCTCTTCATTCCTTTACCCTTTCATTCCTTCCACCCTGTGAGGACACACATTCAAGCCACCATCTTGAAAACAGAGACCAGATTCTCACCAGACACTGACCCTGCTGGTGCCTTGATTTTTGACTTTCTATCCTCCAGAACTGCAAGAAAATACATTTCTGTTTCTTAGAAATGATCCAGTCTCAGGTATTTTTTTTAAAGAAGCAGAAACAGACTAAGACACATGCTCGCCTACGTATCTCTAGTTATACTTTCCATAACATTCATGAGAGGATGCCTCTGTAATAAACTTGGATAATGTCATACTGCAGAAGAAAGGTTTTCCACACACTCTGTGCTGCAGGCTGCATTATGAGCTCCTCAGAAGCAGGTGCATGTTGTCATGTATCTCAGTAGCATCATTGTCTTACATCAGGTCTGCAAAAGAACAGGTATTTTCAGTGGGGTGCTGGAGCAGGTTTGCGCCAGCTCATGAGAATCAATTCTATGCATCTTCCCCCAACTCTGTATCCAGTGATGTTCTGTTTGTAGGTAAAATGGCCATGCTAAGAATATTTACACCAAAAAATTGACAAACACCACAAATACATCATTTTTTTTCCCTAGAAACCATTCTCCCAATACATCACTAGCATGCTTCTTACATATTTGCTAAGTGAATGAAGACACAAAGCTTTTATCTAAAGATGTGGAAACCAGCTTTTTTTTTTGTACAGTGCTATTTAAAGGATTTTCTTCTGTGCAGGTAGGAGGGGTAGACTATCTGGATGTGCAGGTGGAGAATGACAGATGCAGAGGCCTGCAGCCAGCATAAGGCATCACAGGCCTGCAGAACTATGGAGGGCAGGACCCCTGCCATCTCATCTGACACCTAGCTCAGGTCAGAAGGGGAAAGGGACTGCAAGATGTGCTCATAGGTATTGTTCCAAAGCAGATCCACGGGCACCTGAGGGAAATCCTCCAAATTAAGCAATTACTGGTTTCCCCTGTGGGTCTTGAATAGCGCTAGTGAGTACAAGATTCTTGCTTTTCATGCTTTTGTATTAACTGGTAATTATTTGTATCTGTTCTGTTTTTTCAAACATGCGTTAGATTGAGTGGGTGGGTCTAAATTGAAATATTAACTACTGCACACATCAGTATCTTCAAGAAATTCTACCTCTCATGCTTTAAGGAAGTGTTGATTAAAGATCTAAAGTCACATCAAGAGAAAAATAAAGGTGATTCTGGGGGCCTATAAATACTAACGGACTTCTCCTCTCGTTATGCAATTGAATTCTGTCATGACTTACATGGTAAGATCAGGTGTATTCTTTGAGAACTGCCACCCAATCTGTGGGAAGTTGCTATGGAAAGAGAGAGTTAATTAGTTTCCACAAATACTTAAATCTCACCTGGGATTATTTTGGTCACAGAAAGATTTCAGGTCAATGTGTTGAAAGTAAAATTATGCTTTGTTGATACCTCACATTTCAGACAGCGATTTATTTTTCAGGGTCTAATGACTCCCGATAAAGTCTTTTTCTTTTTGCTTGTGAAATCTAAAGATTTTCTGGAAATCGTTAAAGGGGCAGAAATAAAAACACAGTCCAGTAAGAGACTTCACACAGCCATCTTGGTAAAAAGAAGTTAAAGACGATCAGGCGCAGTGGCTCACGCCTGTAATCCCAGCACTTTAGGAGGCTGAGGTGGGTGGATCACAAGGTCAGGAGTTCCAGACCAGCCTGACTAACATGGTGAAACCCCGTCTCTACTAAAAAAAAAAAAAGTACAAAAATTAGCAGGGTGTGGTGGCGCATGCCTGTAATCCCAGCTACTCAGGAGGCTGAGGCAGGAGAATCGCTTGAACCCGGGAGGCAGAGGTTGCAGCGAGCTGAGATTGCACCACTGCACTCCAACCTGGGCAACAGAGCAAGACTCTGTCTCAAAAAAAAAAAAAAAGTTAAAGATATAAGAAGTGAAATTAACAGCCTCCTATACATTACTAAAATTCTACAAATCTTAAAGAACATAAAATTCCAACAATGGGAGCCAAATGCAGAAAAAGCGTTCCTTAAAACAGCCTTAAAAACTCCTGAGATGAGGGATTTAATGAGTCTGAAATCCCAGACTTAATTCTCACAGTCCTATAGATCAAGCCCAAAATAATCAATATATTTTATTGAATCTTAGTTGGTTCTTGGTCTTGGAATGGATTAACTGATGAACTGATCAGCTGTCTAGCTGTTTTCCCTAATTGTTTTATCAAGAAATTGATATGTTTTCTGGCTGCTATCACTATGTTCTTGCTGTAAGTGTGATGAACTTTGACATTAGATTCCAGGAAAAATTTCAGGCGGAAGTCCCTCACTTTTTCTAAATGCAAAGCAATGATCTCTGGTACTGAGTGCATCTTTCTTGGGAATGGCCAAACCTTAGCCTTGCTGGACATGGTATGATGAATGAGACAGCCTAGACACTTCTGTAGGGGCCTGGCTGAGTCGTGCTCCCATGGCAAAGCAAACTTCCAGCTGCTTTTTTGTTTCTTGGGATGTGGGGCATGCTCCCTGAGAACTCACTCTGGAAGGACTGAGGCTTTGACAGCCAGCCCCTTGGTCTTCTGGTGTCCACTAGAGCCTCTTACCTGACCTATGCTTAGATGAAGCCTTATGAATTGGCTGCGTTCCAAAAAGAACGGTGTCCTAATCTCCCAGCAACCAAGGCCCTGTCAGGCTTGTGGTACAAGATTCCAGTAGCTACCTGTACCTCCTGTTCATCCAAGCCTCAGGCAGCTGAGACAGCACAGGGATTCAGTAAAAATGGATTCTTTGATCCAGCAATAAGTCAAAATTGAAATTGGAGGGCAGAAGTTTACAGATGCAAGCATGTATGCAGGTAGTTAGTTAATGAAGTTTCCTTCGTGCTCTCTGTGTACATGCACCACCTTAAGCACTTTGCAAATATCAACTACTTCACCCCTCATAAGGAAGCCATCTTATTATGTAGACCCTATCATCTCATCTTACAGATGAGGAAACTGGAGCCACAGGTCTTTGCTCTGTGTTACCAGACCGGTGTGCTCCTAAAACAAGTAATACATCGAGGAGCTGCCTCTGGGGAGGCCCGTGGGTCTAGGCATGGGAAGAGAAGGGGAATTTCCACTGTATGCCTGTGTCTTGGTTTGGGTTCTCTAGAAAGAGAACCTGAAACCAGGATTCAGTGGAAGTGGGAGGCTACTCGGTGTTCCAAAATAAAGAGGAGCTGGGAGCTGAGACTGGGGAGGGAGAATGAAATGGGGGTGCAGTATCTGGCGAAGTCTCACCGAGGGAAACTTTGGTCCAGTCCTGCAGTGTGCGATGGAGGCCCTGTAGTTCCCGCAGAACACATCAAGGCTGGGAGCTGAGGCATTCATTCCCCCTCTTTCCGGGTGCTGTTCTGGGATGCCCCGGAAGTACAATGAAAGCACTTCCAGTTCCAGCAGCCCGCTGGCTGAGCTACCACATGGGCCTCCATTGTGAAGAAAGTGGTAGGAAATGTGGAAGCGGCCAAGGCATTTGGGGCAGGGGATGGTACCCACTGCTGATGATTTGTGCACTTGGAATGGATTCTTATTTTTTTTCTGAATGAAGGACTTATTGGCACTTACCACTCCAAGTGCATTACTGAGAACAGGTCTAAGAGGGCAAGGAGAGGGTACTTGAGGGCAGACGCTGGAGATGAAGAAATGGACAAGAGGGGGCCGGGGGTCCTGAGGACACTGTCACCCTGCTCACCACATGAGGAGGTCTCACTACCCATCCAAGAGTGAGACCCAACCTGAGGAAGAGGATTCTGGTATGGCTCCTTCCTCAGCTCCCCTCTGGCAGGACACTGACTCCCATGTCCAGACACTGCTCTGTAGGAGTAGGAGGAGGATATGGAGAAGGAGGAGCAGGCAGAGGAACTGGAGGGAGACCCGATGTCTGGGGAAGGAGAAATGGACAAAGAGAATACATGTGACTGAGGTCTAGCATGACCTTGGGAATCTGGCCATCTCAGGCAACCACATGCCTGCCCCACAGAGGTGTCCTCCCTCTGCCTGAGGAACACAGTCTTGTGACTGTAGAATGAAGAGCAGAAGGTGGGCCAGATGATGGTGGTGTTCAATGGGATATACAGGCCGAGGTCATCCTCAGGGACATGTAGCCCCAGAAGTCCCTGCCTTCTTCCTTCACCCAACAGTATCAAAGCCTTGGGGAATTCCTTCTGGAATCCTGTACTCCAGAAGCTCAGGGAAGAGTACTGGAGAGGGAGTCACCAGGACCTGGGCAGCCATGATGGGAAAGGAGAGCTAAAGCTCATCAGATGAGAGACACCCTGGTCTAAGGAGTTCACTGAAGGAAGGGAGCTGGAGCTAAGAGTTTGTAGAGTGGTTTTCTACTAAGTATCCTCAAGGAGTTCATTCCCTGTGGTCACCTCATCACTGACAAGTGTCAGAGCCTTCAGACTTATCCTCCCTTGCATATTCTCACCCCCTAGTTCTCCAAGTGGCTGGTGAGGAGGGGAGGGGAGCCCTAAATCTTCTCAGCATCTGACATGCCTCCTCCAAAGATTTTTCCCCAGTTCATCTTCCCATTCTCTTATTTGTTTTCTCAAGACAACAACAAGAATGAAAGAATGAAAAGCATTTTTTTTAAAGAAAGAGAGCAAGAAGAGGGCACTCATAAACAGGATGAAAGAGGCACAGAAAGGGGGAATGCTTCTTTTGAAAGCAGATTGGCAAGTACCATTACAGAGCTAAGACTTTTTAAAATGGACCAGATCAAACATACTTGTTTTCTAAAGAATCAGAGAATTCAATGAGATAAAGGCTGCTGTCTGCTCTACAGAGGACCTCCCACTGCCCTGTGCCTTTTGGCTGCACACTAGGGGCTCAGTTTACCAACAGAAGCTCTGGCTTAAAATCTGCCAAACAAATCAAGGATCATTTTCCTATGTAAAAATAATGACTGAAATGAATTATTCAGGAACTGGGCCAGAGCATTTGCATGCATCCACCATGTACACAGATGTATAATACAGTATGTTTCTCTCAAGATGTTTTCTAATATTTATGCAAACAGTTTATAAAATTAAATCACATTAGTGTTGGATTAGTACTTGACATTTATCAGACTATGGACTCTTGTTGCTAGAGGGGATACCCTAAGTTTCAATAACACTTAATGGCTTTTTCTTCTGATGATGACTGCTCAGCGCAATTATCCCGACTTTTCTTTACAGAGATGACTTTGTTCCTACGGAAGTATATTTTCTTGCTTGTAACTCAAACTTTCCTTTTCTGGTGGAAATGGAGCTTTCTTTTAATTTCATATTTAAAAACAACCATGTCAGATAAAACTTCCTGGAAGACATCAATAGACGTAATCATGGCCAATTATCAAATATTCAATTATTCTTCTTCTCCAGATCATCACCCGCTTTGAATATACAATGCAGATATTGTTGTCCATGCTGATCTGATTACCTGGCTCAGTGGAAAAGAAGCCTGGGCTTTGATGAGAGCATTGGTGTGCCATCATAAGGACTACTTGCCTAGGGTCCTATCACCCACTCAAAATGATTCCTTGGGAGCTTTTATCACCTGCATAATTTAATTCTTTATGCTCACCCTAGATCAAATATCTATCTGACCATATTGTTAAGAAGCTCAGCTGCTTCTTGTGGGATGTATCTTAAATAGCATGAGAGAAAGAGAGGTCAAAGTAGGGACCATGCGAATTTAGAGTACCTTGAAGACTATAAATATGTGGCTTTTAAAGTCAGCATATCTTGAGCTCGACTCTGAGGGCAAACATGGAGATCAGGGTCAGACCAAGTTTTTGCAAGCTTAACTGATGCTGGAGTGGGAGTCTCCATCCAAGAACCTCTTCATCTTCAAAGTATCGTGGTGGCTGAAACGTTATCAGCAGAGATTAATTTCTTTTTTTTTCTTTTTTTTTGAGACAGAGTCTTGCTCTGTCACCCAGGCTGGAGTGCAGTGGAATGATCTCGGCTCACTGCAACCTCTGCCTCCCAGGTTCAAGCGATTCTCCTGCCTCAGCCTCTCAAGTAGCTGGGATTACAGGTGTGTACCACCACACCCAGCTACTTTTTGTATTTTTAGTAGAGACGGGGTTTCACCGTGTTAGCCAGGGTGGTCTCAATCTCCTGACCTCGTGATCCGCCTACCTTGGGCTCCCAAAGTGCTGGGATTACAGGCGTGAGCCACCGCACCTGGCCTAATTTCTTTTTTCTTTATTTTATTTTATTTTTTTTTGTGAGATGGAGTCTTGCTCTGTCACCCAGGCTGGAGTGCAGTGGCGTGATCTCGGCTCACTGCAAGCTCCACCTCCTGGGTTCACACCATTCTCCTGACTCAGCCTCCTGACTAGCTGAGACTACAGTCACCCGCCACTACACACGGCTAATTTTTTGTATTTTTAGTACAGACGGGGTTTCACCATGTTAGCCAGGATGGTCTCGATCTCCTGACCTCGTGATCTGCCTGCCTCGGGCTCCCAAAGTGCTGGGATTACAGGTGTGAGCAACCACACTTGGCCTAATTCCTTTTAAGTTACATATTTTCTTGTTTTTCATGTTTTGAAGCATATAATTCCAGAGATTTGCTTGTTTGAATATGGACAGCCTTAATGTGATGCCACACGTACCACATGGTGGGTGTTATTGCTGAAGGAGAAAACTCTTTTATCACAGCAAGTTCTTTACTGCCCGAAGGGATCAAGGCTGCATGAACCAACCAGGTTGTAGCATCAGATACTTCAGGAGAGCAGTCAGGGCCACAGAGTCACTGGGGAGTCTCTGGCTTAGATGTGATCAGTGAAACCCTAAAGGCACTCCTGCAATACAGGACTGAGTCCAGAGGGCTGTCACTCACAAAGCAGGTGAGTAAAGGAATCGACTGCAGGGATACTGAACAGTGGGTGGAAGGAGCAAGGACCACAGCAGGGAGATCATAGAGGGTTTGGTACATTTTACATAAAAGAGGGGTCATCAGCGTCCAAAGAGAATGAGAAGTAGGGCAGGGCCTTGGGTGCTACAGCAAACAGGGCTCTAGGGGACAAGGTGGGGTTGGGGAGAGAGGAGGCAGCATCTGGGAATGGCTCCAGTGAAGATCAGATCTTTGCCACAAGACAGACAGAGCTGGGGGGCAGTAGGCAAGCAGAAAACGTGGATGGAGGCTGAGCAGATGGTCACCAGCTGGGATCCCTGAGACACCTACTCCGAGACAGAATGACTTTGCAGAATCATCACTGGGAGGGCTCTTCAGGATCAACATTTGCCGCATGGAGTTTGGGCAGGAAGAATTGTAAGGATGTTCTGTGATGCCTCCATAGACCCTATTGGAGTTGTCCCATTTGGGGCAAGAATGGCTTGGCCTTTATACCCCTTCCTCATGCATTGGTGTGACTGCCCTTATAGAACATGGCCATTTTTGAGGTGGCTCCCGGTAACTGAGGCAGATCCTGGGGGTTCCGGCAACTGCAGGTCATCTACTGACACCAGCAGCCAGGCAGCAAGCTCTTCTTTGCAGGGGAGTCTGGGTGGTGCACCTCCAGGTCTGCCACTCTGAGAGCTGTGCCCAGGAGGCTGTTAGAGCACTCAGCTGGTTCAGTCACAAAATCTACTGCTTTCTGCATCTTGTTCTGTCTTGTTTGAGAAGGTCTTCACCTGCCTTCCTGTGTGCTTTTATAAATTCCCAGCAAACTGCAAACTCCTTGAGGGCAGGAAGAGCAGCTCACCTGTGTGCCTGATGTTTTCTGCAGTGCCAGTCACGTTGCTGGATGCTGGATACATGTCCTGCAGTGGATGAGGGTGCTTTGGAAGCTGGGCTTATGGAATTCCCAGGAAAGCACATGTGGCTGTGAGAAGGCTTCTGTGCATGTAGACTTTCAGGGTGCCCTCTTGGGACCATGGTCTAAACTGTGAGTGCTGATACTGTTCTGACATAGACATTGCTCATCAACAGATTCTAAAGAAGGCTGAGAATACAGGATTTCTGGAATGTTGTCTTTCCCCAAGGGGATAAATTTTTGAGAGGCCAAAAAGAGAATATTTGTGCAGAATCAGGGCTGAAAGGAAATAGAAGCTGGACTGGCCACCTCTGCTCCAAATTGTCTTTCTCAGCAGAGCCATTTCCAGGCATAGCTCTATCTCCATCTCTGTGGAGGCCACTGGCAGAGTCCCAGGGATTCATCCAAAGGCCTGGGAGGCCTCTCTTCCTGCTGCCGATGCGGATGAAGACAGGCCCCTTGCTGCTGCATGCGCCGTGGTTCTGCATAATTCCTTAACCATTTCTCCAGCAGGATGAAGCTCTGATGAAATATTTATTGATTTTTAAATGCTTCCCATCTATTATAAAGTAGTGTCCTTTGCATTATATATTTTCCAGTTGGGTTTTGTTGTTCTTAGAAACTGCCTGTTTTTAAGCACTCACCAGTTTTTGTTTGGGGTATCCTCCCCCTGCAGGTGTCTTCACTCTAACCTTTCATATTAATCAGGTTTTGAGGAAATAGTAACCAAATTCACCCAAAAGAGGAGAAATGAGCTTCTGTGGCCCAGTAGCCTAGGGGGCTCCTAGAGACCAGCTTTTCTCTGTGGCTTGCCACCCCTTCCTCATCGAGTTTAATCAGACTCTGCCGTCAAGTTGAAGCCTCAGCCTCTGTGGAGTGTGTGGTCGGCACCTTCACATGTTCCCATGTGCATCCCTGTCTATGTCATCCTCTGACTTTCCTAGAACCTCTACTTTGAACGGTGCTGGTTAGAGCCTGCCAGCAGGAGCCAAGCAAGTTAGTTGAGCGTGGAAGGGAAGA
Organism: Homo sapiens; assembly: GCF_000001405.40. Classification (NCBI taxonomy): domain Eukaryota; kingdom Metazoa; phylum Chordata; class Mammalia; order Primates; family Hominidae; genus Homo; species Homo sapiens. Next base: position 130,702,484 of record NC_000010.11, read on the forward strand.
AGCCATGATTTCATCACGGCTGAAAGCAGATGTGTGCACAGCTGGCAGAGGGCAATGGCAAACCAGAGGAACCTGAGAGTTTCCTGGAGAGCTCTGTGAATTGCCCACTTTGCTGTGGTGGGGGTGCTGAGCCTGGGGGCTCTGGGCCAGGACAGTAGGGACTCACCGTGGGGTTCAGGTGAGCTCCTGCAGCTTACTTTCTCTGGTAGGGGCTTCCCAGCCATCTGTTCCTCTGGCCTTCCTGATGGCCATGTAAGCCTCTGTGCTTGGAATACCTGGAGTAATTCTGTTTTCCTGACCAAACCATGCTGATAGGTGTGCTTACCGAAGCCGAGGAGCCTGGTCCTAACGAGCTGGAGCACTCCTGAGATGGCTTAGTGGCCAGAGGGAGAGGGGCTGGTGGGACTTGGTGGGGGGAGGGGGCAGAAACAAGCCGCCCCCCCCTGAGGAGGACTGAGTGGAATAGAGTGTCTGTGGCCATGAGCCTCGAGGCAGGATCAAGGGCATGGGTTCCTAAGTCCCCTGTGGTAGCTGAGGTCTCCGCTTGGCCTCAGAGGGGAATGAGATGGAGCTAAGCCATGCCTCATCGGGTGGACCCAGCCAGACTTCAGATGCTGTCCCTGGAGACTAGGAAGCACTTCTCCCTTCAGCCTCCTACCAGGGAGTTATTTGTCATCCACTACAGAGATTGTAAAATATCAGTTGCAGTTTTTGTGTGTGTGTGTTTACAGCAGTACAAACAAATTCACACTACTTTTTCAAGAAAGAGAAAATACAAAGAAAAGCCACGTGGAGCACTTTGGAGTGTCAGAGTCTGCGATACGCCCCAGTCATGCCATCTCTCCCCAGCCTGGTCCCCCCTCATCCACCTGCATCAACTGGCTTATTAATTTTGACACCTTCACAACTTTCTTATCTGCCTCCAGTTGCTTGCTATTTAGGTCATGGTTGGTTGTAGCTTGCTTCTTGGTAGCTGAGGAAATCTGAAAACTATGTCAAAACAAAAGACTCTATTTTTTTTCTTCTTGTCAGTGTTTAAGCTACTGATGTAGGGATAGTTGATCGAGTCATTAATTACTATATTTTAGACACTCAGAGCAATTGGCACCCATCACCTCATTGAGTCCTGTGATTATTATTATCCCCATCTTATAGTGGAGACACAGAGAAGCTGAGTAACTAAATGGCTAAGACGGAGCCCCTGAGAGGCAGTAGGAAGAAGGTTTCATCCATGGCGCTAAGCCACGTGAGCCATCAGCTGTGAGTCAGCCACAGCTAAGGACGGCTTCTCCCTCTGTCGCAGTCTCTCCCTCATCCTTCTTTCTCTTCCCTCTCTCTTTTCTCTCCCTTGCATCTCTTCCCGTTTTTCTCCTGTGGGGCGTCCATCTCATAGACCAGACATAGTTGGGGGCTGCCCCCCAAGGCAGGGTGCCCAGCAGCGTGTTAGTAGAGCACAGGCCTTCCACACACACAGTTGCCACAGAAATGTGGATCGTCCACCGCCCACACCAACCCAGCAGCCTCGTGCTCCCTGTCCTGCCAGGCTGATGGGAAGTGCAGTGATTTGGAGAAGGGTCATGCCACTTCCCATGAGTCCCGTGCAATTCAGGAAATTGAAACGTGGGGGAAATGTCTCCACTGCCCACCTGTGGACTCTGCTCTCCACATTCTGCTGCAGCGTTCCCAGGCCACCCTAACCATGGCATCCTAGCCATGGAAAACATCCTGGCCCCTAAGGCACTTCTGCCTTGGAGTTGGGCTTGGACGTGAGGGGAGCATCTTTCATCACATCTGGAAGCCCAGCACGCCCAGGCAACTTTCTGGGCCCCCCAGGGAACCATCTTCCTGTTTTGTTCTGACCACTCTTTCCCCCACCAGAGCAAGTGTATTCTCAAGTCAGAAACTTCCCACCCTGTTCCATGCTTTGAATGTGACCCCCAGAAGTTCATGTCCCCATTACAGCAGTGTTGAGAGGTGAGGCATTGGGGAGGTGCGTGGGCCAGGAGGGCTCTGCCCTCATAAGGGAATTGATCCATTCATGGGTTGATGGGTTATGGAGGCGGTGGGTTAGTTTTCATGAGGATGGGTTATTAAACTCAGTTTGAGCATTTCTCATGAGCCCCCTCGTCCTGTGATGCCCTGTATCACCCCAGGGCACTACAGAGTCCCCGCCAGCAGGAAGGACCCTCACCAGATGCGGCCCCTGGATCTTGGACTCTCCAGCCTCTAGCAATGTAACAAATACATTTTTTTCTTTATAAATTACTGAGTCTCGGATATTCATTTATAGCAATAGAAACAGACTAAGAGAGAAACCTGGTACCAAGAAGTAAGGTGCTGCTCCACAGACACCTGACATGCAGAAGCGGCTTTAGTACTGAGTAATGGGTAGAGGCTGGAAGAATTTGAAGGAGGGGGCTTGGAAAAGCCTGTCTTTCTACAAATGGGACACTAAGGGGACTCTAGTGACGGCTCAGAGGAAGAGAAGACTATAGAAAGTCTGGAACTGCTTTGAGATTACTTATGTGACCATGACCATATTGCTGATAAAAATCTGAACAATAAATGCCATTCTGAGGAGGTCTCAGAGGGAAAGGAGGAGCAAGGTATTGAAAACCGGAGCAAATGCCATCCTTGTTACAAAACAGCAAAGACTGACTGAATTGCATCCCTATCCTGGGAGGCTACGGAATGCAGAACTGAGGAGCAATGAAGGAGGGGAGCAGACAGAAGCAGCAGCTGAGCAGCAGGGCATTCAGGCTGCCACACAGCAACGCAGTGCAGAGGAGCCACGGGAAGAAGAAAGAGGCAACAGTTTCGAGTAAGCCCAGAATGTACCACGAAACGGCAGTAAGTCTCAAGACTTTTAACTGCCTGCCGTAAAATAAGAGAGGAAAGAGATGATTTAAAGACAGAATTTGTGATTAAAAAGGAAGTAAAGCAAAAGGATTTGGAACACTCTCACCCTGGCCATGGAAAGAGTGGACAAGCATGCCCAAGAGAGGAGACTAAATGCATGGCCAAGAGCCTGCCATGAGGACTGACACAGGAGGATAGCCTGGAGCCATCTGAAATGCCTGTGGGGTCTTTCCCCCTTTGTCCTACTCTAGGAGGGGGCATGGTTTCCAGGGACAGGCCTGGGGTGCCCTGCACAGGGTCACTGCCCACAGCCACCCAGGGTCTCCGTTCCCCACATTCTGGTGTGGCATTCCCAGGCCACCATAGCTGTGGCTTAAGTGACTCCAGGTCTGGCTCAATCCATGGATCTGGAAGGTACAAAGCATAAACCTCGGTGTTGAGCGTGTGGCGCTAATTCTGCAGACAAGCAGAGTGCAAGAGCTGTGAAGACGCGGCTTCCTCTACCCAGATTTCAGGTGTTGCCTTGGACAGCTTGGGGCCCAGGCAGAGGCTAGCTGCAGGGGTGGAGTTAGAACAGAGCCCCCGCCAGGGCAAAATGCCAAGTGGAAATGTGGGCACAACTGGAGCTGCTGCAGGGAGTCCCCCAGGGCAATGTCTAGCGGGGCTGTGTGAGTGGAGTCACCACCTAGACCCCAGAACAGTAGAGCTAGTAGTGTACAGTGTCAGCCTGGAAGAGACAAAGTGTGGGCTGAGTCCAGGAAAGCAATGGGGGTATGGCTGTTCAAGGTCTTGGGGGCCCAACCTCCACCCCAGTATGTCCAGGAGGCAGTACAAGGACTGAAAGATCCTTCTAGAGTTGTAAGATGTCATGTGGAATTGGAATGGGAATGCCTTTCTTATGGTTGGCTGTAACTGTATTTTGGAAGTCGATAACATGTTTGATTTCACAGGCTCACAGCTGAAACAAATTTGCCTCAAGGCAAATCATGCCTTGAATCTCACACATATCTGATTTAGATAAGACTTGGAACTTTGGACTTTTGAGTTGCTGCTGGAACAAGTTAAGACTCTGGGGCTATTAGCTTGGAATGAATGTATTTTATGTGTGAGAAGGATATGAGTTTGGGGGTCTGGGGTGGAATGCTATGATTTGGCTATATCCCCCAATGGTTCATTTCTCAAGTGTAGCTGTGTTGAGAGGAGGAACGTTTGGGAAAACTGTACCTTTATGAGTGAATTAGTCCATTCATGGACTGATAGGTTATGGAGGAAGTGGGTTAGTTATCATGCTGGCGGGTCTATTATAGAAGCCAGTTTGGCCGTGTCTTAGGAGACCCTCACCATGCAATATCCTGCACAGCCTCTGGACTCTGTAGAGAGTCCTCACCAGCAAGAAGGGCTGCACCAGGTAAGGCCCCGGGACACTGGACTTTCCAGCCTCCCAAACTATAAGAAATACGTATCTTTTCTTTATAAATAACCCAGTCTCAGGTATTCACTTATTGGAACAGAAAATGGAGTAAGATACCCTGTCTCTTCTCTCATTTCTAAAGATTACTCCACGGACTTCCTCTGGGAAAGCTTTTCTCCTCTGCCGCGAATGCTCCCATGTATTCTGACCCTCTCTGCCCACAGAGGGGCTGGTCTAATTCTCTCCCGTGGACCTAAGCTTTAGACAAGCTCATAAACAATGACTATAAACATGGGAGCAGGGACTGTAGGGCTGGGCTGGGGTGCAGATGAGGGACATGGGAGCAGGGACTGTAGGGCTGGGCTGGGGCGCAGACGAGGGAATAATAATAGCAGCAGCCAGCTGTTGTGTTGTAGGATCTGTTCTATCTTATTTGCATAAATTTATTTATTCTTCCCGGAAATGCCATGGAGTATTATCTGTCATGTACTGTAGGCTAACTAGAGAAACAGATAGACTCCAAAGCAGGAAATGGCTCAAGGGCAGTAGGAGTTGATTTCTGGCTAAGAGCAGTGGGCAGATGAGCTGGTGGCTGGGCACGCTCACCATTCAATCACTCAGGGGCCCAGGCTGATGGAGATATGCCTTCTTCAACACACACGGTTTCCAAGGTTGCCATGAAAATCCTTTCCTTTCCAGACAGTCTGAAAAGGGGAAATTGCATGGAGGAGAGCCCCAGAAAAGCTATGCATGGGTCAGGCCACAGCTGGAACACATGGCTTTCTCTCAGGTCTTTCGTTGGCTAGAGCTCAGTCACATGAGTGCACTGAACTGCAAGGGCGGCTGGGAAATGTAGTTCCCACAGGGACGTCCCTTCTCAGTGAATGTCCCACCCAATGGAAAGGGTGGCACCATCCAAGGAGTTTCTGCCAATGTATGATTGGCCCACTTTACAAACTAGGAAACTGAGGCACAGCAAGGTTAAATAAGTTGACCAAGATCACATATCTGGGGAATCACAGACATGAAGCTGCTCGGTGGCTCCCCCAACAGGCTGCAGTCACTTTAAGTCCCCACATGGAAAGTGTCAGTGCTGGGAGAGCTTTCAATTGCCAGGGAGTTAGGAATACTCAGACCAAGCATGCTCTCTTCTCTCCGGTCTCTCTGGCCCCAGGGGCAGTTCTTAGAAGGGGATTGCTTGATGGCAGGATGTGGGCGCTGCCCCCTGAGCTCTCTGTTCCTGCAGTGACTGGACAGCAGCCCTGGGCATCCCTGTCTACACCTCTGCAGCTCCTGAGATTGGAACAGGATTGAGTCCAAGTGACCGAAGAGCAAGGCTGTCCAAGCTGGGGTGCTGGTGGTAGGCACCTGAGGCACTGTCCTGAGCTGTGCTTTCTTATGGGAGGGGTGGGGGGGGCTCTGTGGGAACCTTGTGACCACTGCTGGTTTTGGAAGAATTTTCCAGAATTCTGTCTGGCTTTTGGAATAATGCCAGCAGGGGTGATTTTCCCAAAGCTCCTTTTGGCCCACTATGGGGGGATGAGTTTGAATCCAATGAAGGCAGTTTCTCTTCATGGGTGCTGCACTTCCTGTGCCGTGTGGGGAGTTTCACTGATGCTGCCGCCCAGGGAGCATCTCCTTGTCGTGCCCATTCCCGCTTCCTCCCCTCAGATGTGGCCCTTCCTGGTGGATCGAAGACTGCAAGCTCCTTGAGGCCAGGGAGGGATTCTGCTCCCGTGCCCATGCAGTGGGCCTGGCTCTGCTCCCGCCCACGTGCATTGGGCCTGGCTCTGCTCCCGCCCGCGTGCACTGGGCCTGGCTCTGCTCCCGTCCGCGTGCGTTGGGCCTGGCTCTGTTCCTGTCCGCGTGTGTTGGGCCTGGCTCTGCTCCTCTGCCCATGCAGTGGGCCTGGCTCTGCTCCAGTCCGCATGCGCTGGGCCTGGCAATGGTGGTGAGAATCAGCTGATGTGGCTGAAGAGACGCACAAGGTGCACCGTAGGTGGTGGCTGCTGTTCTTGTCAGTTTCCCGAGGCCCATCTGTGGCTCCCCACTGAGAGCCAGGGAAAGTTGCCGTGGCTAAAGGCTGATCAAAAATGGCTCAGTATTATTGTGGAAACCTAAATAATTCCCCTGAGGAAGATTTTCCTGTCTGGCCTTGAGAGCATTCTGTGGTTCAGCTGAAAATACAGCTGAGTTGAAAAATGTACCTATTTCAGAATGAAGAATTGTAGCTGCTTTACAGGGACTGCTGTGGAGTCACCCAACTGTTTTCAGACAGTTTCACATTCAAAGGCCATTTCTTCTGATGTGAAGGAGACGTAGATGATGTCAAAAGATGGACCCCGCTGTCTGACCCTGGCCCACCTGTCAGGGCACTGCCCGGCCCCATCTCAGATTGTTCTGGGCCTGGGATCTCACTCTTTGTTCCTGTTGATATTTGCTGTATTTCGCCACTAAATTGGATTTGGACTCCAGCCTCCCACTGGGGAGATGTTTTGCTGCACCTCAGTGGAAGCCTCCACTGTGCAGATTCCTTGATGCTTACCGAAGCCTGCCATCCCTGGCCACCTGACAGCAGCAGGCACAGGCCTGGACACTTCTGTTGTCTCCAGAGAAAAGTGCCTAACTTTCACATCAAACCCCTAGGAAAGGTTTGACTTTCCAAATGTTAAGCATTTAGAATCAACTGACAGTTTATTCTCCAAGCAGCAAATATACAAGTTGCCTAAATTAGAGTAATCCCAAATACCTGTGGACTCTGCTTGCCAGGTCTGTGCTAAGGCAGGAGCCACACACCTGGACTCTCTGGGCCTGGAGCCGCTGCCTGCAGCACCTGCAGCCTTCCCATGCATGCCAGTACAGCAGGGCAGCTGACCTTGGGTTCCATGGGGTCACCCAGAAGTTATCCTTTTCCTTGGGTCTGAAATGACTGGTGCATGCACTATTTCCACACTGGTTGTTTTAAGCAGGACGGTGACAGCAGCCAGGGCAGGTCTGTTCTGAGTGAGGAAGGACAGTGAAGGAGGCTGGCCATGCTGTTTGTTGCCTCCCACTCTCTGCCCTATAGGAAAACAGGGTGGCACAGCAGTGACATTCACTGTCCAGGAGGCAGACAGGCCTTGGGGAGTGACTTGCCCTCCTGGGCTCTGGGCTATGGTAAGGATCAGAGGAGACCAGGGTCAAAACCTCCTCTGTTCCTGGCTCTGAGAGCCCCACAGCCCGTGGCTGTGCTCATGGACAGGTCACCCTAAGTGGATCAGCTGCCTCATGGTGGGAGGTGCCCCCACTTGCCGGTTCTGAAATCTGGGCTGGCTAATTAGCATCTGTGGCACCTCGGTTATCTGTGGGTGAAAGAGAAATCAGACAAGTTGCTTGCCTGGGCTTGGGGTCTGCAGAGGAAGTCCTTCCTGCACTAGGACTCACGTTCCCCTCCCCAGGTGGGGTTGAGGGTGGGGGTTCCATGGGCCAAATCTAGCCCTGTTTTGTATGGCCTGCAAGCTAAGGATGGCTTTGATGTGTGGCAGAGACCATAATCACCTTTCCAGGAAAGGTGTGCCAGCCCATGATTTAAAACTACCTGGATTGCTCACATTTGCATGGATTCACTGAGGCTTGGTGGGACCATTCTTTTGCTGACCGTGAGAGGCAGCACGGCCAGCATGGGGCTACATGGCCGAGAGTGGTCGTTGGTGGCCAGGCGAGTTTGCCACAGGCAGGGATGGGGCCGAGGAGCCTTCAGAGTAGGAGGGAGGCTGTGCTGCACCTGGGCAGGATCTCAAGCCTCAGCACAGCAAGTGGTACCCGGGAGGGAGAGGACAGTGGAGCGGAGGGAACACGTGTGTCTCCCGAGCACCTCCAGAGTCTGAAAACCCATGTTTCAAATCCCTCGAGTCAGAGTTGAAATCACAAAGAAATCCTGGTCAAAACAGTGGGATTTTCATGACCTTGAAAACACACTGGCAGAAGAGCCCGCTCTGTTTTTTATTGGCTTTTGGCTGAAACGTGGCTGCGCTGGTCTTCTGGGCAAGTGGAGTGTGGGCGCCACTGCAGGGGAGATGGTGCTGGTGTCCAGGGCAGCTCTCAGAGGAGGCCATCTGTAGCCCCGTTAGAGAAGCACTTTGAAGTGTGTTTGGGGGTTGGTGAGGATGGAGGTCAGCCCATAGAGGGGCTGTGAGGGTCTGGACAGGGAACCAGAAAAACGACCTCCTCCACTGCTGGGCAAGGGTTTGCACTTCTTTTACGTGCAAAGCCGATTCACATTTGGCTTATCTATCCAGATGAACACACACACAAACACACCAAAACAGCAAACGAAAATAGCTCACGGGGTGAGCACAAATTTCTGTTGGGAGCATGCGTTGCTCGGAGGGGAAGGGGGAGAAACAGCAGTGTTCTCTGCGAAGCCAGCGCCGGGCAGGCTCCGAGCTCCAGCCCCAGTTGGCCAGGCAGCCAGATGCTGGACCAGTTGACAATAGGCTTCTGGGGCTGGACAGCCACAGGCTGGGATGCATGGCTCCTGCAGAGGGCAGGGCAGGTGGGGCAGCGGTGCTCTGCAGGGAGGGCGTGTCCCTGAACGGATGTAAGGTTGCTGGATGTAGGGTGGTAGGGCCTGGAGGGAGTTCCCAAAGCCACCGCTGCGCTCTAGACAGCCTGCTTTCAAAATCACCTTAGTGCAGCGTAACTTCCATACAATGAAACACACTCATGATAAGCGACAATTTGATGAATTTTGACAAGTGTTTACTCCAGAGCATTACTTGCTTCTCCTTTGCAGCCAGTGCTCTGGACTCTCACCTTCACCCCCTGTCCTGGGCGACTGCGGCTTTCTTCCTGTCCCTGCTGCCTGGTCTTGCCTGCTGTAGAATCAGCGGAATAGATGCATTCTGTGCATCTGAGTGTTTGTGTTTTCCTGTCTCTTTCACCCAGTGGAGTGTTTGTGAGAGCACTGTGTGTTGCTGTGCGCGTGCAGCGGAGTGTTTGTGAGTGCAGCCTGTGTTGCTGTGCGCATGTTGTGGTTGTTTTCTTCATTCCATAGATGAGTTGTTGTAAAATACACCCTAGTTGGTGTCTCCCGCTCCTCGATGAGTGTTTTCTCGGTTTCCAGATTGAGGCTATTGTAAAGAAATCTGCTATTAATATTCCTGCACAAGCCTGTGTGTGCACATATGTTTTCATCTCTCTGTGTAAATACCTTAGGGCGGAATTGCTGGGTTGAATGGTAGTTGTTTGCTTGATTTTTATAAGAAACTCCAAGCTGTTTTCCAAAGTGGTTGCACCTGCAGTTGGGTATGAGCATGCCACTTTCTCCACACACCTACCCTTCTTGCAGGGAGTGGTACCTCACATGCCTCCCTCTGACTAACGACACGGGGCATCCTTCCATGCATGGAGTGGCCATTTCTAGCCCTCTTCTGTAAAGAAAGGGGAGGGCTCCCTGCTGCTTGCACGCTGCCTCCTAAGTGCATTATCAGAACAAGGAAAGGAGGCGCTGGCTTCCCTTCCCTTCTGTCTTCCTCAAATAAACATGTAGATTAAAAAAAAAAAAGAGTCGATTTCCTCATGGAAACTTACATGGAACAAGGACCTGGCGTCGGACACAGCTGGGATGCAGCATATCTGCACCTGATGCTTTTCTGGATGATGCATGTCATCCACATTTGAGAGAGGCTGAAAATCTTTCTGAATCAGAATCAGGGAAAAATTTTTTGCAATGACCATCTTTAAGTGCTTATGACCCCGTGTAAATATAATTGGTGTCAAAGTGATGGTACTTCTTTAAAAAGTCAGATTTGACTAATTTATAAATTAATAGACAAGATATTTAATTTTTGTCGCCTTTTATTTTATTTCTGAATCTGCTGCTTGTAAGGCAGACATGACATGTTCTTATTAGTTTATTGTTCATTTCATTAATTCACTCATTCTTTTTTTATCCATTCATCCAACCATGTGTTCCTTCCAAGTGGCACGCACTGTACTGATTGCTTTATGTCAATTAACTAAACCATTAATTAATTAATCCATCAATGAATGAATCCATCAACCAGCGAACCCGTCAATTCACTAATCCTATCCACAGTGCTTTTCTTCCCTCTTCTTCTTTTTCCTTTTATTCTTCTCTCCTTTCTTCCTCTGCCTTTTTCTTTCCTTCCTTTCTTCCCACTGAAAGGATACTCTCCTTGATCAGACTTTAGTCAGGCTTCTCTTTTGACTAGGCTGTGGCCTTGGTCCCCATCCTTGCTGGGCCTGATTTGTCTCATTCCAGCAAGAACCCCGCTAAGTCCATTTAGAGAGAAGCTTCCACCCTTCATACCTGATCAAATCCTTATCCCCCACTCTCAGTGTCTGCTCATCCTGGCCCACCTTTGATAAGAGTCCTTCCCCCACTCTCAGTGTCTGCTCATCCTGGCCCGCCTTTGGCAAGAATCCTGTTTGGCCAGGTTGGCAAGAATTCTCCTACCCCTGAGGCCTCCTCTCAGAGATTTTCCAGGCACTGCCCCTTCTGCCCTAGCTCCTTGGCTGTAAACCCCACTTGTTCTTGCTATGTTTAGAATGCAGCCCAGTTGCACACCCAGGTCTCACTGCCCCCACTGCGGTAGTTCCTGAATGAAACCTGCTTTTCTGCTTTAACTTCTGTCTGGCTCTGGTTCCCTTCCTTCTTTTCATATGTGTTACTGGTCACTTATTTACGAAGCATCCAGGCAGGCCAACCTGCCAGTCCCACCTTCACTGACTGATTGGGGAGACAATTATACAGGAAGCCCACTGCGATCAAATGTGACGGATTCCTCTCTACTGAACCTGTGTGGACAGAAGGACAAGGGGGAGAGTGAAGAGAAGGCGGTCCGAGCAGATACAAGGTCTGCTTCCTCCACCGGATGGTGCTGGCTTGTCGCAAGCATTGATTCTGTCTTCCTGCACAGGGCTTCCTCTATGGCAAGCCGTTTGTGTAAGGAGGGGAGGGGGAAAATGGTAGTGTGGCTGGGAAGGTAGGCCCAGTGGGGAAGAGCAGGGTGGGCTTCTGCAGGGGTGGGGGTACCCAAATGGCAAGTGGGAGTCACTGCCTCTGCTCCCTTTTCCTGACCTGGGACCGCCCAGCCTGGCAGAAGGAGGACCCCCTAGCCTGGCAGAAGGGGGACCCCCTCTCATCATGGATGAATCTGCATTAGCGTACTGACTCCCGGCCAACCCATGGGACAGGCTACTAAAGCAGAGATGGTCAAGCAGGACACCAGACGGGGACTGTGCTCAGGGCACACAGTGCCTCGCATGCCCAGAGGACCCGAGAATCACTGAGGCACCTTCTGCCACCTCGGGGGCCTCTTTTGGGGTTTCTTTAGCCACAACGAATGAGCCTGAGCCAAGGAATGGGACAGAGTCTTCAAGGGGTGGGGATATTGAGGCACAGAAAGGTGATGTAACTTTCCCACGGGCACGTGGTCAATGAAATGTCACTATCCCCAATCAGCAAGAGGGAGGCATGAGACCTGAGCTGGAGCTGACCGACTCAGAGCCCATGCTCCCCGTCATTCCACTCCTGGAACAATTGGGTACCACCCAGCCCAGCCTGGTACGGCACCTCAGGGCAGCCTGAGCAGCTGCCAGGCACTCGGGGAAGCAGGAGGGGGCAGCTGTGTGGTCTGGCTGGAGACAGAGGTGGGAACCACCCCCCTTTCCTTTTTGTCCACCCGGAGCCACCCTGTCCAGGGAGGGCAGGTGAGGGCCACTCCCTGCAGCCCTTTCCCTCGAGTGAGCACACGGGCAGCCCTGGGTCCAGGGCACCACAGCAAGGAGTGATCTGGAAAGGCAGGGAGGATGGAGCAATGGCTTTGAAGTCAGTCTGGGTAGGTCAAGGCCCATCTCTGCCTCATCTGCCCTGAAACCTTGGGCAGGAGACTGACACCCTCTGAGTGTCAGTTTTACCATCCGTCATGTGGTGATAAGGAGAGAAAGCACTTGGGGGACACTGAGGACTGAGCCAGATTCTCCACCTTTACCCACTACCAGGACGCCCAGGTGCCGGAATGTTCACTTTTCTGATTACAGTTTGTCTCAATTACTGCGTGAAGACACGCTGAGGAAGGCCTCTGGGGATGGGTGTACAGGTTTCCCCAGCCCAGCTCTGCCTGCTCTTCACTAGAGTCCTCATCCTCTGCTGTTTCGCGAGGTGAGTCACACACGCCATCCACAAGGCAGCAGGGAGAGAAAGGCCTTGCAGGGAGGATGCTGATGAGATAACTGATGCATTTGTAGCTGCATGTTAATGCGAAAAGCGCTGGGAGTGTGCGTCTTAATCTCTGGGAAGGAGAATTAGTGCACCCTAAGACACTATTTCTTCCCAGAGAGCACCTGACTTGCCACCCGGGTCAGACCAATTAGGAAAGGAGCTCTGCAATCAGCTTCGTCTCGGAAGCAGCCTGCTGATCTGCCCACAATGGGGAGGCTGGCCCTGCACGCGTTTCTGTGTTAACCTCCCACACAATCCACTCACCCAGGGCCGCAAGGAAACAGAAAGAAACAATAGTTCCCAAATGCCTGACGACCCAGCAGAGGGACCTAGAAAACCTGGGCAGCTCCCCAAGAGTTTCTCTCTCGACCCCGAGGGCAGGCTGGAAACCAGATCTCCCTCACTCTGGGGACAGGAGCCACATTCACCTGTTGGCGGGGTGGGCACTGCTCAGTGATTCAGCAGGCACTTTACAAAATTACCATTTTTAAATAAGTAAGACTTTACCTTTTTTAGTGCAGTTTATTTATTTATTTATTTGAAGTGGAGTTTCACTCTGTCTCCCAGGCTGGACTGTAATGGTGCAATCTCGGCTCACTGCAACTTTCACCTCCCAGGTTCAAGCAATTCTCGTCCCTTGGCCTCCCGAGTAGCTGGGATTGCAGGCACGCCACCATGCCTGGCTAATTTTTGTATTTTTAGTAGAGATGGAGTTTCACCATGTTGGCCTGTCTGCTCTCGAACTCCTGATCTCAAGTAATCCACCCGCCTTGGCCTTCCAAAGTGCAAGGATTACAGGCGTGAGCCACCGCACCCGGCCTTTAGTGCGGTTTTAGGTTGACAGGAAATTGAGATAGTACATAGCGTTCCCTTTACCCACCCCATTGCACACACTGCTTTCCCTGTTTTGACATCTTGCATTCATGTGGACATTTGGGACAATTGAGGAACCTGCACTGATATGCTATGAGTCACTGAAGACCACAGCTGACACCAGGGTTCCCTCTTTGCTCTGCAGTTCTGGGGGTTTTGACAAATGCACATTGACATGCATCTACCAGCACAGTTTGTAACAGAAGTGTTTCCCCTTCTTAAAATCCTCTGTGCCAGCAAGCACATTCTGAGAGCTGGGCACTTGGGGAGGGGCCAGCCATGTGAGTGCACAGTGGCCAACCTGTGGGCTTGTTCTTAGACACTCCAGGTCACTGGGCACTCAGGAAAGGACAGTGGTGTGTCCCCAATGTGGACTTGGTGCTTTCTGTGTGGGCTTGATGCTGATGTACAAGTAAGGATTGCTGTTCCCTGTCCCCAAAGGGCCTGCCAGCAGCTGGACACCATCTTTCACGAAGTGTTCCTGTGGGCAGCAAAGTCATGCAGGTGGCAGGGATAGAACCTGCCCCATCACCAGGTCTTCTGGACCAGCCTTGGCTGCCTCTGGACATATCCCATTGGGCGGGGTTCCTGGATGCCACCCAGACCCTCATGGTCTCTGTCATTTTCTCTGCCCACCCCCAAGCCCTCGGGCTCATGGCTGCCTTTCCTACTAAAGCCCCTGCTTGCTGAACCAGAGCTAAGGTTCATGGAGCCCCTACAGGTTGAGGAAAGGCCCCGACGGTCCAGGAGCCAGGGGTGCTGTCCCCTGCCCTGCAGGATCTGCAGCCTATGCATGCTGCTCTGGAACCTTCCCAACCTCCTAGACCAGAAGGCATGTCCTCCTGTAGCAGCTGCTGCTGGGAGCCGTCCTAGGACCTGTGACACAGGAGGGCAGCAAGCTAAAAGCTCGTGATTCCCTTGCCCACTCTGGACGCCAAAGCATCCCTGACTGATGATGGTCAGGAAGCCCCAGACAGAAAGAAGCCTCCCCTTCAGCCTCCCCTAAGGGTTTGTGTATCCCCTTGCTCCCTTGGGGTCAAGATGGGGCTCCGGAGCCCCATGGCTGTGCCTGGCCCTCCTTGCCCTGGGGACAGCTGCCTTTCTAGAAATTGGCCAGGCTGATGATGGATCGCACTTTTGCATCATCACCATCCAAGGGACCATTGCTATAGCTGAAAAAGATTTATTTTCAGGAATTGCATGTCTTATTCCACACTGAATCCTGGCTCTCTTCTCGTAAAAAACACACGGGCATATGCGTGCGTGCACTCATATACATGTACCTCAACACACAGATGTGTATATCCCCTCTTTGGCCTTGTCGTCCATTTCCCTAGTTCTGCTTTATGTAACAGCATTTGATGCCACAGAGCCAGCCCCTACTTAAAACTGCAGTTGATCCTCCAGGCACAGCACGGAGGGAGGGAGCTCATTACTGAGCCCTGTGGCCTCAGCGGGAAGCACAGCTATTACTATCAACTTGAAACAAGCATGAGGAGCAATTAGGTGTTCTCTAAAAATCCAAGTTTGTGTGTGCAAAGGGCTGAAATAGCCAGAGATGGGAACACATTACACTGAAGATGGCAAAGACACAGATATAAAACTTTGAAAATAAATGAACTGTCTGAGCCATGGCTTAGCAAGGAAGAAGGACGGCTGTCCACTCTTTTTGAATCTGAATTCATGCATGATGTCTGCTGGGTGGAGGTCCTCATCTACCAGGGAACCAGGTGAGAAGTCAGGATGTGCATTCCAAGGAGCAGAACGCCGACACGCTGCAGCGTGGATGAACCTCGGAAGCATTACGCCCTGCAGAGGAAGCCAGACATACAGGACCACGTATCACATGAGTCCATTTATAGGAAGTGTTCAGAACAGGCAGATCTACAGAGCCAGAAGTAGTTAGGAGTTCCCTGGGGCTGGGGATGGGAACAGGATGAACTATAAATGCCCATGAGGCTCTCACTGGGGTGACAGAGATGCTCCCGAACTGCAATGTGGTGATGTTTCCACAGCTTGATGCATTTATTAAGAATCATTGTGGTGTACACATAAAATGGGTGAATGTTATGCTGTGTAATTTATACCTTAACATTTTTTTTAAAGCCAGTGCATGCATAAAATTCTATAGCAACCAGCATGATATTCCATGCCTATAATATGTCCATAGAAAACACCCTGGAATTTAGGGGAAGCATAGACAAATGGGATCCGAAGTTTGATGGACCCTTTTAAGGGTCTGAAGTTTTGATGAACACTTTAAAGTGTGTTCTTTCTGCTTTTCTACCTAAAGGAAACATGTTCTAGGAAGTGAAATGAGAGCAAGGGAAGAACAGATCCTTGGGGAGTTGAGGGGAGCAGTTACTGTGGTAAGAGCCGTGGTGGAGGGAGGGGAAGGGAGAAGGAAGAAGAGAAGGGAGTGGGGGGAGTAGATGAGGATGGGGAGACACGTTTTCTAGGGGAGTTAAGAAAATTTTATTTTTTATTTTTTGTAGATCACGTACATCATCCTTACAACAAAATAATCTGATAAAGATAAGCCAAGGCAAGACTAAATATAAAAATGTCTACAAGGCATTTCCATTGGGATGTGCTGGCAAGATGACCTTTGGGTGCTGATGGCTGGAGGGGGCCAGAGGAAGTTAGGACATGTGGTTTTAAGGAAATGAAGCCAGTGAGAAAGACCCAGCACGGGAGTGAGCGTCTGCGGGGGCAAAGCTGACTTGAGGCCAGTGAATGTTTCACTACTTGAACATAAGGCTAACGATTGTGCTGAAATAGACAGTGATTCATTCCTAGCTCTCTTCCTTTGAAATGCAATTCCAGCTCCAATAACATATCTAGATTTTAACTACCCCAAAGCATGAATTTCAAATTGAATGAAAACAACTCTGTGAAATTAGGTATAAAAACTCACTCCCTCATCAGCATGCTGGGACGGAGGAAGAGGCAATGGCATTGTGATGAGAAAGAGCTTCACTGTGTTTGGAAGGTCCCTACCAAAACTCACATTGAAATTTAATTGCCACTGTAACGGTATTGGGAGGTGAGGCCTTGAAAAGGTCATGAGCTCATAGGTTAGTCATCCTAGGAGTGGCCTCGAAGGGGTCACGAGCTCATGGGTTAGTTATCCCAGGAGTGGGCTCGAAGGGGTAATGAGCTCATAGGTTAGTCATCCTAGGAGTGGGCTTGAAGGGGTCATGAGCTCATGGGTTAGTCATCCTAGGAGTGGCCTCGAAGGGGTCACGAGCTCATGGGTTAGTTATCCCAGGAGTGGGCTCGAAGGGGTAATGAGCTCATAGGTTAGTCATCCTAGGAGTGGGCTTGAAGGGGTCATGAGCTCATGGGTTAGTCATCCTAGGAGTGGGCTTGAAGGGGTAATGAGCTCATGGGTTAGTCATCCTAGGAGTGGGCTTGAAGGGGTAATGAGCTCATAGGTTAGTCATCCTAGGAGTGGGCTCAAAGGAGTCATGAGCTCATAGGTTAGTCATCCTAGGAGTGGGCTCGAAGGGGTAATGAGCTCATGGGTTAGTCATCCTAGGAGTGGGCTTGAAGGGGTCATGAGCTCATGGGTTAGTTATCCCAGGAGTGGCCTCGAAGGGGTCATGAGCTCATGGGTTAGTCATCCTAGGAGTGGGCTCCTGATAAAAGGATGAGTGTGGCCTAATTTCCTCTCTGTCTCAAATGCTCACTTCCACCCTTCTGCCTTCTGCCATGATGGGACCCTCCCAGATGTTGTCACCTTGTTCGAGGCCTTCCCAGCCTCCAGAACTTCTGTTCTATATTAACAGATAAACTTCTGTTCTATATTAATGACCCAGTCTGCTGTATTCTGTTATAGCAGCAGAAAATGGACTAAGACAAGCCTCCAGGTTCCATGTGCATGTATGCAAACTCCAGTGGGAGCAGGTAACAGCAGGCAGCCTTCTGGTCAGTTACAGCAACGCTGGCTCTGTGTTTCCTCCATAAACTGTAACCATTCCTGTAACTTCCAAATGGAGGTTTTGTGAGGGTTAGAGAGAGAATGGCTTGTGGAGTACCTGGCATGCCGACACGTAAAAGCTCTTATCATCCTCTTCAGCAAGAGCCCACCATGGGTGGTTAATAATAGTCCTGCTGAGGGTCACTTGGTCACAGCAGCGACTTCTGTGGAGCTCAGTTTTGGCCAGCACAACACCCATCTTGGTTCTCAGTGCAAAGGGAGGCATTCGTCTTTTCCCTTGAAGATCATCATAAATATGGATTCATTTCCTCTGTGTTTGTTCACATTTGCAGTAGAAATTGATCAGTAAGTACAACCAAATAGAGTCCTCTTCTATTTTTGATTTTAACAAATTTCACTTTTTTATTACTTTATCACTTTATGCTCGGCTAGTGTTGTAAGCCCTATCCACACAGGGCATGCCTTGCTCTGGAATTGAAAGCGAGTTTCCAGCGCCTTCCCAGGAAGTGCTCTGGGAGACTGAACCTCAGGAAGAGAGCTGCCTGGGCCATGGACATCTCCCTAATGTGTAGAAAGAAAATCCCTATTTAACATGCAAACAATCAATAAGCACAAGGTATAAATGGGGGGATATTTCTACCTGCTGTTTCCTGAGCATCAGTGAGATCCATTGCTCAGTGCTATCTCGCACCTGCTGAGCCGGAGCTCACCAACCTGCTGACTACAACAATCGTGCTTCACATGAAAGGCCTGGGGTTTTTTCCCAACTCAATACTATCTGAAGCAAATATGAGACTTTAAATAGACACTGGGAAACTTTATTCTCTGGGGCAACCAACTTCCCCATGGTGGTTCTTGCTTTCTTCCTTTTTCTTCATCGATCATACTCTTTGAAAAAAAATCACTTTTAAATGATATTCTCTTGAAGCCCAGTGGTTCCAGCCACACAATCCAGCTACATTCATGTTCTGGCTGCCGGGAAAAACCAATAACCACACAAAGACACCCCCACACCAACAGCCCCCACGCAGATACCCCTGCACCCCCTACACACAGACACCCCACAAACAGACACCCCACACACCACCACCAGGTAGAAAGGCTGAGGTAGGCTTATTTTTTAAGGCAACTAATATTTATATTAGGAATTTTAAATGATCACTTCTACTTTCATTTAAAAAATTTTTAATCTTTTTATTTCATGTATGTATGTATGTATGTATGTATGTATGTATGTATTTGAGACGGGGTCTCACTCTGCTGTGCAGGCTGGAGTGCCGCGGCACAATCTAGGCTCACTGCAACCTCCACCTCCTGGGTTCAAGTGATTCTCGTGCCTCAGCCTCCCGAGTAGCTGGGATTACGGGCATGCGCCACCACGCCCAGCTAATCTTTTGTATTTTAGTAGACACAGGATTTGACCATATTGGCCAGGCTGGCCTTGAACTCCTGATCTCAGGCGATCCATGCCCCTCGGCCTCCCAAAGTTCTGGGATTACAGGTGTGAGCCACCATGCTGGCTGCTACTTTCCTATTATGAGTGGTGGTGCCCAGCCACAGCCAGGGCTTGTACTAATGTCCTCTACTCCAAGCCTGCTTTTTCTCCTCACTTAGAAGAGATTAAAAGTGGGCAGCTGGGATGTCCCAGAGCTGTTCGTCTGGGACCCAAATCCCCTTTTTTTTTTCTGAGGGCTTGCCACTAGTCACCTTGACTTATAGATTAGGAACCAGGATACCCAGAGAATTCAGTAACATATGAGAGCATCTGCCTTTCCTGAGGGGGATGTTTGCCACCAGGGCCTGATCAAATTCACTGGTGTCCCTGTTCCCATTATTGGGTGGAGTTTTGAGGGAGTCTGGCTCGTGGGTGGCTCCTAGTCTCATAGGCATGGAGATGTGTGTGTGCACCTGTGAGTGTTTGGTGTGTGTGCATGTGCATTTGTGCATGTGTGCACATGTGTGTGCTTTGTGTGTGTGTGTGTGTGTGTGTGTGTGTGCGCAGAAGCCATTCCATTTACCTAGATGTTTGGGTTACAGTTTTTTTTTTGCAAAATTCACAGATAATTTACTCTTTAGCATAGAGGGATTTTTAAATTAAACTTTCTTTATAAAGTTTTTCATAAAAACTAGAGGTGTTGATTTCTATGTTTTCCTGTCCCCTCTGGTCTTGACGCTGATGTTTTGTGGCCAGGCCTGGGCTTGGGACAGGCTCTGCTCAGAGCCACAACTTGCCATATTTCTGTGTACCTACCTGGCAACGGAGGGAAGACAGTTCCTACGTCCTAATTAGTGAAGGAAGAACAGATGGCCGCAGATGCCTGAAGGCAAGGATGGAGGGAGGCACCCAGCGGCGACACCAGAATAAAGAGCCGATTGCAGCCCAGTTCAGTCCTTCCTGACAAAGGGGCCTAAAGAGTCTCAGCCCACGAATATGCCTCAGCAGTTTTACTTTGCAAACTACACTCCAAAAAGGGCAACCTTCTTTTAGAGAAGCTGCCAAAATGATTGCACCGTGCGGATGACGAGCTGCCACAGAGTGCCGAAGAGGAGGCCGTTTCAAATCACGGCCGTGTTCCGTCCATTATTTTGAAAGGACTGTGCAGAAAAGGTGGTCATTGGTGGGATGCTCTTTGACCTTGAGACGCTAGGGTTCAGAGAAGCCATTGTGAACATCACTAATGTGTGTGTGTCTGCGTGTGCATGTGTGTTCATGTGTGTTGCTGGTGAAAGAAGCCAAACTCTGTAAAATATTTGAAGAGATTTTTTTTCTGAGCCAAATGTGAGGACTGTGACCCATGACACAGCCTCAGGAGGTCTGAGAACATTTGCCCAAGGTGATTGGGTGGCAGCTTAGTTTTATACCTTTTAGGGAGACATAAGACATCAATCAATACATGTGAAGTATTCATTGGTTTCATCTGGAAAGGTGGGACATCTCAAAGTGGTGGTGAGGCAGGTGCTTCCAAAACACTGGTGGATTCAAAGATTTTCTGATTGGCAATTGGCTGAAATAGTTAAATTATTATCTAAAGAACTGGAATCAGTAGAAAGGAGTGTCTGGGTTAAGATAAGGAATTTTAGAGACCAATGTTCTTATTATCTAGATAAAGTCTCCTGGGTGGCTGCCCTTAGAAGCAATAGGTGGCAAATGTTTCCTGTTGAGACTTTTAAAAGGTGCTAGGCTCTCAGTTAATTTTTTTCAGGATCGGAAAATGACCTGGAAGTGAAGGCGATTCTCCACAGAATGTAAATTTCTCCCACAAGAGATAGCTTTGCAGGGCCATTTCAGAATAGGTCAAAAAATATATCCTGAGGTAAGATACTTTGATTTCTTTCAGGGCCTGCTATCTGTCATGTGGTTTTATGCTCGAGTCAGGTTAGAATGTGGTACCTTATTGCTATCAAGAGTCTGCTTTGTCAGTCTTAAGATCTCTGCTTTCACATTAGTGCTGGTCAGTTGTGCCTGAATTCCAGAGGAAGGAAGGTATAACGAGGCAGTCCAACCCCCACTTCCCATCATGGCCTGAACTAGGATTTTTTAGGTTGCTTTGGAATCCCTTTGGCCAAGAGGAGGAGTCCATTCAGTCAGTTGGGGGACTTAGAATTTTATTTTTGGTTTACTGTGTGTGTGTGTGTGTGTGTGTGTGTGTGTGTGTGGCAGGAAGGCAGTCACAGATCTTGTTTCCTATAAACTCCTGTAGTTCTGAAAAGTGATCCCTGTCCCCAGATCACTCATTCACAGACCATTTGTACCCCAAAGCTTTCCTGGTTAATAAGGCAAAGGTCTTATTTCTTCATGGAGGTGGTAGGATTTGGGGTAAGAGCTTTAAAACTGGCTCCATTAATTAGCAACTGTGATTCTGGAGTTAATTAATCCCTTGGAACTGCAGATTCTTGTTATATAAAAACAATGAAATTAGTAGGTTTCTAGTTATCAGGACCTGGAGGAGGATTCAGTGAGATGACCTTGAGTCATATCTTTCTTGCAGCAAGGACATGAGGTTTCCATCTCATTGCACATGGAGCAGCCCCCAGGCTCTGGGAGCATCAACCAGGGTCAGCAGCAGAGGCTGAGCAGGGACCAGAAGGGTTCCCTGCAGGCTGGAGCAGTCCTCGCTCCCTGGTGGTCCTTGTGGAAGGCCATCCAGGCAGGCTTTTCCAGGGAGGGGTGGGCCTGGGCTTGGCTACTCATTCGTCTCCTACAGGGAAGCCAGAGCTCCAGTCCTGGTATTGCTGGGCAGTTGAGTGCCTCTTGGTCTTTACCGGGGAAAGGTGCAGGCAGTGGTGGGCCCAGAGCAGCAGTACCTCTCATCTCTGTGGACCCTCTGCTTCAGGTGGGTTGTGTCTAATGCAGGTGCTTCAGGCTGGCTGCACCTAGCTCTTCCACCTGCATGAGCATCTCACCTGCTGAGGCAAGCCTTATGCAATATGGAGGAAGCTGTGGCATGGTGGGCAGTGCCCAAGACCATTCTTCTCTCCAAGCCATGGCTGGAGAGAAGCTGCCCATAGCTGTGCTGTGAGAATAGCCATGGGCATTTGGTGGAATTGCCAGCTGGCCCCCAGATAAATGTCCTCCTACAGTTTTTCTTTTTGTTGCTGTTAAACGGTTTCACTCTGTCTTCCAGGCTGGAGTGCAGTGGCATGATCTCTGCTCACTGCAGCCTCTGCCTCCCAGGCTCAAGTGATTCTTGTGCCTCAACCTCCCTAGCAGTTGGGATTACAGGCATGCGCCACCCTGCCCAGCTAATTTTTGTATTTTTAGTAGAGATGGAGTTTTGCCATGTTGGCCAGGCTGGTCTCAAACTCCTGGGCTCAAGCAGTCAGCCCGCCTTGTCCTCCCATCTATTCCTTTTTAAAATGTTGATCTGCCAGAGATCTGCTTCCTGCTAGACTCATGCAGATGTGTAAAGTGGAGTCCCTTCCACTACACAGCAATCCCAATCTTTCCTATTTAGCACAGTGGAGGTTACACAGTCTGAGGGACATGGTCAGAGGAAATTCAAAGGAGCTACATTTGGGACAGGGGGCCTGTTCCATCCTGAACTGGATCTTTTTCACGCAGGTTGGAATATCTGTCTCCTGTTGGGAGAAGATGCACTGGGTGGCTATAGTGTACCTGTGGGATTGGTCTCCCCTGAGTCCAGTACACTCTCAGCAAGATTGGCTGAGGGCCCCTAACACGCAAAAGGCCTGGCAGGTTCTGCAGATCTACCCACATGCTCCACAACCCTGAGCTCCTCCCCCACCTTATCCCACCCCCTCCAGCACGTGTGTCCTCTCATCTCGCCCAGAACAGTGAGCCTGACTGCCTTTCCACTAGAGATGGCTGCTGAAAGCGCAGCTATAACCTAATCCCACCCAGTGGCCTTTTCTCCCTCTTGACCTGTCTTAATTCTAGCCCATGGGGCCACCCAAGAGTATCCTTTCCAGCTCTTGGTCTGAGGCATACCAAGTGGACACCTCCACATTTTGGGGGGCATAGGGCCTGCAGCCTGTTGGATAGGTCACATAGATGAAGGGAAAGCAGATATTCCCACATGAGCAGTGTCTTGGTGTCACCAGTCCACCGGCAGGTTCAGGCTCTGGCAGCTGCAGTTGACTCCCATACTCAGCCAAGCTTCCTGAGCATTCTGCCCTGGGAGGGGCTGCTGTGCGGTCTCCGCCTGAGTCCAGGATGATCCTCAGAAAGCCTTGAGATTGACACCTGGACTGGCTTCAGTCTATTGAGAAAGGACTCAGTGGAACCAGTTTGGAGCCCGGGCTGGATGCTGACCCTAAGGGCCTTGGGGTGCCTGTCATGCTCCCCATTTATTATCCCATGCGATTCAACCAATATTGTCCCTTGTGGGAATGTTTTCATTGCATCTTTGATGATTCAGCAAATATGTACTGAGCATCTACTGTGGACCAGGATGCTCTCAGGCCCTGGGACACAGCAGTAGCATAGCAGTGTGCCTGCTGGTGTGGGGCTGGCATTCCACACCCCACCCGGGTCAGGTGAGGCTGTTGCAGCTCTCAGCCTCCAACACCAGCTACGCTGTCAGGGCAGAGCTGCTCACGGCAGAGGTGCAGGTGCATTCCAAGAGGACTGGCTATTTCATTGCCCAATTCGAAAGCAATCCTCAAGTCATGCTTCGCTTTACAGCCATTTAATTTATAATGCAAACCTAATTTTATTTAAATCTATACCTTTAGACAAATGTCCCTGTCCCCAAGAAAGAAATGGAATGCTTAAGAAGGAAAACTGATATTTTTACCTTAAAACATCTCTATAAATACCTCTTGATTAACTTGATCTACAGGAATGTCGTTCCTATGTTTGTGTAGATAATATGTTTATCTTTAAAAACCAAGTGAATTATAACTAGTGCTCCCGTTTGCCAAAACAAATAGACTGCAAAATTGAACAGTGGTTGATTGTTTGTAAATGAATACACTATTGGAGAGAACCCATCCATCTCTCGCTTCCCTGAAACTCACTGATAAACTATAAATCCATTAGGAGGTTCTCTCTTCTGCAATTTAGAACCAAGGAGTAAACATATTCATATAGGGTCCCCGATGTTTGGGGATAATAGTTCTTGGGGACATGATTCATATGTAGTTTATCATCGGAGGACAGCCATCTTCAAGCTCCATTTTAATTTCCTTATGATCTTTGTAATATTTATTGTACAAACAAACAGGAACCCGTGCATATTTATGGGAAATAGTGAGGCTCTTAATATGAGCAGGTGCATAAATCCATGCACTCTGAAAAGAGGGAGACAGGTGAAGTCCAGATAGGCAGCGATCTTAGACATAATTTTCAATTAAAATGGAGTTGAGTGGAGCAGCATTGCAGTCATTCCTCATTTTTATTTCAGCTCCTGAGGCAGGTGGGAGAGTTAAGCTCCAATTCACGGTCTCATCAGGCTGTTTTCTAAAGGACCCACAGGCAAGTCCATTTGGGGAATTTAACAGAAGTGTCTTTTCCAGATCCTGTTATTTTCAGTAACTGTTTAGCACAGAAGATGGCATCATTCTGAAGCCCCCTCCTGGTGAGGGTTTCTTGCGTGCCACCACGGCCACGTTACACCACGCCAGCCAGGAAAGGGTGTGCTCCTGAGAGCAGACAGGACGCTGCAGAATGGTGCAGAGTGAACGTTTCCCTCTGAAACAATGCATGAAATGAAAACGGCTGGCACCCGCGATTGTTTCAGTGATTCATTGCTCTCCATAATGACAAGAGCAAAATCGAGTCAAAATTATTTTATCTTTTCAAAATTTTTCATCTGCAGTAATGCCCAGTTATAAAAGCACCATAACGAGGAGGTTTAACTTGATGAGTCTGAGGGCGTGCTCTGAGCACCAAGGGGCAGACTCCACGGGCGCCTCCGTGGGGCGGCTGGGGCCTGGCCATCAGGATGGGCACCGCAGGGACAGGGCTTGCCAGCTAAAGCTCAGATCCCAGTGCCATCCCTCGGTACCATGTGGCTGTGGAATAAGGAGATTTGTTCTGCTGAGACCCATGTTCTCAACTGTAAAACGCAAGTAATTCCGCCTCCTTTCAGGGATTCCTGAGGATGACATGGCAAACAAAGTTAGCAAAGGTGCCTGCAGATTTAGTGGCCAGTTCTCCCTCACGAGCACCTGCCCTGCTGATCTCTGAGCCTACAGAGGGTCCCTCAGGGCGGCTTGTTGCCTGCGTCGCTCCTGGTACAGGTGGAGTTGTCTGCTGCCTGCTGTGTTGGCCCAGAGCAGGTGCAATGAAGGCGCGCGCTGAGGGCTCAGGGGTCCCAGAGGCATATGAGGGATGGCTTGTGCCAGCAGAGTTCACACGGCCTGGGGAGCAGGGCCTGGCATGAATGCCAGTGTAGCCCCGGCACACGTGGCCTAGAGTTAGGCCAAGGAATGCGACGCTTCTGTCCTTCCCCTCCAGCCATCCTTCCCCTACAGTTCAGCAGTTATGAGGCTTCGAGCCTCTAGAGGGGGAGATCCTGAATATCCCATGCAGGGCCCACCTCATGGCAGTAGCTCAGGTCTGGCATCCAGTAGATACTTAATCAAGATCCTCCGAGTGTGTAAGTGCAGTTGGTGGCAAAACTCTCAGAGCCCCCGCAATGGGGCATGGCCCTCCCCACAGAGTGAGCTGATGCCTCAGTGACCAGGCCCAGGCCCAGGGATAGAGAAGAGGCCGTGGCCCCAAGTGAACAAAGCAGAGTGGATGACGGTGGGCTCGTGGCTCGGGCAGCCTCTTTGAAGGCACTGTTCAGCTATTGGCAGCTGTGCTTTTCTGAGGGTGGAGGTTAGTATTTCAGTTCCCGGGGGTGCTCCTGGAGGGAAGCTTTGGGGGAAGAACAGGCTCCCCCAGGAGGGTGGGCCAGCTCTGGGTTGACTGGTCCAACTCAGAGGGCTCAAGCACTGCCTCGCTGAGCTCTGTGAAGCTCTGGCAGGTGGGACAGTCACAGAAATAATTCCCGCCCAGGGCTTTTAATCAGGCAGGAGAGAGGAGATGGGCTCCCTGTGGCTGCTCAGCATCCTGTCCTGGGTTAAGTGTCTGCCTCACACCAAGCAGCGTTTGGCAGGCACTTCACAAGGATGGCAGTGTCGGCTCCCACACGGGTTCTGGGAAATACATGTCACTCCCACTGTGCAGAGGAGGACGCTCACGTGTGACACTGATGATAAGGGCTACGGTAATTCTATGAACCCTAAGGGTTATCTGAGGTCACACAGTAGGGAAAAGAGGAAAAAACGCATCTGTGCTAACTGGGGTGCCTGAGTCGTTCACAGAACCAGAAAGACAGGCTGGGGCAACAGGGCCCATTTCTACAAATGAAAGAGATTTTATGTGATAGTAACTTGCACACTAAGAGCTGCTTTGGGCTTCTGTTGGAGGCCAGTGGGCACGCAGTGTCGGGTCAGCGCGCGGGGGTTGTGGCCTCGGGCGGGTGGCCTGGGCAGGGTGCCCACGTTCACGGGCTCCTCAGCTGCAGTGCAAGCGCGTCTCACAGATACCCTCCCATCCAGTTCAGCTGCATTCAGGCAGAGAAGGTCAACTGCTTGACTATAGCTCCTCTCGAAAAGTTCATGAAATCAGAAAAGCAGCAGAGGGAGGACACAGCCCCCAATCCTGCCCCCTACCCTGGAACCAGGCTGATTGCCGCTCTCAGCGCAGCCTCCCTGCACCAAAGTCCTGCTGGGTGCAGCCCGCCAGGGGCTCTGGAGAGGTTTGTGTGGATTGGCACAGTGTGGAGTGGCCGCTGGGGCCTCCGGGCAGACGGGGAAGAGGTGCAGGGAGGCCGATGCCCTCCCATAAGTGTTCGTGGTGGAGGAGCTGGCCTGGCTTCAGGTGGGGATGCATCACACTGCCCTCAGGACCATTGGCCTATGCACGCACTGCAGGAGAAGAGACATCCCAGCTCCCCAAGAAAGGAGGCCTGGTGTGGGTGCCTTCCTCCCTCGCCAGCACCCATCGTTGGCCATCTATTCAGAAGAGCCTGTGCTGCCCACTCCTTCCCCTAGAGATCTTCCCGTGTCCCTGGCTTGCAGCTTTGGCCTCCCAGGGTCCTCCCACGTGTGGACTGACAGACATGCAGAGCCCTCCTGGGTCATCCCAGAGAGAGCAGATGACCTACCAGAGTCCCACGGAAACTTCACTCAGGGCTAGAGATACAGCTGATGTTGCTTTTTTTTTTTTTTTTTTACAGAGTCTCACTTTGTTGCCCAGGCTGGAGTGCAGTGGTGCAATCTCGGCTCACTTCAACCTCCATCTCCTGGGTTCAAGTGATTCTCCTCCTTCAGCCTCCCAAGCAGCTGGG
Source organism: Homo sapiens (assembly GCF_000001405.40). Classification (NCBI taxonomy): domain Eukaryota; kingdom Metazoa; phylum Chordata; class Mammalia; order Primates; family Hominidae; genus Homo; species Homo sapiens. Next base: position 130,729,600 of record NC_000010.11, read on the forward strand.
ACTACAGGTGTGCACCATCACACCCAGCTAATTTTTGTGTTTTTAGAACAGACGGGGTTTCACCGTGTTGGCTAGGCTGGTTTTGAACCCCTGACCTCAGGTGATCCTCCCTCCTCAGCCTCCCAAAGTGTTGACATTACAGGCATGAGCCACCACGCCCAGACTGCCTCTTTATCTTACCACCTTGCTAGGTGCCCAGCATATTTCTCTTGAGGACAGCACACTGTTGAAATGTCCTTGCACAGGAGTGGTGCAAAGTGGGGGACATTGGCCTAAGTTACCTTCACCACCAACCTGCCTCTGAGCATCTCTGGGGAGCTGCAGACATTAGCCCAGCTGGTGGCTCTGACTCTCTACAAGGATTCAAGGAGGAGCAGCTCACCAACCCTTCCCCTGGTCCCATGCCTCCAAGATGCACCATGAGACCTGGCTCCTGGGACTGAGGCCCCACCATAGGCACAGTCCTGAAGGCTGTGCTCAGGGACCAAAGTGGGGAGCCAGCTGCAGGGTGCCATCTGTTAGAAGAAACTGCAGTGGACAGAGCTGGTGGCTTTTCTGCAGTGCAAGACTGGAGCTGAGAACAAAGGGCAATGCCTTACCCAACTCTATAACAGCTGCAATGAGATGGGGTGCATTCATGTTATGTTAGAAAAGAATGAATCCAAACAATATCAAATTTTGGCTACAGAAAACAAAAATAGGCCAGGAAGAGTGGCTTATGGCTGTAATCCCAGCACTTTGGGAGGCCAAGGTGGGTGGATCCCTTGAGGTCAGGAGTTTGAGACCAGCCTGGCCAACATGGCAAAATACTAAAAGTACAAAAATGAGTTGTGTGTGGTGGTGCATGCCTGTAATTTCAGCTACTCAGGAGGCTGAGACACGAGAAGCGCTTGAACCCAGGAGGCGGAGATTGCAGTGAGCAGAGATCGCAGCGAGCAGAGATTGCAGCGAGCAGAGGTTGCAGTGAGCAGAGGTTGCAGTGAGCAGAGGAGATTGCAGTGAGCAGAGATTGCAGTGAGCGGAGATTGCAGTGAGCAGAGGAGATTGCAATGAGTGGAGATTGCAGTGAGCAGAGATTGCAGTGAGCAGAGATTGCAGTGAGCAGAGGAGATTGCAGTGAGCAGAGATTGCAGTGAGCGGAGGAGATTGCAGTGAGCAGAGATTGCAGTGAGCAGAGATTGCAGTGAGCGGAGGAGATTGCAGTGAGCAGAGATTGCAGTGAGCGGAGATTGCAGTGAGCGGAGATTGCAGTGAGCGGAGATTGCAGTGAGTGGAGATTGCGCCACTGCATTCAGCCTCAGTGACTGAGTGAGACTCTGTCTCAAAAAAAAAAGGAAAATAAACACTGTTGAATAAATGAAAGAAAGTGGTACTTTTAGTAAACAGCATGCCTAATTCAAAACCCAGTTAATTCTAAAAGAATGAAGGAAGGGCAAATACTGTACATGCTAAAATGTACTCACACCATAACCATATTTAAAACAACAGCATTTATCTATTTAGAAAACACATTGCTACATCCAGAGGTAATTAATTTAGTAATTAGGAACAGAAATTGCAAGCTCCAAGCAATCAAGGTCGTCTGTGCCTTAAGAGAAAATTTTGTCTTCTTATAGAAACATGTCAAGAAAAAATGGAAAGCTATGAGGGCAATTTCCTTTATAGTTCTAACTAGAAAATATCCTTAAACTCTTGCAATCATATATACACCCGTTAGTGCAATGCTCTTTCTGTATGACCGGTTTATCTTGGCTTTCTCTGATAGGAAAAAGAAAAATTGGTTACAAAGGAATTTGTGTTGATTTGTCTTTTTGAAACTACTGACTGTCATCCTTGCTGCACTTAACCTAATGCATCCCTGTGGGGAAGGAAAGAAACTCATAAAGGGAAGGACAGGTGAGGGTGATGACCGGAAAGAGAGTGGCCATCCATTTAAGATGGAAGAGCCTGTCAACACTTCCCAGGAGGTTGCCCGTGTCACCACACCGTGTACCTGGATTTATACACTTGTTGTGAGCAGGCCTGGCAGACACACTCTCAGAGTGTGAGACTGAACTCATGTGTCTGATGGGCTCCTGGGTGAAATCAGTTGAGTAAGCCATTCTTGGGTCTTCCTGGCCTTGGAACATCAAATCTGGGGAGGCTAGGAGGTGGGAACTTATTTTCAAGTGATGGTGAAAGTTTTTTTTTTTTGAGATGGAGTCTTGCTTTGTCACCCAGGCTTGAGTGCAGTGGAGCAATCTCAGCTCACTGCAACCTCCGCCTCCTGGATTCAAGCGATTCTCCTGCCTCAGTCTCCCAGGTAGCTGGGATTACAGGTGCATGCCACCATGCCTGGCTAATTTTTGTATTTTCAGTAGAGATGAGGTTTTACCATGTTGGCCAGGCTGGTTTCGAACTCTTGACCTCAAATGATCCACCCACCTCAGCCTCCCAAAGTGCTGGGATTACAGGACTGTGTCCGGCTCATAGTCAAAGTTCTTAAAGCACCACTGAAAATACAATTGAGAGGCACAGGGAAATGTGTGAGGGAGCTCCCATCGAGCCTTAACCTGCCAGGCCCAATGGGGTGATGGGCAGATTTGCTTCCATGTCAAGGATGCTGCAGATATGTGAAATACTAAGAAGGATGGACAGGAGAGCATCGATCTCCTGCATGCTCCGGGGCCCCCTGAATATTATCATGCTATTTGACAATGGCTTTCGATGAAATAAAGTATACAATGCTCTACCAGCTGGATTAAAATATTGAGCTGCCATTGCTCTCTGCAAGGCATTATTTGATTAGCATGATAAAGTACAGTACAACTTTTACAACTGCCAACATGCATATTCCTGGGGAAATAATTACACAGTACCCGAGGATGTGGCTTAGTGCTTAACACAACTATTTTTCCAAGTCATGATGAAGAGTGTGACACCAATTTACCACTTTCCCCTCTCATAATGTCAAACAGCATTAAAAAGGAAGTTTAAAAGGCACTTTCACACACAAATTTTAAAAAGAGAAAGTGCCACTTTCTATATGAAAATATAGTTGCTTTGTTTTGATCGGCATGAGAGTATAAGAACGAGTGCTCTGCTTGAAACCATGCGGAGAAAAATTGAAATGATTTTCCCATGGTATGTTTTATTTCATTCCATTTTTTGGTGGCTGAACCGTTTAACTGTCCTCTATTTTCCGTGCTTCAGGGAGAAAGAGAAAATCAAAGTTATGCTTGACTACTTGATGCCATGTTTCTTGTTCTCAAGTAAAATCTACAAAAACCAGCTCGGTTTTGGTGTCAGGAAAACTAGGGCTCCCACACTGGCTTTGGTGCTGCCTCGCTCTGTGGCTATGGACAAACCACACATCTTTCTGGGGTTCAGTTTTCTCACTTTTAAAGTTGGAATAGTAAGGTGTGACCTTGTAGTGTTGTTGTGAGAGTTAAGAGGTGAGCCTTGCAAAAATGATCAAGAGGATAAAGTCAAGGGAATTAGAGACACCAACCTTGCAATGGAAGATTGTGGAGCTGAAGAAGATGCTCTAGAACCTCCTACCTACAAACTCCATGTGAAATACATTACATATCTTTATAGTTTACCATTGTTATGTGAGCTTTCTATGACATATGGCTGAAGGCATCATGATGGATTGAATATATACATGACCAAGAATTATTTCTTTCCTGTATCCATATTGGTTCCCTCAACCTGTAATTTTTAGTGCCCACTCACTCTGACTTTGAGATTGGCCATGTGATTTGCTTTGACTAATGGGATATAAGCAAATATTCAAGGAGAAGTTTGAAAAGCTCCACGGGTCAGGGTTTGTCTCTCTTGATGCTCTTAAAACCTGACATCACCATGTGAACAGCACATACACATATGTACACACAAATACATGGGGATATTTTCTTCCAGTATTCAAAGCTGTAATTTAAGTGAGCAAAGAATTCACTTGTCACTTATGAACATTTGAAATTCTGACAGAAATATTTGCTGTTTCCTTTTCATGTTACTTGTTAACATAAATAAAATTATCAACCCATAGTCATGTCAGAACTACACTCATTGATACTTGCAATCATAGGTCACCTACAGATACAAGATGTTAGAAAAAAAATTCCCTGAGATATATTTAGCTATACAGAATTTACAATACATGTGTTTCGCATTTTATTAATATTTGTAGATTATATGCTACATACCTGTTATATCAATAAAATTTATAAAGAACAACAACAACAAAATGATGCTTCAAAGAAGTGCCCAAGATAGGCGCTATCGCTTTCCACTTATTCCCCCATGTCCCCATTGAGTACCCACTGTCTTGGGCACTGTTCTAGGTGCTGGGGATGCCGTGTCCAACACAATAGCAAGGAAGCTGCTTTCGTGGAAGTGGTGTTCTCATGAAGATGGGAAAAACACATAAGACATTTCTGATGACAATCAAAGCTCTATGGAAAAGAGGCTGGGCACGGTGGCTCATGCCTGTAATCCCAACAATTTGGGAGGCTGAGGTGAGTGGATCACCTGAGGTCAGGAGTTCTAGACCAGCCTGGCCAACATGGTGAAAACCCGTCTCTACTGAAAATACAAAAATTAGCTGGGTGTGGTGACGCATGCCTATAATTCCAGCTACTCGGGAGGCTGAGGCAGGAGAATCACTTGAACCCAGGAGGCGGAGGTTGCACCACTGCACTCCAGCCTGGGTGACAGAGTGAGACCCTGTCTCAAACAACAACAACAACCCCCAAAACAAAGCTCTATATGGAAAAGGAAGAGAAGAACGTGATGGACAGTGATGGGCAGTGGTACCCATGGTGGTGACAGTGAGGCCTTATGAATTGGGGACAGTTGAGGCAAGCCTGGACGGCAAGGAGGGAAAAGGCATAGGGCGCTTTGGTGGAGAGCATTCTAAATGGGGAAACTCACAGATGCCAAGCAGCTGGGGTGGAAACAGGTTAGACTTGTTTCAGGGAAGGAGGGAAGGCTGACAGTGGCTAGAGCATCCTGTCTGCTGGTGGCATGTTTGGGATGAAGTTGCAGAAGCAGGCGGACGGAGGCCATGTTATGAGACCCCATAGGCATGAAGGGGAATGTGGCTCATTCCAGCATGGCGGGAAGGCACGAGGTGTTTAAACCAGACATTTATGCTCAGATTGTACTCTCCATCAAATCACTCAAGTTGTCATGTAGAGAGGGGCCATGAGAGGGCAGGTCAAGAGACCAGACAGCAGGGCAGTTTGGTCTTGGATGGTGAGGTCCAGTGAAGAAAGACTCAGGAATTACTGTGGAGCGAGTAGAGCCCATGTGAGCAGCTGAGGGCTCAGATGTGGAGCTGGTGGTAAGGAGGGGATCAAAGGCAGCCACTTGGATTGGGGTTGAAGCATCTGGGTGGGTGGGTACCACTTCCTGAGACCGGGGTTCACCTCTTGTTATGATTTTCATTTTCTTCTCCCCCATCAGGATGAACATAACATCAGCCAATGCCAAGAACCAAAACCTTCTTGGATTAGATTCAAAATAAACTACAGGCAACGCAGCTTTTTTTCTTTTTTCTTTTTTTTTTTTTAATTTTGGAGTTGTGCTGTTAAAGGAAGGAGGGAGAAGGTGGAGCAGTAGCTGCAGAAAAAAGAGGGATGGAGAGATGTTTTACTCTTAGTTTTCAAGGGGAGAAGCCACAGCATGTTTATGTGCAGATTGGAGGGATCCAGCGGTGAGAGGTTTGATGATGCTGGGGAGAGAGGGGAGAATTGCTATAGCAATGTCCTTGAGCAGGAGAGAGGCTGGGCCCACAGGCACCAGGGGAGGGGTTGGGATGTGACGCTGGAGAGAAGTAAAGTACATGGACACAGATCCAGATGGGCAGGCAGAGGTGGGAGGCACAGAAAATTGTGTTCTGATTCTTTCTATTTTCTTGGTGAAACAGGAAGCAAGGTCAGCAGGTGTACCATGGCAAGGAGAGCAGGTGTACCATGGCAAAGGGGCTGTTGCAAGTTTCAGGAGGTAGGAGGAGTTTTGAAGGAGGCATTAGAGGGTGGGAGAATAATATACCAAACATAAAATATTGAAGATTTCTGGGCAGCGTCAGAATGGCCTTGATGGCAGCAAACTTGGATTTGCAGAGCCAGTTGGGAAGGCTGTGTTCCATCAGTCACATTCAGTCACATAGGCAGTCGACAATGAACCTGGCAGAGAGCTGGATCTAACCTGGGTTGAAATTTAGCCAAATATAGTACAACAAAGAAAGGGAGGGACAGAGGATCTGGGAGCATGCACAGGAGTGATTGTGAAAATTAACCAGGGAGTTAAGTTTAGTTTGAGGGAGGGAGAAAGCATGGACATGGGGGGTGACAACTGAGGACGTCGTGATGAAATCAGTAGCCTGAAGGCTGGTCGGGTGGAGGCGTGTTGGGATTGGGGTGATGGAAGGTGGGAGCTAGAGGCTTTGGCCAGAGAGGAGATGCTGGAACCTGAGTGTATGGAGGGGCTGTGGCGATCAGTAATGATGGGCTTTAGGAGTGACCAAAGGATGATGGGCTTTAGGAGCGACCAAAGGATGATGGGCTTTAGGAGCGACCAAAGGATGATGGGCTTTAGGAGCGACCAAAGGATGATGGGCTTTAGGAGTGACCAAAGGATGATGGGCTTTAGGAGCGACCAAAGGAGGGCAAAGGCTGGCAGGAAGGAAGACAGGATCGCTGGAGGAGAGGAGGCTCATGCAGGAAAGAAAGACAGAGGTCGGAATCCAGCTGGGGCCCTGGGAAGATGCAATGTCAGTCCAGGCTGGGAGGGCTATTACAGAACATGCAGCCCCCGCCATGGGGAAACACCCCTGCATTGAAGAAGGAAGCCTAGCATGGTTCTGGGATTTGCTACTAAAATAGTGCATTTTTCCCCACCCAGCCCCACCCCATCCATTGAGCAGTCCTGGGGAGTTTGTCCTAGCCCTGCCACATGCTTGCACATCCTTCTAGACCTTTCTCCTGAGCCCATGTGTGAAGGCAGCCCTCCCAGTCTTCCTCCTGTGCATGGAGTTGCTGCCATGCCACGTGTTCCTGGGAAGTTTAGGACACACAAGTCTCCTGGGGTGTCTGAGGACACACTCCCTGGTCATTGCCCTGCAACAGCTTCTGTCCACCCACAGCCCCTTGTTCTTCTTGGCCAATCAGCCCTCCCATGGCCTTTAATCTCTCATGGCACAACCCAGCACATTAGGGCTTAGCTTATTTCCTAATCACAGCACATGCCAATGCATTCTCAAATAACGCTGTGCAGCAAATGTCTATTATCCTGGAAACACAGGCCACTGTCCAAAATTCTGCAACCCTTTTAATTCCCTAACAAATTTCAGAGGTGAGGAGTCTGAAGCTTAGAGGGATCTCTGCTGGCTTAACCAGGACCACATGGTGACTTGATGCCTGATATTTTTTCAGATTTGAACCCTGAACCTTGTATCCTCCTTGGCTGGTGGGAAATGGAACATCCCATGACTTAAATAACCAGTGTAAATCCTGATGTCCCCAAAGCGTTTCTCCACGGCTTTCTTACGATGACTCAGGAGGTCTCTGAGTGGCATCCTGCCTCTCAGTATTTCACAGTTAAAGGGAAAAAAGACAAGGGTATAATTTTTGCTAATGGATTATTATATTCCATTTACATATATTTTTCTAATTATTTTATTCATAAAAAATTATTGCTCCAACTAAATGGCATGAGATTTCTTTCTAAGGGAGGCTTGAGCAATTTGCCAAGCCATCTGGACAATTGATTTAATTAGCAGCACCGCTCTCATGCTGATGAGGCTGGGGGAGATGAGAGCTCTTCCCCAGTGCTTGGAGCTGCCTCTGTGTTTCAGCTCTGCTTGTGCAATGAGGGTTTCTAGTGGAGAGGGAGGGCCTCCTTGGAGGAGTCAAATCTGTTATGCAACTTAGGCCTTCGATTCATGGTTCTTGGTTGCAGTGAGCAGTTATGAGAGGAAGAGGACATGGGGGGCTGTGGATGTGCATTCCCTTCGAGGACGATGGTCTCAAGAAACTTGAGGGTCTGTTATACCCTCGGGAGGTGCCACTGCCAAGGAGAAGGCCCCAGTTTTCAAGCTGTGCAGACCTAGCCTAGGTTTAAAACCTAATGGATAGGACATGGAAGCAGAATCATGATGCTTTGTGCAAGCACAGCATCACATGGGGGGACAGAGATCAGCCTCCAAAAGACACATTCCCAACCTCATAGGGAAAGACATTTCAGGACCACAGACAGCGACCAAGCATGTTGCCTCTTCTTCCCAAACGACAGGGAAAATACATTGTTAAAGCAGTCGATGTGTAATAGGTACCACCAAAGTTTACTAATTAATTAACTTATTTCATAGACAGGATCTCGCTCTGTTGCCCAGGCTGGATCTTAGTGGCAGGATCTTGGCTCACTACAGGCTTGACTTCCTGGGCTCAAGCGATCCTCCCGCCTCAGCTTCCTGAGTAGCTGAGACCACAGGCACATGCCACTATGCCCGGCTAACAGAAGTTTCAATGAAAAATAATGCAAAGGCAGGCAGACATGGAAGGAAGAGCTGTTTTAAGTAGGATGCTGTATCAATCAAGACCCCAGCAGGACACAGAGGGCAACCTCACAGAGTTTAACTACAGAGAGCTAGCAGGAGGATCATTTATAGAGCTGCATGAAGAGTTAAAGGAGCCCAGAAGCAATGGTGGAGCCGTCAGGAGTGGAAACAGCATCGAGCCATGAACGTCTTTAAACCTGAGGAGGCAAAAGAAAAGAGCAGTGTTCCCAGAACTGGTAAGAGCTGTGAGTATGGAAAAAGGGGCTGCCTACTGGGGCTGCAGTCATAGGTAGAGAGATGCATTTATTGCCAGAGTCAAAGAGAGGTAGCAAGGGGCCAAGGGGTAAGGCCCTGACCCCCTCTTCTCCCTCCTCCCTCCTTGTCTCATGCTGCTGCCTTCCATTGAGCCCAACCAGAAGCCAGAGGCACGAGAGCTTTGGTTATGGGGTCTGTGCCTTCCGAGAAGGGTATATGGAGGGGCAAATGGAAAATAAACATCACGGAGGGTGAAGGATGGTGCTGTGGTCTGAATGTGGGTCTTCTCTAAACGTGCTGTTGAAATGTAATCCCCAACTTTGGAGGCGGGGCCTCGTGAGAGGTGTTTGGGTCATGGGGGAGGATCCCTTGTGGCTTGGTGCTGTCTTCATCACAGTGAATGAGTTGTCAGGAGATCTCGTCATTTAAAAGTGTGTGGCACCTTCCCTGCCCATTGCTTCTGCTCTGTCAGGTGAGACACCTGCCTTCTCTTCACCTTCTGCCATGCTTGGAAGCTTCTTGAGACCTCCCCAGAAGCAGATGTTGGCACTGTGCTTCCTGTACAGCCTGCAGAACCATGAGCCAATTAAACCTCTTGTCCTTATAAATTACCCAGTCTCAGGTATTTCTTTATAGCAATGCAAGAATGACCTAAGACAGAAGGCTACTCTGATAAAGTCACATTGGAACAGAAAGCTCAATAAAACAGGCTGAGCCCTGTGGATGTCTGGGCAGGGGAAAGCATGTGTGCAAAGGCCCTGAGGCAGGCTCTGCTTGGTGTGCATAAGAGCAAGGAGGCCACTGTGGCTGGGCAGCATCGGTGGGAAAGTAGGAGAAGAAGAGGGCAGGGGGTCAGCAGGGCTGGGCCAGGGCCAGGCAGGTGGGCAGTGTGAAGGCACTCACAGTGTGCAGGATGCTGTGCCTCAGCCTGAGTGGGGGTAAGGTACTGGAAAATTTTAGGCAGAAGACAAACCTAATATAATTTTTAAATGACGACTCTAATGCTTCTATGGGGAGTAGATTGGAGAAAAAAGGCCAGTTTAAAAACTACATGTATTCAATAAATATCTATTGAGCACCTACTCCCTGCCATGCTGGTCTAGGGCCTGAGATCATAGCAGTGAACTCAGTCAAAGAAAACCAAACCCGTCTCTTGGTGGACCCTTGCGCAATAGGCCAGGCAAGACATCAAGGTAGCTTCAACTCGGGTCTTCATGGCAGACAGCAGGAAGTGGTCGGATTCTGATAGACTTTGAAAACAGAGCCATGATGATTTGCTAATGGATTGGAAATGTGACACAAGGACAAGAGCCCAAGTCTTTTGACCTCAGTGATTGGATAGAGAACACACCAAGAGGGCTGTGAGGACAGGACCAGCCAAGCACCTGTTTGGGCATCTTCACTTCCAGCTGCTCCTGGGTATATGATGCTGAGGGGCCTTGGACACACACGGTCTGGAGACTGAGGGGGCAGAGCTGGCATTCTGGACAGGGAGTTGTTAGCACACAATGGTATCCCGAGCTATAGCACCGTGTGAAATCACCTAAGGCATGAACCGAGGTGGAGAACGGACGAGGTTCCAGGACAGGGGCTGAGTGGCCACCACCCAGGGACAGTCTGGATTGTGAGAAAGAGAAGCAGAGCTTCAGGAGAAGGCCCAGGAGAGAGGGGTACCCTGGAGGCCGAGAGCAGAGAGGGATAAGGGAAGGAAGGAGTGGCGCGGGGCTGGAGATGAGTGTGGCAGAGAATGGATAAGGAAGCCTGGAGACTGAGCACGGGTTTCACAATGTGGAAAGGTTTGCATGAACCCGACAAGAACAGTTGGGGTCATCTTTTATTAACACCTAAAGTATCTGCATGAAAGAATGCCCGGAAGGCCCTGTGGAGCCCAGCAGGGAATGGCCTCCCTCGTGCTCCCTCCCACATGTGTATGGGAGCCACATTCAGAAAGAGCGGCCACCACCCCTCCAGGTGCCGACCCGGGACACCACGTGATTATTTGCTGCGGTCCCTGAGTGGGGAAAGCGCCAGATCACATCTGGGGCCATAGTTCCTGATGGTTGTCAATGCTGGCAGTTTATGAGCCAGTGTCCAGTTGCTCCTCGCAGAAGTTAGATGCACCAACAGCAGATGCTCCTGGCTAAATCATGCAATCTCATTTTATGAATAGCTCTGTAACCATCTGCATCCTGATTCTCACCTGAGTGCACCAGGTGGACAGGTGAGTGAGAAGCTGAGAGAGACAGGGGGGAAAGAGCCACACTCCAGGTTGTGAGCAGCCACAGGTCAGCCGCATGGGGCAGGGTCAGCAACCTAATAAAGTTCTTCCAAATCTGACAGATGGTGGGAGGGGACACTTCTTTCCTGAAGTACAATCCTTTCAAAGCCTTTTAAATTCAGCTGCTACAATACGTGGCAGCCTCTTTTTTCTGTCTAATGAATTTGTAAAACTGCTTGGATACAAGCAAACTGGCAAATATCCACCCATAAGCCACTGAGTGACTGAAGGCCAGCCAGAGCCAAGGACCAGGAATGAGGGAGACAGGGAGGCGGGGAGAGCTGGCGATCCCGGCTGCCTCCCAAGACAGCTCCCTCTCCAGAACAATGTTGTCTCCAAGACCAATAAAACCAATAGACAGCGGGGACCAAGCATGGCCTCCTGGACTGGAGACAGGGACGGGAGTGTGGAGCTGGACACTTCAGAGGCCTGAAGCCTGGTGAAATGGCAGAAGGCCCTCCACAACTGAAGCTGGTGACGTGTCCTCCAGACAGCAGCAGACGCCGGGCACGAAGCACACAGCAGCCCCTCGTGCTCTGCTGTTTCAAGGCCTTGGACCCAGCCGTCTGTGGTGTAGATGCAGCCGGGTGTCTTCTGCACTGGGACTGAGTAGCTAGAGAGAAAGAGGGCCGTGTGGGTGTTCCTATCTATGCTGAATTCTTCCAGCAGAACACAGAGTAGCTCCTCCAATAATTTTTGGAAAACTTTCCTAAATCGCTAGACATACTCACAGGAAGAGGCAAATGTGGCCAAAGCTTTTGGGTTCATTAGAGGTTGAATTAGTATTTCCAGCATGGTTTCTTAGCCAAGCAAACAACAAGAAAAACAAATAAAATGCCTAGAGAAGCTTGGCGGGCAGATGGAGTCTGGAAGAAGGTGCTCGGACATTTCAAACGCAGTTTGGTAGAGGGCCAACGAGAGCAGGGAGATTTCACTGCACGGGGCGCCAGTACCATGGGCTGCCTTTAGCTGAAAGGAGTCATTGCTGACAAAGCAAATGTGTGTGTGTGTGTGTGTGTGTGTGTGTGTAAGACAGAGAGCACATGGGTGAGGGTGTGTGTGTAAAAGTATCAAAGATTTTTAATTTGGGGGGTGGTGTGGGGACCACAGACGTCTTTAAAATTCGGTTAATACTGTGGATATTCTTCCAGAAAACATGCACATGCACCCAGAGGAAAAGAGTTTTGTGTTGGGCTTTGATGTTTTCACCATCAGGCCGAGAACTTCAGACCCACGATAACACGTAGAGAGCTTCCATTGGTTCTCAAAGTGCAGCAGACACGAGGCAGCAAGCAGAGCTTCAGGAAGGGCTGTGGAGATGTTTCATGGAAACCTAGGATAGGCCTCCTGCTCTTGTGGGACTTCCTGGGGGGTCTCCTTCCACTTGGAGCAGTTGGAAGGATGGCCGGACCCCAGCCCAGGCACCCAAGGGGCTGTAGACGCACTTTGTGACATCAGACGGCACTGGTGACCTGGGGCAGGCCCTGCTCTGGTGCTGGTTCTGAATCCGGCCTTTTCATCATCTCCTTCCTGATTCTGGGCGTGGGTTTACCTGAGAGAGGGAGTTTGGAGCAGCAGCAGGCAACAGCTAGAGGCAGCCTCCCCAACCACAGTCACAGGGCTATGGGATTCTCCCAGGTCCTGTGGCCACTGCTGCCTGGATGACGCTGGCTCTAGGCCACCTTTTCTCCCTGTGCTGGCCACAGGGCAGGAGGGACAACCTGCTCTGTCAGTCTGTGTCTAAGAGATGCCACTCAAAACTCACAGTTAGGCCCCGCCCCATGTTCAGCAGGGGCAGGGGGCTTGTGGGTCCCAGCCCACCAGGCCGGTCTCAGCAGCGCAGATGTGAGAGCCCTGGACACTGTTACAGGGTTGGGCCTGCGTCTCCCCTTGCTCCACCGCACAGGGCTGCAGTGCCTCGCATGTGTGTTCACAGCAGTCCACGTCGGTGCACGTCTCCAACAAACGGAAGAATTGTCACAGGAATGATGAGAATTGCAGTGGCTGTTTTTCATTTTCAACAAGGTGAGAGCTCTGCCCAGGTGAGGTGTCCTGGCTCTGAAGGAACTTGCTTGAAGGACTCATGGGCCGAGCGAGGGAGATTGCAGATCCTGTGGTCTTTAAACTTCCCCTGCCACGTCTTACGTCTTCATCCCCATCCTGCATCCCCAGCCTCTGCCTCCTCTGGGCCTGACACTGAGCCCACAGGGTGCATCCACCCAGAATTGCCGTTGAAGACTCAGCCTCCTCTTTCAAGGAAAAACTACTGTGTCTATTTTCAGCCCTGGGTCCTTGCAGAACTTCATGGTACAATAAAAGAAAGAATTCCCAGACCCATGGGTTTCCGAGGAGCTGAGACCTTAGAGCACTAAACTCCAGCCCTGCAGGCCTTCCCCACCTGCCCGCCTCCTTCCCCACCTGCCCGCCTCCTTCCTCACCTGCCCGCCTCCTTCCTCACCTGCCCGCCTCCTTCCCCACCTGCCCGCCTCCTTCCCCACCTGCCCGCCCCCTTCCCCCATCAGGCACTGCAGTCCAAGAGCAGAGCAGCCCTGAGTACAAATCAGAGAAGATATCGGGAATCAGAAGAAAATTAGAGAGAGTGAAAGAAATGGGCGAAATGATTGCTTCTGACCATCCCAGAAGCCAAACCATCAGAGCAAATGGGACCCAAATCCAAAATTGCAGCAAAATGAGTCCAGTTCAGGGGATTTTAGAAACAGACTTGCAGAAACGCAGCTGTGTTCCGGCCCATGACCATAGCCGGGCCCTCTCAGACTCTCGTAACGACTGAAATTGGAAATGGCCAGGGCAGCGGGGAGAGCTGGAGGGGACAGGAAAGTGGACAATTTAGAGAAACTGGAGGCTGGCAGAATGCTCTGCGAGAGCTCTGAGAAGAAGAAGTACATAACCAGGTCTGCTAAAATGGGATGCCTTTTGGGAGGCCTCCCCATACCCTTCCATGATTATAAGGGAATGAGGGTGATAAGGGGACCTGCTGAGGCTGCGGAGACGCGGGGCTAGAAAGTCTGAGTGCCCAGAAAAGCTCAGAAGGAAGCCCAGCAGGACACCCGAAGAACCCCACAATGACCACGCTGAGGACCTCAGGACAGCCCCTGTGGCAGCAATCACCCCAGCTTCCCCAGACACCAACAGCCAAAAAGCCTCCCCAGGCTTTGCTTTCCCAACCCTGAGCAGAGATGAGCAGAGGCGGCTGGGTCCTGCACTGCAGACACCCCTGCCCTCCCCTGCGCGACTCCCTGGATGGCTTCTTGCTCAGTTGGCTGCCGTCCTTCCCCACCTGGCTGCCCACCTGGCATCTCCACCTCATCATCTTTCCCTGCCCAGATGCCCTCCTCTGGCAGAGTCTGTGGCAAAAGCCCCTGTGCCTCCCTGTTGCTGATGCTGCTATGGGCTGGGTGGAGGCTGGGGGTGGAGGCTGGGCTGCCGGGGCCGCAGGGCCACCCTTGCCTCTGCTGTGACCTGCATGTCTCACCTGAGCTCGGCCTGCTTGGCCATCCGGTGGGGCTGGCTGCACCTTTGGGCTTCTGTCTGGGTTTCAGCCCAGCACCCCCTGCCGTCCCTGCAGACAAGGAGGCTTTCCTTCCCACATGTCCCTGGTTGCATCCCAGCACCTCCTGCCCTCTGCCCTCCCTGCAGATGAGGAGGCTTTCCTTCCCACGTCTCCCTGGCTTTCCTCCAATGGCTGCTTTCTTGTTTCTTCTCATGACCACTCAAGCTCTGGAAAAGCACATTCTTTCCTCGCCCTTCCTATGGAAAAAAAACCCAAAGCCAGAGTCCCACAGGCTGAGGCCCTGAGATGGTGTAGGTGTGAAAGCCCAGAGCTTCAAGGGGTCCCTAGATTGCCCAGTGTGGCCCCTCTGGCCCCGCCCATCAACAGCTTGCAGACAAGAAGCAAAATCCCTGTCCCTGCTGGGACTCTACTGAGAGCACAATAGAAACCCTTTCAAATCCACTCTGCAGAGTTCAGTGGAGACAAAACTTGTTTGTATTTTGTTCCCCTGATCCAATCTCTTGGTATGTCTTTTTTCTTCTTCCCTGATAGCTAGTCTAAAGCTCGTAACCAAGGACCAGACTTCGTGAAGTTACAGGTCATTTAAGCCACCTGCTGGGCCAGATGGGGGAGTGAATGCCTGGAATTTGCAATCCTGATCTGCAGGTAACTTGATGGAATTATAGGCCAGCACTTACAACGGCTGTGTCCACCCTCGGGAGCAATGCATTTGGAGTCCAAGCCCAGTGACCAGAAGCTCACGGCGGAATCTTCTAGTATGGAAAATGCAGTTCCAGCTCCCTGTGCTCTGTGGATCCCAAGGTGACGCGCTTGAACCAGATGACTTTATTGCTTCTCTTTTTCTTAAGACATTGTATCAGTAATTATTTGGGATCTTAAACCAACAATTACCAATTACCGATAAGCGTAAAAGGCCCTCATTAGAGGAGTCAGCAGCCTGCTGGGGACAGAGCCCCTGACGGCGTGAGGCAGCACAGCAGACTTTTGGCAGCAGTGCAGAAGATGCTGGAAACGTTCTGAGAACACCGGCAGCCTGCAAAGCCTACGACAGACACTTCCAGTAAAGAGGGAAGTCCTGGCTGGGGTCTCTGTCCTTCTTCATCTTTTCTTCAGCTCCTCTGCCCTGATGTACCTGGGCTGGGCTGGACAGCTTCCTCTCTTTTCTGACCGCTTCTTACCCTCCTGACCCTCCTTCTCCCCCACCGACTCCTGCCCAACCCAGGTGGCCACCTGATGCTCCATGCATTGCCTCCCTGGAGCCCCCGTTCTACCTGAGATTGTCCCCTTCCTCTTGGAGTCCATCCCAAAGATATCACCAGCAGTACGGCTTGGGGAGAAAATGGTAGCTGCAGTAACCTGGAAAGCCAGCCTGAGAGGCACTTACATGTGAAAGAGAAGCAGGTGAGTCTCCCCATATGCAAATCTGGGTGCCAGGGAGTGGGTGGGCATGAGGGCTGTCCTAAGCCTTCCAGCCCCTTTGCCTGCTGCACCTGCTAATGTCTCCTGGGTGTCTCCTGTGTGCAGTGGGCAGGGCTAGTAAGTATTCACAGCCAACACCTGTCGTCCCTAGGCAAGGAAGTTCTGAAATCTGAGCTCTTCCTTGACACACTTCTGCATTCCCTATGGAAGGTCTATGCTAAGATATTCCAGGACAGCCCTTTGGGAAGCTCTCTGACGAGCTGGGAAGATTTTCGGATATGAATGACAGCCCTGCAGGTGTGTGCCTGCAGCCAAGTTACATGTCTCTGACAAAAAGCACTGAGTCAGAGCAGTTCTCTGCTTCCTCCAAGGCCACTGAGATGTCCTGTGTCCAGCAGAGTAGCCCAGGAATGTGGACCCACTGGTGCATGTGGGTGCCTTCAATACAGGGCACGAGCCAGTCTGGCTAATCCCAATGCGGTCCGGTCAAGCACCTGAAGCCTGGGAAACGCAGACCTCAGGGAGACTCCCAGCCATGCAGAAGGCCCGCTGAGCTGAGCTGTCCAAAGACATGTTTGAAATCAGAGTTGCAAATATACTCAGGAGGAGTAAGCCCTGGATTGTTTTCTTCTGTTTTCTTAAAATTCTCAATTCTCATCATCCACTCTGCTGGCACAATTCCTGAGTGGGCTCCCTCCCCACTGCTATAATACCCGGGCTTTGCAGTGGCCTCCAGGGTGTGTGGTGGACAGGCCCACCCCAGGCACAGGCAGTAAGGAGGGCATTCTCTGGAGAGCATCTAAAAGCAATGCCAGTGATAAAAGACTCCCACAGCCTGGCCTTGCCTTGGAACCCACCGGATCACTGCCCAGTCTCTTGTGATCCTGGGGAACAGCAGCAGGTAATGCCCCCCACTACCCCTCGGTGCTCTGGGAAGTTAAATTCCCTCCCTCCACTCAGGTGCTCTGGGAAGTTAAATTCCCCCAACCCTGGTGCTCTGGGAAGTTAAATTCCCCCAACCCTGGTGCTCTGGGAAGTTACCCGCCCCCAACCCCGGTGCTCTGGGAAGGGGCTCATTACAAAATCCGCGTGACTTAGATGAGGCTCACAGCTGCCTCTGTTTACCTAGGACAGGCCACATCCAGACCCTCCCCTTCCCCATGCTTTGCTGCATGAATGACGAGCTAAACTGTATAATACTTGTCTCCACTGACCACTCTGGACAAAACGCCCACTAATGTGACTTAGCCAACCTTTAGTCAGGTGTGGGGATGCACTTGGAAGCCCAGAGTTGGTATTAAAATAATTATTTTAAGCTGAAGATATTTGAGATTCAACGGATGCAGGAAGGAGCCTCATTGGAGCTCCCTTTATCTGACTAAAAGCAGTAACTTCTGGGAAATAAAGCAGCCATACATTTCCTCTTTGGGGCAGTTCTGCTCCCAGGAGAGACAGCAAGAGTAAATCTACCAAAAATCCTCTCTCCAGGACAGTTTCATGCCCATGGGGAAGACAGAGTGATCACTCACAGCTGCATAAACGAGCACGATTACATGCATTTGTTCTGCCAAAAACCCATTTGTCGTAACTAAAGAAACCTATTTGTTCTTCTCATAAAGTCTTTCTCTCTCTTATCCCTTCTCCCTGCTGAATTGGGTACCTGCACCCCAGATTCTAGCCACTGCTTTGAGTTAGTCATCACTGAGCACTCCTGCATCGATGAGCTTTGCATGTGTAAATAAACTTTCCCTCCAGTGAACCTGTCCTCTGCCAGTTTAATTTGCAGGCCCCAGACGCTAAGCTTAAAAGGGTAGACAAAACGTCATTTCCTCTCTGACACAGGCTTCTCGCCTTTCCCCAGCTCTAAGCTTTGGCCAACTCTGGAGAATGGGAGTGTGGAACAACTTCTCACAAACAGCTACTCTGGAGAACGTTCCCTGATGAATCGTTTCGTCACACCGCACACCGCCCCTTCCTGTTTCTTCCTAGCCTTGTTTACTCCCCGCTGTAAGAAAGAGAGAATCCCTTTCTGCTTGACTTTTGGGACTCTTGCAGATCTCGTGGTCTGAGCTTCTCCTTGTTGCAGGACACCTTTCCCTGTTGCAGTAGGGGTCCTCCTCTTGCGGCAATCATCCTTCTGAATAAAAGTCTCTTTTTACCTAAGTCTGAATTTGTTTTTCTTTGGCAATACACAGTGCCACAGCCTGGCCTGATGGCGACCACCAGGGACCTAACAGACATGGCCGGGTGGTGCTCTCATCTGCTCTGGGTTGCCACCGAGCGAGCAACTCGGCTGCAGTGGATGAATAACATTACACTGGAAAGAATGGGGAAGGCTCAAGACACCCCCGAGTCTAGCACAACAAGGCTGGCATAATGTTCATTTCCCTCCTTATCATGTTGCAGACACCAGACACATTTTGACTCAACTCTACCCAACTTCGACATGAATCTTCATTAATAGGACAGCCTCAACCATCTCGAACCCAGGAAGCAGGGAGGCGCGCGGAGCCCTGTTGATGATCCCCGGCAAACACACCGAGGTCTGCCTTCTCTGAACGCCAGCGCTTGGGTGCAGCAGAAGGGCCCCAGAATCACTACAGTTTCCACCGATATTCACCCACATCATCTTGTTTTCGATTTCCCCAGGGAAGAGGTATCTTGATTTTCTATTTCTTTCCAGTTCTCTCGTGCTTCTCACTTTAGGTGAGAAAATTCTCTCAGGGCTGAACAGAAGACTATTTGAGCACACAAGGAGTGCGGCTTTGTGAACACATTTCCCAATTTACATTTTCAAGTTGAAGAGGCTTTTGCAAGCCCAGCCCCAAGTGCATAGCACAGACCCAAGAAAGAGAAGGGAGCTGACAGGTCAGGGCTGTCCCGCTCCTGCATCTGGGCTGCAGGCCCGAACCCCGGCAGCCTCCCCCAAGGATCTTGCGGCCCGCAGCGCCCTCTGAGTTTATCTAGCTGTCCACAGGCCACAGAGCTTGGGGAGGACATTTTAGATGTTCTGTGAGGTTAAAAATAACTCCAGAGCTATAAACAGGAGAACGGGGCAGGCTGTAAATCAAGCACAACACAGTCATTTACTTACCCAGGACACTGTGGAGGGCACCGCCACCCCAGATCACTTGCCTTGAGAAAGATGGCTGGGGCGGCGACTGAGAGCTCCCCATGGGCCTGAGCCAGCCCCGGGAGCAGGCCTCGTGCCCATCCATTCCCAGCAGCCTCTGTGCCCTCTGCTGCCCTTGAGGTATTGACAGGGTGACCTTGACAACAGACCCAATTAACTAGAGTGATAGAATCTGGCCTTTGCAAGATTGTGGTCCTGGCCTTAATTTGCTTGTGGGGAGAAATTTTTCCTCTTCATCTAAACATTAAATGCAAATAAATAACATCCGATGTATTTGAAGTTTCAAAATAAAAACGTGTAACTTATGGGCTTGCCGAAGCTCATATTTGAAAACAGTTTATATATATATAGATAGATACATAGATAGATACACACAAACACATGCATAATTTTCTTCTACTCAGGAGCAAATCAGCTTTTTAATCATCTACTTTGATCTTGTATAATAATTCTCTGGAGCTGTTTTAAATATTTGCTAATAAAGCCCATAGCCCAGATAAACTACCCAAGAGGGATTTCTCATTGGTCAGCTTCAAAGGCAGGGTTAAGGACAAACTGATCTCTTCTCACTAAGAAATTCTCCAAACAGTCCTGCATAGACCACTGATACATAGGTTTCTGAAATAGTTGATATCCTTCTAGTTTGGCTATTAAAAGGCGACATGCTGCCTGCAGGTCCAGGTATTTATTGCTTTTAAAACACACTGTCCCACATATGAACCATGAAAACTTTGACCAGACCCTCCCCTATTAACGAAATCAGAGAGGCAGAAGTCTCCCTCTACCCTGTGGCAAGGATTGGGCAAGGGCTGCCTTGGGCAGTTTCTCATTTGACAGCAGCTCCTCCAGGCTGCTGGGAACAGTGCTGGAAATGGGGCCTGTGGGAAGAAAAGGCAAGGGAGGAGGCCAGGGTTTGTTGGAGGCAGGTCTGAATAAGTGGTTCACCTGTGCTAAGGTCCCCACCTGTCCTAAAATCCCCACCTGTGCTGTGGTCCCCAACCTGTCCTGACTTCACCTATCCTGAGCTCTCCACCTGCCCTGAGCTCCCCAACAAGCTGAGCTCCCCACCTGTCCTGAGGTCCCCACTTTTTCTGAGCTCTCCACGTACCCTAAGCTCCCCACCTGCGCTGAGCTCCCCACTTGTCCTGAGATCCCCACCTGGCCTGAGGTCCCCACCTGCTCTGAGCTCCCCACCTGCCCTGAGGCCCCCACTTGTTCTGAGCTCCCCACCTGCCCTGAAGCCCCCACCTGTTCTGAGCTCTCCACCTGTTCTGAGATCCCCACCTGTCCTGAGGTCCCCACCTGCTCTGAGCTCTCCACCTGCCCTGAGCTCCCCACCTGCCCTGAAGCCCCCAGCTGTTCTGAGCTCTCCACCTGTCCTGAGATCCCCGCCTGTCCTGAGTTCCCCACCTGTTCTGAGATCCCCACCTGTGCTGTGGTCCCCGCCCCTGGTGCTGCAGTCTGCACCTGTGCTGCAGGTATGTCCTAGTCCTGTGCAGCTGACCCCTCTGCCTGCCCCTTCCTTTAGACTGTCACCTGCCCTCCACTCCATCACAAATATGAGCACCTCTCTATCTCTGCCCTAACAATACCTCTGTATCTCATATACGGATCAACAGAAGTCCTGGAGCTTTCCTGCTGTGGCTCCCTGCCTGCCCTGCCCCATGGCGGAGTCCTGGGCTCTTCTGGACATTAAATGGGGCAGCAGCAGCTGCCATTTCTGCCAGGAGGCACTGACAGGGGTGCTTCCACTGGCTCCCTCTGGAATGAGGATGACTAGCATTGTCCTGGCTGTTCCCTTGTTCCTGCCTGTGTTCCACCCTGGTCTCTGCTGCTGTCCTGTCCTCTCAGTGCTTCCCTCCAGGTCCAGAGGCCCCTGCTTAGATGAGCCTCATTGCTGGTGGGCCAGTAGCTTTGCCCCTGGTCCCTCTCCATAGCCAACCCTTCCCAGCTGTCACCAGTAACAATGGACCTTGCTTCTTCCCATCACAATGGGCAGCTTTGGCAGGTTAGGGCTTCGTCTTCAGCCTGGCCACTTGCCCCTGGTACATCTTGGACCATTTTCGTTTCCTCTCAGCAAATAAAAGCCCTTTCTGAGTCAGGCACTGGAGTAGCAAATGTGATGAGGGGACTCTTACTGAAGACTGAATCTACAGGTCTTTCCTTCTTCCTCTTCTGCTATTTTTTTCTTGGGTTTATTGGTCCCTGACAGATCCACTCAAAGCCCTGGAGATGAGCCTCCTCTGTGTCTCCAGCATCATTATGCTTAGGTGACAGTGAGAGCAAGCAGAACTCCATTGATCAAGACTGACGGGACATCCACATCCCATCCCGCACCCTCATTACGTGGAGGCTGCAGCATCAGGGAAGGAGTGAAGGAGAGGACTTGCTCTTTCCTTTGCTTACGTAAAGCAAAGGGTCAGGTGCATTACATTTGCCAAGCAGCACATCCCGGTGCCTGGCACACAAGGCAGACGTTCTGTTGGTTCCCACGTGGTGGAAGCTGAGAGGGCAGGCCTGGGGCAGGCTGAACCCCCATGGCACGGGGCCAGTGTTAATCACATAGCGCTCCTGGGCTTATGGCGCTGCACTGACCCTATGGTCAGTATGGGTGCTGCGCGGAGCCAGTGACCTGAAACACATGCATCCTGGGGCTGCCAACAGGAATCGGCACGAAGCCTCGCAGGGCCTGGCCCAGCATGCAGGCTGTTTCCTTTTGTCATCTCCACAGCAGAAACTTCCAGGAATCCTCCAAAGGAAAGCCAACTGTTCTGCCGGCAGAGGAAATAAAGGGAAGGTAAAGAGGCCTTAGAAAGTGAAGAGTGGCATCAGAGAAGGACAGGTATGGAGAGGAAATCTGGACTCCTGCCAGCAGGCATGGGACCTGCACCACCAAGTCGGTGCAGACCCCCTGGGAAGTGGAGAACCTGGACTTTGGGTTATAACCCAGAGTATACAAGGAGCATACATGTGTCCATGCCTACAGGGGAGTCTCCATCTGCTCCCTCTGGAAAGAGGATGATTGAACAAATGATTGAATAAATCAATAAAGAGAAGAGAAGCAACATGCCTTCCTTTCAGAAGAATTCCTAACCATGTATGTAGACGCTCCCGGCTTCAGGAAGTGGAGCTGAATCCTCTCCCCTCTTCAGGGTGGGCTGGACTTAGTGACTCACTTCCCAAAGAATAGAGGAAAAAGGAAAAAACAGTAACTCTATCGGGGAGGGACCTGGCAGACACCACCTTAACCCCGTGTTCGAGGTTTACTCATCTGCACTTGGTTATGTGGATGTCGGCGCCCCTGATGGGTTGTGAGGAGGCGAGCACTTCACCTCCCTGGTAGCCTCCCCCAAAACAAGTATCTCCAGTTTAATTATTAGAAGAAAGTCAGACAGGCCAAGTGAAAGGACATTCTACAAATACCACAGGAGTACACTTCAACACTGTCAAAGTTATAAATCAAAGTGGTGCCTGAGGCTCTGGCACAGGCTGGGGTTTCAGAAGGTTTGATGGCTTCATGAAACGTGGGGTCCTGAGCTGGATCCCAGGGCAGCAAAAGGACATTATGGAAATGGGGAAATCCCAATATGTCTTTAGTTTGGTCGTGTTGTGTGAGTTTTAATGTCTCAGTTTTGATAGATGCATTCCTACATGGGAGACGTCATGGTGGTTAATTTTAGGGGTCAACTAGGCTGGACAGCAGAGTGCCCCCACATTTGGTCAGACGTGACTCTAGGTGTGTCTATGAGGGTCCTGGGTGAGAGGAATGTCTGAAATGGTGAACGGAGTGAAGTCAATGCCGTCCCCAGCGTGAGTGGCCTCATCCAGTCAGCTGATGGCCTGAGGAGAATGAAAGGCAAGCCTTACCGTAAGTAAAGGGGAGCTCCATCTGCCATCATGACCGCCTTTGAGCTAAGACAATGGGGACTTTTCTGCCTGCAGACTGGAAATGAAGCATGAGCTCTTCCTGGCTCTCAAGCCTGCCGACGGATAAACTTTAACTACACCACCCACTCTCCTGGGTCTCCAGCCTGCTCAGTCACCCTGTGGGTCTTGGAACTTGCTAGCCTCTGTAACCACACGAGCTAATTCCTTATAATCTCTCTCTCCTCTCTCTCTCTCCCTCTCTCTCTCTAGATATATATCTATACAGATATACTTATAGATCTGGATATTTACATATATCTATATATAGATGTATATATAGAGAGAAAGAGGGAGAGAGAGAGAGATATCCAGAATTCTCTCCCTGGTTCTCTGGAACAAGATTGGTTCCAGAGAAACAGAACCAATAGGGTGTGTATGTTTGTGTGTGTGTGTGTGTGTGTGTGTGTGTGTGTGTGTATTTATATATACAAATACACAGAAACACACAGAAACTGTACATATATAAAGAAATACACAGAAACTCTCTCTCTCTCCCTCTCTCTCCCTAGAGAGATATATCCAGAATTCATTCATTCATTCTCTCTCTCTCTCTCCATATATATATATATATAACTTCAGGGAATGAAAGATAAAGAAAACAAATCTTAAAAATAACCAGAGAGAAACAATGTACTACCCAAAGGGAGAGAGAAACACAATTGCAAGAACAGTGGATTTCTCATCAGAAACTGTGAAGGCTGAAGGAAGTGGCACAATATTTTTCAAGTGCTGAAAAGAAAGAACTGTCAATCCAGAATTCTATATCCGAAGAGATATACTTCAGGAATAAAGTAGAAGTCTAGACATTCTCAGTTGAAGAAATGCTACGACAGTTTGTCACCAATAATTCCACACTAAAAGAAAGACTACAGGAAGTTCTCTAAACAGAAACAAAATGATTAAAAAATAAGAATCTTGGAACGTCAGGGTGCAAGACAAATAGAACAAACAAATGGACAAATATAATAGATTACCCTTTTCCTTTTAAGTTTTCTGAATTATGCTTGATTCTTAAAGAAAAACAATAGCACTGTATGATGTGTTTCACAAGGCATGTAGAGGAACTATTTCAGGTGATCACATTATAAATGGAGGAGAAAAAAGAAATAAAGGGAAGGAAGATTTGTGCACTTCACTGCTTGACTAGGTAAAACACTGACAAGAGTAGACTATGATTGTCCCTTCATCTATCTTTCTATATCTTATAATTGTCACAATCTTATGGTAATATAGCTTAAATTTTATATATATATATTTAAAATACATATACAGATGGTCCCTGGCTTACAATGGATGGGCTCACAATTTGTTGGCTTTATAATGGGTTTATCGGGATGTAATTCCATTGTAAATTGAGGAGCATCTGGACTTACGGTGGTTCAACTCATGATTTGTCAACTTTGCGATGGGTTTATTAGGATATTAAATGCATTTTTAACTTAAAATATTTTCAACTTACAATTGGTTTATCGGGACATAACCCCATAGTAAGCTGAGGAACATCTGTATATATTATATGTAATATGTATATAAAATATACACAGACACACACACACATGTATCACCAGATAAATATATACTTAAGATATATGTGTGTATGTGCGTGTGTATATAAATACACACACATTATCTACTAATATATAGAGCAATCCCTGAAAGTCCTATACAAAGAGATACAATCAAAAACATTGTAAAAATACTAAACTGGAACTTGAAACACGTTTTAAAACTGACAGAATAAAGACAACAGAGAAATTTTAAAAATAGAACAGTAAACACACAAAAAAGAGCAGATTTGTGCCATAAAATATCAATAGTTATATTAAATCCAAATGGTTTAAATATACTAATTAAAAGACAAAGAGTATCACAGTGAATTTTTTAAAAAAAGAAAACATGATCCAAATATAAACTATCCACAAGAAGCTCACTTGATATAAAATGGTATATACAAGTTGGAAGTAAAAGGATGGAAAAAAATATACCATGAAAGCATTAAACAAAAGGAAGCAGTAATGGTTATATTTATATCAGATAAAATAGATGTTTTATTAAAGAAAATTACTAGAGACAGAGAAGAACATTGTATAATAAGAGGGTCAATCCAGCAAGAAAACATTGCTAAATGTGTATATACCAAAGAATAGAAATTCAAAATATCTGAAGCAAAACTGATAGAACTGAAAGAGAAATAGATACATCCATACTTAACAGTTGGAGACTGCCGCACCGTGCTCCCCACAAGTGATAGAAAATCAGTAAGGATAGAAAACTCAACAATATCATCAACCAACAGGATCTAATCAATGTTTATAGACCATTCCACCCAACGACAGCAGGTAAACAATCTTTACAAGTGCCCAGGGAACCAAGACCAAGATAGGCCATATGCTGGCCCACAACCATCTTGAGAAAATTCGAAAGAATTGGAGCCATGCACATTGTCTTTTTCTACCACAATAGAATCAACTACAGCCAATAACAGAATGAAAGGAAGGATCTCTCCAAACACTTAGAAGCTAAGCCACAAACTTCTAAATAACCCACAGGTTAAAGGGAAAGTTTTAGGGAAAATTTTTAAAAGTATATCAAACTAAATAAGAATTAAAATACAGCATATCAAAATGTGTAGGTAGCAGGTAAAGCAACACTGGGAGGGAAATGCATAGCACAAAATACTCACATTAGAAAGAAGGTAATCTCCCAAATCAATCATCTAAGCTCCCCTCTCAAAAAAGGAAAAAGTAACAAAATAAACCCAAAGCAAGCAGAAGGAAAAAATAATAATAATGAAGTTCAGAAGTCAATGAAATTGAAAACAAACACATACCATACAGAACGCCAATGGACAAAAAACTTGATTCTCTATAAAGCTCAATACAATGGACATACCTCCAACAAGACTAAGGCAATTAAAAGAGAGAAGACACAAATCACCAATACAAGGAAAGAAATAGGAAATGCACTGTGATCTTGCAGATACAAAAGGAAAATAATAGAATATCACAAGCCGCCATTCTAAAGACTTAAATCTGTCCCATTCTATCAAATAAAGGAATTCTTTGAAAAGTACAAACTACCCAACTCACCCAATATGTAATGGATAATTTGAATAGCCCTATAGCGATTCTGGAAATTGAATTCATAACTGAGGCCTAGACGTTTCACTGCAAAATTCTAGTAGATGGTTATAGCGCAGGTAACCCAAAGTCTATGCAATATCCTCCAGAAACTAGGAGAGGGAAACCTTCTCAACTGATTTATGAAGCCAGTATCAGCCTGATGCTAAAACCATGTGATATCACAGAATTCTGCAGTGAAACCATCTAGGCCTCAAGACTTTTTATGTGAAATTTTAATATTATGAATTCAATTTCCAGAATAATTATAGGACTATTTAACACAAAACAATGAAACTGTCGATCACAATCTCATGAATATAAATGGAAATATTCTTAACAAAATATCAACAAATAAAGTTCAGTAATAAATTAAAAATAATTATACACTATGAGCAAGTGGGGTTTATTCCAGGTATGCAGGGCTATCTCAATATTAGAAATCAATCAACACAATATACCATATCAACAGACTGAAGAAGAACAATCACATGATTATATGAACTCTTGTAGAGAAAGCATTTGACAAAATGCACACCCATTAATAACAAGATTTTCAGAAAGATAGGAATAGTGGAGAACTTTCTCAACTTGATAAAGAACATCTATCCACAGCCGAAATCGTACTTAATGATAAAAGACTGACTGCATCCGTCCCCTCTGACAACTCCTATTCAATCTAAGGTGGGGTGTTTCAGCCAGCACAATGGTCAAGAAAAGAAAATAAAGGCCTGCAGATTGGAAAGCAAGAAATAAAATTGTTCCCATTTGCAGATGGCATAATTATCTATGTAGAAATCACAAAGACTACAAAAAAGCAAGAAAATGTCTCAAATGCCTGGCGTTGTCATCACTCTGCCTCCATTTCACGTGGGTGACAGGTTCATGGCACTATTTTTGCAACAAATGGAGATGGGTGAAAGTTGCATTTTAACATTACAGAAGCCCCGTTCACTTCAAACAAGGCAAGTGAGGACCAGGCACCTGCATGCGTCCTGGCCCCTGGTTCTCCGCCTGCACCTTCCCTGTTGACTCTCCATTCAGGGCAAAGTCGGCCATGGCCACAGGTCTTCTCTGGCCAGTGACCTTGCACACAGCTGTCCCACAAGTCACTGTTGTTAGCATTCGGGGACAGCTGTGTTTGTGTTGTGCCAAGGCAGTCACCAGGAACAGTGTTGGCCTGGACTTCCTGCAGGAAAGGAAAGAGGAAGGAAGGAAGAGAGAGAGGGAGGGAGGGAAAGAGGAAGGAAGGAAGGAAGGAAGGAAGGAAGGAAGGAAGGAAGGAAGGAAGGAAGGGAGAGAGAACAGAAAAAAGAAAGAATAAGAAAGCAAGTGAACAGTCAGTAATGCCACCAATAGATGTCTTAAAGTCTGGAAAAAAGATATTAATCTGCCTAGAAATAAGGCCTTTGGACAGATTTATGGACATAAAAAGCAGCTATAATTTATACAAAGCAGCTGTAATTTAGAAAGGGGCTAGCTGTCTTAACAAAGTTATACACCCTTTCAAGCTTGAAAAAGGCTGGATTAAGATCTAGACTGACGCCACAGATGCAGGAAGATGAGCTGTTAACACAGAGCCCCTGCCTTATGGGAGAGGTGAGGAGAGCAAGGGCACGCCAGCTCCTGCCCCGCTGTCACTCATTCCCACGCCACAGGCTTGGTGGCCTCAGAACACACAGATTCATCAGTCAGCTCTCAGGTCTGGAGCTCAGAGTCCAAAATGGGCCTCGCTGGGCTCCCATGGAGGTGTCAGCAGGGTTCCCTCTGGATGCTCTGGAGAAGTTGTTTCCTCATCTCTTCCAACCCCTGGAGCTGCCTGCTGTCCTTGGCCCATGCCCTCCATCATCACAGCTGGCAAAGGCAGGCAGAGTCCTCCTAATGCCACATCTCTGGTTTTCCTTTTCTGCCTCCTTCTTCCCAGTTTCAGGGCCCCTGTGATTACACTGGGCCCTACTGGATCATCCTGATGATCTTCTCAGCTTAAGGTCAGCTAATGAGCAAACTTACTCCATCTGCAACTTGAATTCCCTTTGCCAGGTAAGGTAATGTCTTTACAGGTTCTTTGGATCAGGACATGGATATCCTTGAGGGGCGTCACTCTGTGACCGCACTGGCCCTGTCAAGAAACACTGCTGGAGGCATGTCCTCAGGGCCCGGCATCTTGGGCTTTCCCTCCCCCGTGGGTAGCCACACCTCTGGGCAGGCTGCTGCAGGCAGACAGGTTTTATGTTGCATGACACACACGTAACGTGCGCCCTGTGTGCCTGCGTGGCCTCAAGCACGAAGTCTCAGTAGCAACCTCCTAGCGGACACGGTGCATATTCCCATTTTACAGATGAGGAAAGTATGGCTCAGAGAGGATGCTTAAACTGTTCACACCGCTCAGGTGGGACTCACCTCAGGCCTCTTCTGTAAACTGACTGGAAACGGTACATGGAAATGTGGAACGTGTGTTTCCAAGGTGATAAGCAGCACAGAGCAGGGCCTCAGCCCAGATGGCTGTAACAGCAGACGCCCTGATCAGCCCAGCCAAGAGGAGCAGGATTCCCCACTACCCCAATGCCCTGGCTATCCCTGCAGGGCTTCCGAGGATGGCTAAGCACGAAGTGCAAACTTACCTCCCTTGCTACTCCAGGTCACCCAGACCTGGGTCCCATCTCTTATGTCACAGAGACATAGGAGAACAGGGAACAGGGAACAAACAGCATGCTTTACAACAAGAAGTCACCACCTTCCCTGTCCATTCTGCAGAAGGCTGTGCACAGAGGCACATCTGCCTGAGCTACGGTCCCAGCTTGGCCTCGGCAGGCTCATCTGGTGAGGGCAGGTGACAGATCACGGAGCAGGGAGGCCTCCATAGAACTGGAGAGAGCAGTGTATACTTGATCTGGGAGGTGCAGGAGGGAGAACATGCTGGACTCTGCCAGAGGTGGCTGGTGAAGCTGAGGGGCAGTGAGCTGGGATGCAGGGTCTAGGGTACTAGGCAGCGCAGCACTCCTGCCAGGCCAGGAGCTGGGAGCAAGCCTCAGCCAGGAGACAGGAGCATGGCTTCTGGAATGATGCTGCGGCTTCCTTAGGTCATCCAGGTGAGTGACAGGGAAGGGTTTTGCTTCAGGGT
The DNA here is from genome assembly GCF_000001405.40 of Homo sapiens. Taxonomy (NCBI): domain Eukaryota; kingdom Metazoa; phylum Chordata; class Mammalia; order Primates; family Hominidae; genus Homo; species Homo sapiens. The sequence continues at coordinate 130,758,929 of NC_000010.11, forward strand.
TCGGGATTCAGGGTGCACAGTTGTTAGGGGATGGGAATTTGGGGCACAATTGATAGGGGATGGAATTTCAGGATGCACAGAGGTTAGGGGTTGGGGATTCAGGATGCACAGTTGTTAGGGATTTAGGATTCAGGATGCAGAGTTGATAGGGGATGAGAATTCGGGATGCACAGTTGATAGGGGATGGGAACTCGGGATGCACAGTTGATAGGGGATGAGAATTCGGGATGCACAGTTGATAGGGGATGGGAACTCGGGATGCACAGTTGATAGGGGATGGGAACTCGGGATGCACAGTTGATAGGGGATGAGAATTCGGGATGCACAGTTGATAGGGGATGGGAACTTGGGATGCACAGTTGATAGGGGATGGGAATTTGGGATGCACAGTTGATAGGGATTGGGGATTTCAGATGCACAGTTGTTAGGGATTGGGGATTTGGGATGCACAGATGTTAGGGGTTTGGGATTCAGGATGCACAGTTGATAGGGGATGGGAATTTGGGATACACAGTTGATAGGGGATGGGATTTCAGGATGCACAGATGTTAGGGGTTCAGGATTCAGGATGCACAGTTGTTAGGGATTTAGGATTCAGGATGCAGAGTTGATAGGGGATGAGAATTCGGGATGCACAGTTGATAGGGGATGGGAACTCGGGATGCACAGTTGATAGGGGATGAGAATTCGGGATGCACAGTTGATAGGGGATGGGAACTCGGGATGCACAGTTGATAGGGGATGAGAATTCGGGATGCACAGTTGATAGGGGATGGGAACTCGGGATGCACAGTTGATAGGGGATGAGAATTCGGGATGCACAGTTGATAGGGGATGGGAACTCGGGATGCACAGTTGATAGGGGATGAGAATTCGGGATGCACAGTTGATAGGGGATGGGAACTTGGGATGCACAGTTGATAGGGGATGAGAATTCGGGATGCACAGTTGATAGGGGATGGGAACTCGGGATGCACAGTTGATAGGGGATGGGAACTCGGGATGCACAGTTGATAGGGGATGAGAATTCGGGATGCACAGTTGATAGGGGATGGGAACTTGGGATGCACAGTTGATAGGGGATGGGAATTTGGGATGCACAGTTGATAGGGATTGGGGATTTCAGATGCACAGTTGTTAGGGATTGGGGATTTGGGATGCACAGATGTTAGGGGTTTGGGATTCAGGATGCACAGTTGATAGGGGATGGGAATTTGGGATACACAGTTGATAGGGGATGGGATTTCAGGATGCACAGATGTTAGGGGTTCAGGATTCAGGATGCACAGTTGTTAGGGATTTAGGATTCAGGATGCAGAGTTGATAGGGGATGAGAATTCGGGATGCACAGTTGATAGGGGATGGGAACTCGGGATGCACAGTTGATAGGGGATGAGAATTCGGGATGCACAGTTGATAGGGGATGGGAACTCGGGATGCACAGTTGATAGGGGATGAGAATTCGGGATGCACAGTTGATAGGGGATGGGAACTCGGGATGCACAGTTGATAGGGGATGAGAATTCGGGATGCACAGTTGATAGGGGATGGGAACTCGGGATGCACAGTTGATAGGGGATGAGAATTCGGGATGCACAGTTGATAGGGGATGGGAACTTGGGATGCACAGTTGATAGGGGATGGGAATTTGGGATGCACAGTTGATAGGGATTGGGGATTTCAGATGCACAGTTGTTAGGGATTGGGGATTTGGGATGCACAGATGTTAGGGGTTTGGGATTCAGGATGCACAGTTGATAGGGGATGGGAATTTGGGATACACAGTTGATAGGGGATGGGATTTCAGGATGCACAGATGTTAGGGGTTCAGGATTCAGGATGCACAGTTGATAGGGATTGGCGATTCTGGATGCACAGTTGTTAGGGGTTTGAGATTCAGGATGCACAGTTGTTAGGGGATGGGAATTCAGGATGTACAGTTGATAGGGGTTCCGGATTTGGGATGCACAGCTGTGAAAATCTTTGGCTTTTGTTGCTGAGAACAAAGGTGTGAAAATGGAAGTGCCTCCTCTGCAGGGCTGAGGATGATCCTGGGAGGGTGGGGCCTCTGGGAATGACGGGAAAGTGACCCATCTGGGAGTTGTGGCCAAGAGCGGGGAGAAAGAGTTCAGACATGGGTTCAGGGCCAGGCGAGGTGTGTGCAGGTGGAAGGTACCCAGGGCCCTTGGTCTGGGAGTGCAAAGGCCCCTCTAGGCAGTGACAAGGAGCCCCTGATGCAGGGTCTTGGCCCCCGACAACTGTGCCTGCAGTCTGGCACCCCTGGGGAGTGACCTCTGCTTGCCCAGTGCAGTTGTGCCCCAGCACTGTGTCTGCCGTTCACCTACACATTTCAGTGGATTGGGAGGGGCTATGCTAGGCTGAGGTCAGCAGGGCTCATGCTAGGGCCCCTGAGTCCTGTGGGAGCCTGAGGCCCCCGGGACAGAGCAGGGGTCCCTCTCATTCTCTCACTAGCCTGCTCTCCTCTGGCCCTGTCTGGGTGGAGCTGGTTCCTGCCTCCCAAGGCTGCAGGGCTGCCCCTGTCTGGGGTGCTTAGGAGAAATAGTACTCATGTAAATATGTGTTCATCAGAACGCTGGCAGGGTGAAGCCTGCAGATTCCTCCAGGGTAGGTGTTGAGAAAGGCAGCATCCTGGGAGGTGGCAGAAGTGAGAATAAGGAGTCATTCTTGTCCCTGCAGGCAAGAGGAGCTTTCAGGTCAGCCTCGTCCTGCAGAATGCAGCAGGGTTCACTTGTGTCTGGACCCCACGCTTTTCTGTCCCCATGGTGAGCTCATCCTCATGGGCCTTGCTGGAGCCTGGTCCACCTCAGTCCCCTCTCTTTCTGGGGTCCCTGCTGGCCTAGTTGGTTTGTGAGGAGAAATTGGATGCCTGAAGCTGATGCATCCTCTAGGGGTTCATGGGTCTCATCTTATTGATGGCAGATGGGCAAGTCCCTTCCCACTGACCCCAGAGACTGTGTAGAGAAGCTCACAGCCCAGCTAGGGCTTCCCTGTAGGCGTGCAGAGGACACAGCTGCAGGGGACGCACCCGGGAGGGGCATGCTCCCTCCTCGAAGACGCCGAGACCCAGCAGACTGATTTATAGCTGCGTCACCCACATCACCCAGGGATGTAGGGTTGGCTCTGTCTCCGGTGCCATTAACACTTTCTTCATGGCGGCTTGACCTTGACCTTGGTGTCATCTATCAGGGTCTGGAGGCTACTCTCCTCTGCTCCTGACAAGCAGTGCAGATGAATGAGGACTTGCAGCCGCTGAGCTTCACTCCCTGCTGCCTCTTGCTCTGGCCCCCATTCAGGCTTGACCGTGGATGCCGCCTACTGGGGACCCTCCCGGAGACACAGGATCCAGGGTGGGTGTATGATCTGTTTTCAAGTGGACGGAGGAGCCCTTACTGAGTACACCTGGATAACACGCAAGGCTGAAGCAGCAGTCTAATTAAACCCTGGGGACATGAATCAGAGTCCCCTACGGCTACCACTGGGAGGGGGTCTCCTATCCCCTCCTTCTGCCTCTGCCCTGCACCCGCAGGACCCAGAGACCACGAAATGGGCTGAATGGTTCAAGGTCACATGCATGTTAGGCCAGGGCCCTGAGCTCCCTGGAGATGGTTCAAATGGGAGAGTGAGTCTTCATAAAAGGCTGGTTGCAACTGGGGTCCAGTGGGGTGACCACAGACACCATGGAGTTACTGCAGCCCGGGAAGCTCAGACATTGGGCCCGTCCCCAGAGGAAAAGCATGAGCCAGCAGGAAACGCCCTGAATTCATGTGAGGATGGCTGGGCTGGGTCCTGCTTCCCTGGGGCTCTTGGGGCATGAATATTTGCATTTCAACGCACATCCCATCTCATTGCAGCACCCAGCTCTGGGTACATCCTACAAGAGTGTTAATTAAAAACCTAAATGGGGCCGGGTGCGGTGGCTCATGCCTGTAATCCCAGCACTTTGGGAGGCCGAGGTGGGCGGATCACAAGGTCAGGAGATCGAGACCACCCTGGCTAACACGGTGAAACCCTCTCTCCATTAAAAATACAAAAAATCAGCTGGGCATGGTGACGGGTGCCTGTAGTCCCAGCTACTGGGGAGGCTGAGGCAGGAGAATGGCGTGAACCTGGGAGGCAGAGCTTGCAGTGAGCCGAGATGGCACCACTGCCCTCCAGCCTGGGCGACAGAGCAAGACTCAGTCTCAAAAAAATAAACCTGAATGGTGCATGTTCTCCATTTCCTGGGATGCAACTCTCAAGAATCAGTGCTGTAGACCTTGTGAGAAATGGCAACAGAAAACAAAAATTCCACGAAATAATGCAGGGTGCTAAGCACGTGTGTGTATGTATGAACATGTGTGCACACATGAATATATACATATATGTACATATGCATAAACACATGTGTACACATGTGTGAACCTGTATATGCATTGCGCACTCACATTCCTACATATTGGAAATGGAAGCACCCTGGCCCCTGCCTCATCCTGTTCTCAATGTCAGCTGCATTTTGCCCCATCGTCTTGGGAGGTGATGAAAGGAACCAGTCACTGCCTCTGTGGTTTTCCATCAGGCTTGGAATAAATTCTGCTCACGAAAGTCAGACACACTGTGTGTCATTCATGGCCCCAGATCTGAGCTTGCCAGGAATCCCTGAAGTTGGTCTTGATGGTTGGGTTCTAATAGAAGGTTCTAGGCACACTCCTGGGTCTTTCTTTTGGGGAAAGCCTCTTCTTCTCTGTGCCCAAGCCTCCCCCCACTGGAGGACCGACTCACCCCAGGCCCAGCCCCGTGTCCAGTTCCCAGGAGAATGCTCTTGCCAGCAGGAGGAGGAAGCCAGAGGCCATCAGCATCTCTGTGTGGCCATCCCTGGTGGGCCCTCATTAAATACTTATTCCAGACTTAATAAATGAGGTGCATAAAAAGATAAGAGGAAATGGACTTACCTCATTAAACCGTAATGCTTTCCCTCTAAAACCCTTACATTGGGGGGAGGAATAAAAAATCAGGGAGAAGAGCCTGGGGTTCTTGACCCTTCTAAATTAATGGCACAATCAAAGCAAGTCCAAGTGTAACTGTATTAATCAATTTTTGAAGACGATGTGCAACTTTAGGTAAAATAAAATCATCTTGTGTTTGGGAAGTCTTGTCAATTCTCGGTCAAACGTACCCAGGGCAGGTTCACGTGCAGTGCATAGATGAGTTTGGTGGTTTATGCAGGCTGGGCTGCTTACTCTCCCAGGTGTGACTAGCAGTGAATGACAGCTGGGTCCGGGGGATCTCAGCATGGGGGCTACTCTTCCGTGGCCCTTGCCTTGCGGATCCATGGCCGGGCTAGACGATGGTGCCTCTGTGGCAGCATACAGTGTGTTATAAAGTGGACTCACTTTCCTCTATGCAAAATTCATACATCAGTCCATTCCTTCTTTTATTCATTCCTTCAGTACTAGGTTTCAGACAGTACCAGGTGCTGGGCTCCACCTCAGGTGCAGACGGCTGTGTTCTGATTGACCTGATGCTATGTTCTTACTGACCCGAGGCTGAAATTTGGAGCCCTCCAAAGACTCTACAAAGGTCCCGGCAACATATCCACATGGTGAAATACTTGTGCAGATTTTGCAGAATCAGACATTGTATTTTATGACCAAAACTGACAAGTGCTGTCCTTTTACTCTCTGGCCCACCCTCTGGTCAGGGACCAGGCAGTGGGCCTGCTGGGGATTCTGTAAGCTGGGGACATCTTTGTGTGAGTTCCATGGGCTGAACTATGTGTCTCAGTTGCTTTAGTGTGTAGTTTCACTATCACAGGTTCCTGGGACAGCAGGGCCCAACCCTGGCAGGAGTCAGATGCCAATGCTTGGAGCACCACTGCGTTGCCCGCCGTGTGTTACAGACCCATTCACAGGCGTTGGTCCCTCAACCTAGAGCCATGCTTGGCCCCCCACGGCCACTTGCTGGTAGCTCATGTCCATCCCCATCTCCCACCTGGCCCCGTGTGTGAGCTGCCCACCAGTCCACTCACTGTCTGTCTGAGTTTTCAGTGGCTGCTGCAACCGATGACCACAGACTGAGTGGTTTCAATCAACACATATTGACATTCTTACTGTTCTGGAGGACAAAAGTCCAAGATCAGTATCAATGGGCTTAAATTAAGGTGTGCAGGGCCATGCTCATTCTAAAGGCTCCAGGTGAGAATCTGTCTCCTGCCTCTTCCAGCTCCTGGTAGCTGCTGGCATTCCTTGGCTTGTGGCTACATCACTCCAGTCTCTGCCTCCGTGGTTGCATGGGCCACCCTCTTCTGTCTGTGTCAAATGTTTCTCTGTCTTCCTCTTATAAGGATACATACACATGATTTAGGACCCTCTTGGATAATCCAGGATAATCTCTCCATCTCAAGATCCTTATTTTAATCATATCTTCTGCCATATAAGTTAACATGGTTTCTCAGGATTAGAATCTAATATCTCTGGGGGCCATTGCTTAGCCTGCTACACTGTCCTGCCTGGATTCCCTTCCCAGAAGGACCCTCCATTCCTCTTCCTTGACCCTCAGCCTGGAATGGCCTTGCCAATCACATCTGCAATTGGTCTTATCATTTCTTCCTAATTTGAAAGGAAATATGGAGCCTAACAAAGTTAAGATAAACCTTATGGGGCCACGACCACAAAGCCCTTGATACTGGCCACAGATTGGCTAGCATGATCCATTCAGTCAAGAAGGATTTTATATTCACAGTGAGAAAAAGCAAGCTTAAAATTCCCCCAAATCTTAGGAAACAAAGATCCCAGAGCTTTTTTTCAAACCTGACAGCAACTTTAAGAATTTCCATGGCATTGCACCTGAAAGAAAAGAAAGACCCTTTTCTGAATAACAAAGTTAAAAATAATTATAAAAGATAATAGAGGAAAATTTGAATCATCTTTCTATATATCCTATTTATGAGGGAAAGAAAGATAACATAAAGCTCCCTTTTGTCTTAGGCAACCCAGGCTGCCACCGCAAAATACCACGGACTGGGGGCTTACCCAGCAGACCCTTTTCTCACAGTTCTGGGGCTGGGACTCAAGGTGTGGCCGGGCTAGTTTCTGGGTGGGGGGGGGGGCTCTCCTTGGCATGCAGACTCAGACGGTGTCACTCACTGTGTCCCCATGTCACCTTTCCTGGGTGAGAGGATCTGAAGCTTGAGTCAGAGGTGACTGGGCAGTCATCAGTGGTGTTGACTCAACAGAGTGAGGACAGGCTTGGGCTTCCAGTGAGGTGCCCTGGTCGGCTGAGGGCTGGCAGGGCAGACCTACAGGAAGGGGTCCCTGAGGGGTTCCAAGGCACAGCCCGAGGACATCACAGGAGGTGAGGAGTGGGTGTTGGTGTGAAGGGACCTGTGGAGAGTGATCAGTGAGGCTGTGCCGGCCCTGCTGATATTTTCAGGACTGCAGTGGGGAGGGGCTGCTGAGGCTGAGGCTAGGAGATTTCGGGGGCAAGTGGGGTCCTCCAGGCATGAGGCAGGCACTGGGCAGGGACAGATGATGAGACAGGCAGAGGGCAGAGTTGGGAAGCTGCAGAGCTGGGGGTGACAGGAGCTCGGCCCCTGATTTGGAGGGGCCTGAGGTTTGAAGTCACAGTTTCTGTCCTTACCTGGGAGGATGGTGCTGTGGTTTGAATGTCTGTTTTTTCTCGAAAGTTCTTGCTAAAACTGAATCCCCAGTGCAACAGTATTAAGAGGGGGTCTTTAGGAGGTGATTAGGCCATGGAGACTGCACCCTCAGGGATGGGAATGGTGCTTACCAAAGGGCTGGAGGGAACTGGCTGGTCCTCTTACTCCTCTGCCCTTCCTGAGGACACAGAATTTGTCCCCTCTGGAGGGGACATCCTGGAAGTAGACAGCAGCTCTCACCAGGCACTGCAACTCCCAGCCTCCAGCACTGGGAGAAATAAATCTCTATTATGGATGCATCCTCACAGTCTAAGGTATTTTGTTACAGCACCAAGAACAGATTGAGACAGATGATGCTAAGCAGCTTACCCAAATCCCACAGGATGGCAGCACCAGAGTTTGGAGCCAGGAGTTTTGGTTTCAGAGCCTGAGCTCCCAGAGCAACCTCCCTGGTTTCTGAAAGCAGTGTGGCCTCATTCCTCACTGCCTCCCCACCAGGCAAGACTTGCCTGGGCCCCACTTCTCAACTCAACTCTGCAGGTCCCAGGGAAACAGATCATCCCGCCTGGGGAGAAGCCCTCTCTTGAACTAGCCAAGAGTGGAGACACTGGGCCCTGCAAAGACGTGGGTCAGAAGTTGCCCTGGCCCCAACAGCCTGAACACAGACACCACCCTGGAAACGAGGAGACAAGTAGGCACGAGGGGCACGGAGAGGGGCTGCCCATTCCTCCAGGCAAGGACAAGGCTCCTGCCATGCTCAGAAGGAGCCCGGCTGGCCTCCATGCTGAGGACTTGGAGGGCATCTCGTGCTTGATCATGAGTGAGTGATGCTCCCCTTCAGGGTCCCCTCTGTCCCCCCTCCCTCTCCTCAGCCTTGAAACTCCCGCTGAGTGAGCCATCTCGGGCCCTCCCTCCTCTGCGCTGTTACCAGCAGAGCAGCACCTTTGGGCTGCAGCCTGGGATCCCGCCTGCTCAACGGTTCTTATCACCTGTGTTCCTGTGGTGTCTTCCATGCTGTTTGAGAAGCACATGCCGTGTTGTGGGTCCTGCTTTGCTCTCCAGGTGGTTGGCCCCTCTCTGAGCACCAGTGACCCCAGCCCCAGGCTCTGCAGAGGTTTCCATGCAGAGCCAAATGTGGCTCTGCCCCGCTGGGTTCTGCCTGCTGAGGCCGTGAGGGTGGGGGGGACTCTTCAGCAGTATTGGAGAGCATGGCCAGACACTGCTGTGTGTACACCTTGCCTGGGAGCTGGGCCAGCCCCAGATTCTGCATTAAAACAAAGGTGCATGGGCTGCTGTTGAGGGTCAGGACACACTAAGTATTGGGGTCCCAGAGTCGTGGGACAGGGAAGCTGCGCTCCATGATTACATGGACTTTTTCCTGGGCACTCTGGGGGATGTGCTGAGGCCACCTTGACTGGGAGGAGCTGGGCATGAAGGCATCAACTCTGCCTTTCCCAGCCATGCCTATGTCCACCTCAGAAGCCTGCTCAAGCCAGATGTACCCATGCCAGGCACTTGCTCTCTGGCCCCAGCTCTACCCCTGGATCACAGTGCCAGGGCAGGAGAGGCTGCTCACGTCTCTTACTCAGCTGCATCTAGTCTCCAGCCCAGCCTCCCCCTTGGAAGGTCATGGGCTTGGGTACTGGGGGAACCACCCCTGATAATTCAACGTAGGTTCTTTTCTATTTTCCCTAAGTGTTGGCCAGTCTGAGAAATAAAGGGAAAGAGTACAAAAGAGAAAAATTTTAAAGCTGGGTGTCCGGGGTAGACATCACATGTTGGCAGGTTCCGTGATGCCCCCTGAGCCACAAAACCAGCAAGTTTTTATTAGTGATTTTCAAAGGGGAGGGAGTGTACGAATAGGGTGTGGGTCACAGAGATCACATGCTCCAAGGGTGACAAAAGATCACAAGGCAGAAGGTCAGGGCAAGATCACAAGGTCAGAGTGAAACTAGAATTACTAATGAACTTCCATGTCCCGCTGTGCACGCATTGTCATTGATAAACATCTTAACTGGGTTCAAGAGCAGACGACGGGTCTGACTAGAATTCGCCAGGCTGGAATTTCCTAATCCTAGCAAGCCTGGGGGCACTGCAGGAGGCCAGGGCATGTTTCATCCCTTATCTGTAACTGCATAAGGCAGACAGTCCCAGAGCGGCCATTTTAGAGGCCCCCCCCGGGAATGCATTCTTTTCCCAGGGCTGTTAATTATTAATATTCCTTATTGGGGAAAGAATTCAGCAATATTTCTTTTACCCATTTTCAGTAATAAGAGAAATATGGCTCTGTCCTGCCTGGCCCACAGGCAGCCAGACTTTAAGGTTATCTCCCTTGTTCCCTGAAAATCGCTGTTATCCTGTTCTTAAGGTGCCCAGATTTCATGTTGTTCAAACACACATGCTTTACAAGCAATTTGTGCAGTTAACGCAATCATCACAGGCCCCCTTGGCAGGACAGAGCTGGGTCCCCTTCATAGTGGAGGGGACCTGGGTGCACAGAGGGAATGCCGACGAGAGGAATGTGATAGTTCCTAGGTTACTCTACCTGCATGGGGGCTCTCTAGACAGGCTGGGAGGGGAATCCATCCACTTCAACTAAATTCTTGGAATGGCTAAAAGCAGCTTTCAAAAACTGGGATTATCCAACCAAAAGTAAAATGAAAATGGAATGATTTTAAAACTTAAGCCTATCATGTACCAGTCTGCAGACACACCCCATGAATTGCGAAGTGCGCCCCACTCTGCCTCATAGGAGCTCTCCTCATGGGGTGAGGGCAGGGGCCCTGGGCATCACAGCGTTGGGGAAGAAGTTCGGGTGCCTCTTCCAGCCACCTGCACCCTGCCCAGCCACCCCTGGCTGCTTCCCTCAGCACATCAGTGTAGCCTCCCTTCATCTCTCAGTTGTGATTTTCCAGCACTGAAGCCCTTTGAGGATCCCCATGTGTGAGCAGACGCTGCTGGCCCTGATGGCATCCTGAGTTGAAAGGGGGACAGGGTGTCCATCCCCTCTGCTGACAGTGGGCTGAGGGCTGAGCCCCCAATAACTTCCCTGTGAGTGTAGTTGGGGGGGGTGGTCTATGAGAGGAGGAGGTCAGTGGGTTTGAGAACTTGGGGTTTGCTGTGGAGACTGAGGGCCCCAAAGCTGAGACACATACTTGGGCTGAGCCGCCAAGCAGAGGTCAAGCTTGCTCAGGAGTGAGGCTGCCCTTGGAGGTGCAGGGCACGTGTCTCGGCTGGGGAACCCCACTCTGGCAGAGGCAGAGCCAGGGTGAGGCTGCTGAGGGGAGTGTGAGCAGTGACGAATCCTTGTCTCTTGCTCCTGATAATTTAAAAGGACAAGAAGAGGACATGAAGGGTGAGAGGGGTGAGGTGAGGACAACGGACATGAAGGGGACAGAGGAGGGAGGAAGCAGACAGGACCTAATGGAGACCAGAGGATGTGCCAGGACATCCAACCTGTAAGGAGCCGCCCACAGGCTTCTGCACCGTCCTGCAGCTGATGTACCCAGAGGCCTTCAACACTCCACTCTCTCCTGTGATGAGGGCCCCAAACCTTCTTGGGGACATTTGAGTTCCTAGGAGCAGGTGGCCCTGCGACCCTGGCTGGCCTCGTTTCCCAACGCCCCACACCCCACGCTGGGCTGCAGCTCTGGGGACGCTCCTGCTGGCAGGGCCCCTCGCCTGGCCCTCTCTCAGAGCACTCCTCTCTCCTGCCCCCCTGCTCCCCGCCCTCTTCTGGCTTCCTCTCTGCTTCATCCCTTCAGACTGGTGGGTTCTCTCTCCCGTATCCTAAGCCCTGTCGCCTGCCCTGGGCTCTTCTCACAGGGGGACTGTCTGCAGGACACAGCAAAGGAGTCCAAGGCCCCCACACCCAGGACACCCCTGCTCCTGGCTCCTCCAGGCACAGAGGATCGCAGCCATGGAAGAGGACTCAGGGAAGAGGCTAGACCATGTGGGGAGCTTGCCAAGAATTCCTCGGGAGCACAGGACTGCAGGCACCTCTTGCCAACCACAATACCCCTCTCCAGCTGTGTCACAGACCTCCCCCTGCAGATGCCCGTGAATTTGCACAAAACTTGCCGCTGTTTGAGACGGTGTGACTGAGCAATGTTCTTCCATACTAAATCTTCCCTAAAGCTCTTAAATTTAAATCTGTATAGTTGGAGAAGGGGTCTGAATGAAGCACGATATCAGTTCTTTATCTGGTCAACTGGATGGATGCTGAGTAATGAACTTGTGATATGTTTTATTGTATATAAAGTTATCTGATATAATTGACCTAAAAATTCAAAATGATGAATGTAAAATTCAGATTTATTTTAATAATTTATTTGTAATAGTTTCATATTTCTTAATTATAATTTCTATTTTGTGTTCTGATGTTAACAGATATTTGACTATTTTAGAAAAAAGTTTTGCAATGTATAAAATAATTATACTTTTTGAAATTTTATATTTATTTCAATTTTTGATAAATGTTCAAGTTTTTTTGAATGCCAGTGAATTTTATTTTTAATTCTATGTAACATTACTGTCAAATATACAAGTTCTAAAGAAAAATGCAAGCTCTAAAATGCTCCTTAATTACATCATAATTAGACATTTTGCTGAAATGAAAGCAAACAAAATGGTTTGATAGATTTTGTTTTATGGAATTTGTGTCTTCATTTTATTACTCAGATTTCACCAGGCAATCAGCACAGAATTCAGACACATGCAATGATGATTAATTTTATCATCTTTGATATTTTGCCAACTTTCAGTACTATCCAAATAATAGATTCACATGGTTTTCAATGGTGTCCTGTGAAGTGTATTTGCCAGGGTCAGAAGATGAACGTATTATATTAGCAATTTTTTAGCCTGACTTTTACCTTCTAAGCACTTGGAATATGGCTTGTGGCCTCTGCTTGCCCTGCTGACCTGCATCCTAGCAGCCTTGCATAGCAACTACCAGCCTATCTCTTTGCCTCCCCGGATAAGCTGGCAGCCCTCTAGGACAGTCTGTGCATTCAGCCCTGCAACCTCATAGGCCGACACAGCATCCCGAGTGGAGCCAGGCTCCAGACGCCTGTGGAGGAAGCTGTGCCCTTTAGGCCCCTTGCACGCCTTGCCTCCTCTTCCCCAGGGCACGTCAGCTGCAGTCACAGTGGGCTCACTCACCGTGGACTCCACAGTCCTTTGTGGTGAGTCCTGTGGGATTTACTAGGTTTCCGAGCTGATGGAGAGTGTTAAGTCTAATTACGGATCTGTTCCCTGAGCCACACTAATTCCCCAGCAGCTGTTTTCTTCCTCAGGTGATTGACACTGAGAAGCCCCATGCTCAGCAATTATTAAATACGCAACACAAAGCCGCGCCGAGTTGTGGCAGAATGACCAGTCACATGACAGGGGCTGCTGAGTTGAAGAGAGGGAATTTCCCTGGATTTCAAAACAGGACTTCAGAACTCCAAACCCATTTTCAAAGATGCATTGTCCTTGGTCGGAAACAGAAGAGAAAAGCCCTCTGAGTTTATCCTAAACACCCGTGGAGTTGGGAAGACAGGATCAAGGCAGGTAGGGTGGTGTCACAGATACTCGGATAACATGTACTTTCCAAACACACATTGTCATCTCTCTGGCTTCATCTCCTCCATACTCACTTCATTTCCAGATGTGGCCAGATGCTGGCGGGGTCCCACTGCCATTCAGCCTTCCTTGGAGGGCCACAGCAAAGCAGTTTTAGCAAAGTGCTGGCACCAAAGGCTCCCTGGTTTCTCGGGGGTATAGGGGACCCTTCATTCTTTCAAAGGCATCAGCAATCTCTAGTGAGCTGTGAGGCTGGGATTCTTCCTGGGATCTCTGGATAGAAAGGAAAGTTCAGAGAAGCCCTGCAGGACCATCCAGGGCCTTGGTAGAGAATGCAGCACCAGCCCCTGTGCTCAGCCCACACAGCAGGTGCTGACGGTGAAGCCCAGGATGCTCCAAGAACCTGCAGGGCCACAGGGGCCTGGTTAAGATACTTTTATGGGTTCTCAGAGGATGGCCTAGGCTGAAAAGATGAACAGGCTCCTGGAGGACATGCTGCTCCCTTTGCCCATCTGAATCTCCTGCTCCTTGTCCTTTCTGGTTCTGTGCCAGGGACCAAGCTCCTTCGCCCTCTTGCCCCAGGCTGGCTCTTCCCAGTGGAGACCACAGCAGGATATCAGAAGTGGCAGAATGAGAGGTCAGGCAGGTGCCTTGGTAAATGCCACTTGAGGTCATTTCAGTCCTGCTGCAGAGCAGCGGAGGGAAGGTGGGAAGGTCCCAGTGTGAGGCTTGAGGGGGTAGGTAGAAGGGTATGGCCTGCTCCCACCCACCCCCGTGGAGGCAGCCCCTGCCCTAGCTGGTGCCCTGACGTCTCTCCATTTGGTGACGATGACACAGGGTGGCACCTCCTGCAGCTCCTCTTTCTTGTCTTTGTTTTCTTCACTCCTGTTTGTGTTTGTTGCATTTCTTGTGTAACTGAGCTTACTCATATGCATAAAATATGAGAAATGTATTCATAATGGGGCTTGTGTATTAGCATAAAAGCTTCGTCTAGGGAAATAGGTTTAAGCATTATCATCATGAAAAAAGTGGATTTCATTTCTCCTTATTTACAGTGCACGGTTCATTGTTTTTGTCTTTTTTTTTAAAGCAAGAAATAAAAAGAATCCATGCTGAAAATGTGAGATGAATTCACATCCGTTTACCTCTAGAGACATTTCTTGGACAAAAGAAAAAAAACAAAGCTGAATTGTGAGAAGATGTCAGCAAAAAAGCACATCATTATTTAAATCAGGGCTAAGTAAATAAGGAGCTGGATGTGTCTGTGTTTGCTTACAACACGTAGGATCAATTCATATATTTTAAGAAGTGCACGTATGGATTGAGCTGATTTGATTAATTGAGTGAGTGCAGTGAAAACTGCCTTACCGTAGAGGCTGGTGCTCCGACCTCTGCTGGGCAGACCTGCTCTGGGTCCCCGGGCCATGACCCAGGGCAGCTGTCTCTGGTCAGTCATTGCCACTGGGTCTAATCCTATCCAAAGAAGAGAGGCTTTTGACAAAATTAGCAAATGCTGAAAGATGAAAAAGCAAAGTCAACTAGAACCTGGCTTGCTAAAATCCATTCCTGGCTGACCAGCCAGCCCTCTCCCTTATTCGCACTTCCTACGTGGATTCCCAAGGGTTATTTTAATTGAAAGCGCACACTTAGTGAGCTAATTTGGGCTCATTGTTTTTTGTCTGTTTGTTTGTTTGTTTTTGTTTTTTGTTTTTGAGAAGGAATCTCTGTCGCCCAGGCTAGAGTGCAGTGGCGTGATCCCGGCTCACTGCAACCTCTTCCTCCTGGGTTCAGGAAGTTCTTTGGGCTCATTGTTTTAACCCGTCTCCCCCAAAACCAATAGAAAGATGGTCCTGGAATGCTTACTGATTCCAGGTTTATAGAGAAAAGAACAAACATAGGCGACACAGAGTTTCCTAACAATTCTGCCAATGCAGCCGCTGCTCCACAGTGTTCACCAGCTGCTCCTGAGTGACAATGAGAGTCCTCCTCAGAGTTCAGGCAAGGGTGAAGGGAGGCCCATTGTCCCTTGAAAAATTTCAGGCTGTAGTCGAGTCCATCCTCAGCTTGTTTTTCTGCTCCTTTCTGTCCGTCCTCATGTCATCACTGAGCAGGAAATGTTAGCGAGAACGTTCCAGCTATAATATCGCATTTTATGTCCCTCTGCATAATTCCTCTGGCAAGAAGAAGCACTGCCTTCCATTTTATTATACCTAAATGCCTCTTCTTAACAGCTTATTTTCTTGAGCATCTTCATAATTCTTCCAATAGTGGTAACAAATTCCTTGATGGTAGTAGAAATTGCAGCAAGGGGACATAAGCCACGCCATCCTTCTTTTTTCCCATTTTGGCTAATATCAGAAAGGCTGCCATCCCAAGGGGAGAGAGCAAACACTTTCTAGCTCTGAATCCATCAAATCATTTCTAAAAGCATCAGAGAATAATTGGGCATTGAGTTTTTGTGATCCCACGTGGGAGACGGGCCCCTGGTCACGTGTACATGTGAGCCTCTTTGCAACTTGCTTTCTGTACAAGGCTCAGCATGATTAGGTAGGAATAAAAAGTTAGCCTAATTTAAGAGCAAAACGCCAGGGCAAAATCCCTTTCAGCCAAAACAACATGGTCCTTGGATGATTAATCCAGTGGCCTGTTAGGAAGGGAAGACAGGTACCACAAACACCCATTTTTCGGTGAGTGGGCGGGTCTGGGCTGCCTTGTGCTTGGACATGCGCACATCTTTGAAAATCAACACCCTGCCCAGGGCTTAGCCTGACACCTGTCACTTTTTTCACCCCATGAGTTCAACAAGCCTGTATGCTTCCTGATGGGCCTCCATCCTGGCGAGCACCAGGTCTATGCCCAGCCCACCTGCAGCCAGCACCCACAGGCCAGAGAACAGCAGCCCTGCCCAGGTACAGCACCATGGGCTTAGCGCAGAGGCCGTGAGAACTGGCACCCCAGGACACAGAGAGAACTCAGGGCACTGTGATTCTTACCTTCCAGGGGTGCCACCTGCTCCCCAGGCCCTCCAGACCCATCCCTGACCTGGGCAGCTGCAGCTGCACCTGCACCACCGACCTTCCTGTAGAACTGGGCTCGAGGCTCCTGTGTCCAATGGAAAGCAAGCACCAAATCAGAGCTTTGATCTTAAAGTTTCAAAAGTTTCTTTGTTTTGCTTTTTAAAAAAAGTGCACTGGGGATGGGGGCTAAAAGTCTTATCTGACCCTGCATATATCACAAGTGTGAACTTGCACATTTTGGGGTTTGCTGGGCTTCCTATGAGAAGCCCCTGACATTATGTACTAGGCCCTTGGTGTGGCCACCCGAGGCCACCTTCATGGGAACATGCTTTCTAGATGTCCCTCAGAGAGTGAGGCTTGGCACTGAGTTCAGGGACATGAGGCCAGGAGACCTGCTCCCTGGCATTGACCTTGGAATGTCAAAGTTGGTGGAAGTCTCCTGGCCAGGCAGGGGTCTGGCTCTGCTGAGAGCCCAGGTGCCCCATCCACTAGATGCCCTGATCCCTTCATCCTGTGGCCCTGAGTGAACACACAGCATCCAACCAAGGTCCTGGCTCATCATGGAATTTTCCTTCCAGGGATATCGTGTTGCCCCTGCATCTCCCCAAATATTTCTCTGCAAGTAGGAAAGCTACTTGCACCCCAACTCTCAGACAGGTCCTCTTCACCCTGGAGCCATCCAGCACTTCACAGTTTTTTTCTTCTTCAGCTGTAAACGTCACGAGCCCCCAAATAACCCATATTTGTTTATCGGTGATCATAAGTGATTCTAGCCTTTTCTGTTTGCCCACATTGGGAAGACAGTAAACTATTTATAAACCTTTAAAAAATCAACACAATCAGGTATATTTCCACATGACACCTGTTAAAATATAGAAGAATGTGGCAAAGGGAAAAGACGTTATCCTAAACAGGATCCTGCTCTATGCAGGCCAATGACCACACTGATCCTTGGAGGAGGACCTCGTCCACCAGCCCTCAGAGTAGGACAAACCTCTCTGGCTGGGTGTGTCAGCTTCCTGGGCTGCCAGGACCAATGACCAAGCACCGGGTGGCTTAGAACAATGAAAGTTTCTCTATCACTCTTTCAGAGTCCAGAAGTCCAAAGTTAAGATGTCTACAGGGCTGCGCTTCCCCCGAAGGCTCTAGGGGAGGATGACTCCTCGCCTCTTCTAGCCCCTCATTGTTGCTGGGGTCCTTGGCTTACAGGCGTGTCCCTTCACTTTCTGCCTTTGTTGTCACATGGCTTTTTCCCTGTGTGTTCCTCTCGTCTTCTTATAAAGACACACGTTATTGGACTTACAGCCTCTCCTAGTTCGGTGTGACTTCATCTTAACTAATAGCTTCGGAAAAGAGCTTCTTCTCAGTTAAAGTTCACATTCTGAGGCGCTAGATGTACATGGATTTTGGGGGACACTCTTCCTCCCAGCACATGGGTGATGGATGCAAACAAGCCCCAGAAGGTTTACAGGTAACTGGCTTTGACCACTACACTTCGACGACAACTGCACACTGTTTTATGCCAACTTTACCATATTTATGGGCATCATTATGTTATCAACAGCTGCTGAACTAATACTGTGCGTGACTAAAGGCAGATATGAGCTATGCTGCTTCAATAGTCAATGCAGCTCTCACGGATTTCTAATTCCACAGGAACCCCATCAAGCCCAGTTGCGTTCTGCAGTGTAGCTTGCTAGAAATTGCCTGGTGATCACTGGGAAGGAATCGTGAATTCCAGCACATTTCCATTCAGCTGAAAAATTCCACCCCCTTACAGAGGCGCCCCGCAGGCTCACTCCAGCACGTGTCTCCCTCACAGCTCTCCTGCTCCCGTCACATTAAAGCTACATTTCAGCATGAGTGGGGGACGATCAGGAAATGGAATCTGAACCTAGAATTTAGGGAGAGAATAAGGAAGGTGGCCGCTGATCACAGGACTGATTTGCACTAAATTGTATCTTCTCCTTCTAAACATTTTTCCTAAGTGATTCCATCTAATCCCTGGGTCAGTAAACAAACACGTGGTAAACGATACCTGGATTGAAAACATGTGGAGGGGATTGGTCACCTGCAGCAATGTTTGACTTTAGGTACAGTCTGTGTGGTTGCTTTTGCCACAGCATTGGAGGAAGGCCTCTCTAAGGCAAGATGTCAGCACTCAGGGCAGACTGGAGGAGCCTGGGCTTCCCCAAGCCATGTGCAGCAATGAAAAGGGTGTACAGCCAGGGTTTACCAAATGCCACCTGTGCCAGGCTCTGCACCAGTCAGCTCAGGGCCAGGCCTGTGTGGCCCAAAGGCCATCTTCCCTGAGTGCACCCTAAGCTTTCTGTCTACACAGAACCAAAGGGAAGCTGGGCCCAGACTTAGGGCTAGCCATGGTAGGATCCCGTTTGATCCCAAGGGATATTGGAGGGGTCACCCAGGGCTGGTGAACTAGTTGGTTGGGAGGGAAGCAAGGGGTCTGGCAGGCCTGGGGCAGGTGCATCCCTGGAGCTCTTTTTCTGTAGCTCTTATGGGGCTTATTCCAGAAACCCAGATTCACTGCTGGGAAACATGCTCCTGGGCAGGCCCGGAAATATTTTCAGAAGGCGGGCCTCACGTAGAACCCAGGACAATTTGGCTTCACCTGCCCAAATGAGCAAAACCTTCCTGGCAAAGGCAGAGTACCCACACTTCCCAGAGCTCTGGTTCCCTCCCGAAAGGCAGGGACACAGTGGATGGCTCCCAGCGATATCCAGGCGGGAAACCTGCAATTTTGCTTTATCAGATGAGCTGGGGTGAGGTGACCCCGGCCCCTCCCTGTTGGGTGGCAGGATCTGCATGGGGTGCGGCAGGGGTCGCGGGAATCTCTACCTGGAGCGGCTCTCAGTTGGACCATCCAAGAGGAAGGTCAGGGATGCCCCAGCATCTTGGGCTGCGGGGCAGAGGTCTGCAGAGGCTGGGGGGCAAATGCGATGGTCAAGGCCGGGATCTCCACAGCCTTCAATTCTAGGGCTGATACACACAGCATCATGTGATTACAGCTTTCCACAGTGAGCTGTGATCTCCAAAGATGATGGCTGCGGAATCACTCCATGGTAAAATGCAGATTCCTGGGCCCGCCAGCCCACGGGATCGAAACCTCTCAGAGGGGCCTGGAGTGTGCAGCATGAAGCAGCCCTGGGGAGAGCCTGTGCAGGACAACACTGAGAGCCAGAGTCAGGCTGACAGTGCTGGCACCACAGCACGGCCTCACTCTGCAGGCTTCAGGAGCATCCAAGAGTGTCGGGCCTCAGAGAGGACTGTGGGGAGGCCAGGTGGGGGCAGGAATGGCATCCAAAACCAAGGAGCCGTGTGTCACTCAGACCTGGGAGGTCAGGAGCTGTATCTGGTCTCTCAAATGTGCTTGGAAAGGGGTGGGGACTTAGATTGCTGAAAAGTTTTCTATGATTACCCTCACATCTTTGAAATTGTAAACTTATGGTACTTAGAGACTTGGCCATGTTTTTCATGCATGCTAAGACCCAGGAGACTGCTCAGCTGGGCAAACGTGCAAGAAGGAACTGCATGCAGAGCTCAGCTCTTTTCTATCTGGCTGAAAAGCTGAAAGCCCAGCTGTGTGGTTGGATGAAGGTGGGTTTGAATCCAGGAGCTGAAGGTGCCTACCATGTCACCTGATCTCTGCTGCCCTCCGTTTCTTCATGTATGTGATGTGAGCCAGCACAGATGTGTCTGTCGTCACCAGTCTCTTGGTCCTATTAATGCTGGTAACGGTAACATCTGCATGCATGGGCATCAATCCCTGGCCTGCTCCCCTTGTCCCTATCCTAATCCTCCTACCACCATTGCTGGGATGCCCAAAGAAGGTCTTAGTTCATTTCCTGGGGTTGGGGGGTCCTGGTGGTCTTGCCACATAGCCATGGCTCCTGGACATGGTCTGAAGCCTCCCTCGCCACCCCCATGAGAGGCCTTCAAGCTGAGATTCCTCTATAAGTGGGGCTGGATTTGGTGGCCAGTATCACTGCTGTCACCACTCCTGTGAGCCAAGCAGGGCTCTGGAGTCACCAAGCTTCCCTCTGCAGGCGGCAGACATATCTGAGCACTGGAGCTCCGGATTGCCAGTGTGGAAAGTGTAGCCAGCTTGCCTGTGGGGCTGTGCACCTGCAGTGTGGTTCAGTGAGCTAATGGGCACTCTCCTACATGCATGGACACACACGTACGTGTGCAGATACATGCACACTTCCATGCATGCACACGAGTGACCCAGGGCGCTGGTTGGAAAGAGTCTAAACACCAGCCGTGGGCCCCGTGGTCCTTGGGCTGAGGGTGCCCTGAGAACCCTGCAGCCTGGCTTCCAACTGGCTCCCACCTTCGGGTGGGTTTACAGGGGTCTCCATAGCCACTGGGACGTATTCTGCTTCCTTCCGCTCCCCTTCCAGCTTCTTCAGGCCAATCAGTTGCAGCAGACACAGTCTCAGGGAACTGGAGTCACTTAAATCCCCACAATGAACATTTTCAAGTCCGGTGAAAATGCCCACCTGGGAAATGATTTGTATCTGTCTTGAACAGTGGCTGTGAAGATCAGAGACAGTGTGAGCTACGGGCCTGGAAAACCAGGAGAGCACAAAGTGTCCAGGGAGCCTCACTTTTCTCATCAATAAAATGGGAACAATGCTCACCCAAAAGTGTATATTATTCCCTACAAGGCCCAAAGCATAGAGGCCAGAATTGGGCTTGCATCTGGGGCTGTGGTGTCGGTGGTCACCCCGGTGGTCACCCCTGTGGTCACGCTGCTTGCCGTCATGGGTGACTCTGCTCCACGGGCACTGGTGGGTTCTGCATTGGGACACGGAGGTGATGGGGCTGTTGTCCTACCATGACACTCCACTTCCCCTTCCTTCCCCAAGGCATCCACTGGTGGGAGGTCCTTAGGGCTCTCCAGGATCACACTGCTATGGCCAGGCCCCTAGGAGGACAGAGGGCCAGACCACCGCCCCGGGAGGACAGAGCAGCTAATTCTATTATCTTCGAGGCACAAGGCAAACTGCTTCCCCTTATCTCTAGGGAAAAAAAAAGATAAACTTGGCCAAATTATGTTTAATTTATTCTTTTAGGATTGCAGACACATTGTCTATGACTCAACGGCACCAAGAGGTGCTAAGTTAGTCACTCCTGCCCTAAACTTGCCTCAGTCTCTCACTCTGCCTTATTCCCCTCGGACGAATTCTTTCCTTTGAGGTGAGAATGGAGACTGCAGCCCTGTACAGATTCGCTGCTGCTCACATACTTTGTGTACTGAGCATTCGGTCTTCTGTTTTCTACAAAGGAGGGTTGTTCTGTTCCCATGAGGCAGCAGATTAATAGGAATTTTTTTTTTAACTTTTACATTTGAGTGTAAGGGTGGGTTTAGGCTTGAAAACAGCATGCTCTTCCCGCTCCTGAGATCCACACGTGTCCCTTAGGTTGAGACGGCCCAAAGTCCTGCGGCGCATGCTGATGGCAGAGAGTACTTTTAGTTTTTACTTATGGGGAATATGACCCCAGTGCTGGATTGAAGTTATTCAATTTCTATGATAAGAAAACATTTGACATAATGAAGGTTAAAGCATGAAAGATAAGGCCGATCACTGCAATTTTTCATCCTGGAATGTAGGCTATGATAGGAAGCTTTGTTCACTCCTTCCAGAAATATCTGATGGAGAATTAACTGAGGAAGCAAGACAGCTGCTCATGGGGCCGTTTCCTGGCTCATCACGAGAGAGTCAAATGCAGACACTCTCAAGGGCTGGGGAGTGACCCAGAGCGACCCACGGCGCACGTCTCATCCAGGCTCTGGCCAGCTTCACTTAAAGTGATTTTATGCAACCACCTCCTCCTGGCAGATACTGTAAGAGTTGCCTAAACCAAGGAGATCCGAGGAGCTACCACACAAGAACCGTGACATTGCCTGTGTTATTAGAACTAGTGTGTGCATGTATGTATGTTTGTCTCTGTGTGTGCATAAATAAGTGATATGTGCATACCTGTGTGATGTGTTCATGTGTGCTGATGTGTGTGCATGCGTAGCTGTGTGCATGAGTGCGTGTGTGTGCATGTATCTGTGTGTACAAGTGCATATGTGTGTGCATGTGTAGCTGTGTGCATGAGTATGTGTGTGTGCATGTGTGTTTCTGTGTGCACGAGTGCATGTGTGTGTGTGCATGTGTGTTTCTGCCTGCGTGCAATCCTCCTCCCTATTTCCAGAGCCGCCTGCTTCTGCTCTGGTCTCAGCCAGGGTGATCTCACAAGAATGCAAATCTCTGACTGTCCCTAAGGCACTAAGGTCCGTTAGTGATTTCCCTTGTCCCGGAGATAAAGCAGAATTATTTAGTATAACCCTCCCTGACAATTCACCCCAGGTTGTCCCACATCCCTCCACATCCATTTGCCCCGCATCTTTGGCCCTTTCCCCTGTCTCCTTAACACCATCTTTCTTTCTGTCTGGGATCCCGCTCCCCTGCCCTTTCTGCCTGGTGCACTCCTACAGTTTTGCAGTCCTCAGCTCAGATGCCACTTCCTCCTGGAAGCCTTCCCTGATCTTCCTGACCATGGAACACCCCATCACAAGTGTGCATCCTACCTCATCCTTGTCCTCTGTGGAGCCGGCCACACAGCTCTGTCGCCTGCTTCCTGGATGACACCACCCTGCACTGTGAGTATCTAGAGGGCGGAGAGTGATGCCGGTGTCACTCACTGTGATCCAGCACCCAGAACATTGCCAGGCATGCGCATAGGATTCAATGATGATTTGCTGAATGAATGAATGAGTGTGTGGGCCTGCATTGCACGTTTTCTTTTTTGCCTAGAGTCTATTGTGCTTTGAAATATTTAAGAAATGACAGGCAGCCTCACATAACTTTCACATAAGGCGACCTACTGCCTAGATGTTGTGTCATAGACAGCTTCTCTCCAATCCTTCCCCTTGGCCAACCCTTTCACAGCCTGCAGGACCTCTTCAAATGCCCCTACAATTGCTCTCCAGCCATAGAGTGCTGTGGAACTTGAAACCCCCTCCCTTCTCTATGAAGTCTCCATAACTTGACATTTTTTTAGACATGACTCAGCTGATAATAATGAAATGATTTTGGTGGGGGGTGTAGCTATCTAGAACACAACAGAAAAACAAACCCCAATAGGGTTGATACAAAGACTAGCATGTTATGTGGCTTAAGAGTTAGCAGATACTTACTTAGCAGGACAGTTTCTTCAAAGACCCACACAAAGTCACGGTATCACTGGCTCTCAAGTGGAAAGATCAGTAGCGGTGACTGTGAGGGGCTTGGTGTGCCAGGGCCCTGCAGGAAGCCGTGGCTCACTTGCAAGGGCAGCTCAGGGAGTGCAAGTGAGGAGACGATGTATGAGAGAGGCCATAAGGGACAGGGTGGGGTCCGGGTGCTAGTGTCAGTGTGGCGTTGGTTCCCTGAAGCCGGAGGTGGGACTGGGAGGTGGAGATGAGGCCTTGCTTGAAGCTGGCAGAGAGACCAGCAGGGGGAGGGCTACAGCGAGAGGAGATGGGCATTTGGCTGAGGGACACGCCAGCTTGAGACACCCTTCAGGGAACGAGCCTGTGAATCCTATGCCCTGACTGTGCTCTTCTCCCCGCTAGGACCCTCCCTGCTGCCCCCCGCCCCTGCGCCTTTGGTTACATCCAGTGGGGTCAGAAGGCCTCTGACTGCATCGGCCCATCCACAGGCACAGGGAAGGGCAGATAGGGCAGAGAGCGGCTCTAGCCGGGTAAATGGAAAATGAGTGGCAAACACAGATGTTTAGTTCCACATATCTTGTTTGATTCCACTCTTTTAGAAGACTCTAAGCTTTACTCACATTCTTGGAGCATGCATGAAATGAATGCAGATGATCTTTCTCAAGCAGATTCTAAAGCGTCTCTGGCTCCCGTTCACGTCTGCTCTCTCTGAAATTGGGCACCTCCATCCCAGGGGCATGGATTCCTTTCAAAGCCTCTCTCGTTCAGGAACCTCATAACACCCACAGGTGGGCCTACAGGGATTTCTTTTTCCCAAAAATAAGTTACACAATAAGCTTCTATGATGAGATCTCTTCAAGTACAACCCAACTCACTTTGAGCACAGCGGTATTTCGGCCTCAGCGTCAACCCCATTTTCCATCGCAGCACCATGCAATTCTAAGCTGATTGCAGAGAGCTCACACCATCAATGCCAAATTCCAGCTATCAGTGGAAAGAGACTTGCCTGTCAGCTTTCTCTATGCCTGGAGATAGAGAGAGAGCAAGACAGGGAGCTGGGGAAGGGATGTCCAGCTCCGTCCCCAGGCTGTGGGTGACACAGCTCCCAACTCCCCACCAATTAACAACCAGCTCTCTTTGGCCAGTGACTCTAGGTTTCAGCATTCTGAAGAGATTTTCCCAGCAGGAATATAAGACATAAATATCCTGATGTGTTTACGCTCCACGGGAGATGCGGGGCTTCGTTTTACTCTGGAATTGGGACATGTCAGGAACCCACCCCCTTTAGCATGAAAAGTCCCGCCTTGCAGAAGGGGCCGAGGGAGGGTCTGCTGGGGTGTCCACCGGGGCATCTGTGTGAGGGGGTGCTGGTGGGGGCAAACATCCCAAACTTCACATCCAAATGCACAGCAGACTCAGGACCTCTGAGGTCCTTGTGAGCTCGAAGAACTCTTGTACCCTAATATCTAGGCACATTGATGCCATTTGTGAATTCACATCAGTCTCTGCACATAGAAATAAGGTACTTCCAACCGAACAAGCTCTTTTATCTCCTCTGTCCTCCACAGAAGGAAGATGGGCATCCCCTTCGCCAGGGCTGCGGTCTGGACGGCCCTTTACCCGGTGCCCCTTTCCCCGTCTGCAATAAAGGCTGGGTGTCAGTTTATTTGAGCTGCCACAACCAGGTACCACAAACTGAGTAGCTAAAAGCAACAAAAACATATTCTATCACAGTTCTGGAGGCCAGACTTTTAAAATTAAGGTGTGGGCAGGGTTGGTTCCTCCCAAAACTCACAGGAAGAATCTGTTCCATGCCTCTCCCCTAGTTTCTGGTGGTAGCCGGCGATCCCTGAAGTTCCGTGACTTGTAGACATCGCTGCAGCCATCACATGGCACTGTCCCTGTGTGTCTCTGTGTTCAAATCTCTTCTTATTAGGACAGGCCGCTGGAGTAGGACTCAGGCTGCTGTGTCTCCTGGGAAGCCTCGAGTTCCAAAGGCAGCAGCTTTCCATTTGCTCCTGAGCAATTTCTCCACAAAAGGAAGACGGGGGCAGGATGAGAAACAGGCCACAGCCTTTGGGTTCATGTTCAGCAGTGAGGGAGCTCCCAGCAGCAGGAGCCAGGGAAGGCTGCCCTGTCCCGCTCAGCAGGCATGAAGCTTGAGCCCACTGAGCTTCCAGCACCAGGCGGGCCCTGGGGAGCCGACTCTGCCTGTAAGGAAGAGACCACAGCTCTGGGCCTGTGCGCACCTTGCACGTTGGTGGGTGATTGCGGATGAGGAGACCACAGCTCTGGGCCTGTGCGCACCTTGCACGTTGGTGGGTGATTGCGGATGAGGAGACCACAGCTCTGGGCCTGTGCGCACCTTGCATGCTGGTGGGTGATTGCAGATGAGGGTGCATTCATGGCTGTTCTTCACATGAAGGGGTGAGATGAAGAAACGGCACTCAAATGACCCAAGGATGCCAGCTCCGGCAAGGCGCACAGAGAGGAGTGGCAGGCACACAGGTGCCCGTCCACAGGACGTCTTCTGAAGACACTCTGCTTCCTTCTAAGCCTCACCTTCTTCCCTCTTGGCCTTTGCGGCCCGCCCGCCCAGCTCAGCCTCTCTGGCCTGAATACCTGCCTCCTCTACCTGCTCCCGGCGCCCCCACTGCCTTGATCTACCTGATACCTACACTGCAGGTGAATTCTCCCTGAAACTTGTGGATCTCACCACCGCCAGCTGTGACCCTTCACGGACTCCCAACACCCTGAAGATATAGGACAGGGATCAGCACAGACCCTCTGTGTCTACAGTGACCCCTTCTCTCCTGCCCTTTCCCCATTCATCATGAGATAGCCCCTCCGACACCAGCCATATCCTGTTTCTGAGCCATGCTCCCTTCCAGCTCTGGCCTTCCTGCAGGCTGTTCCACTGCCTGGAACACACTTCCACCCTCCTTTCTCCCGAAGCAATTCCCAGTTGTCCTTTGGAGCTGAGTTCACTCTCCTAGTCCCAGACATGGCTTCTGTGCCTGTTAGCTAGGTGAGGTCCACGCAGTGTCTCTCCTCCAGGGGCTTCCGTACCCGTTAGCTAGGCGAGGTCCACGCAGTGTCTCTCCTCCAGGGACTTCCGTGCCCGTTAGCTAGGCGAGGTCCACGCAGTGTCTCTCCTCCAGGGGCTTCCGTGCCCGTTAGCTAGGCGAGGTCCACGCAGTGTCTCTCCTCCAGGGGCTTCCGTGCCCGTTAGCTAGGCGAGGTCCACGCAGTGTCTCTCCTCCAGGGGCTTCCGTGCCCGTTAGCTAGGCGAGGTCCACGCAGTGTCTCTCCTCCAGGGGCTTCCGTGCCCGTTAGCTAGGCGAGGTCCACGCAGTGTCTCTCCTCCAGGGACTTCCGTGCCCGTTAGCTAGGCGAGGTCCACGCAGTGTCTCTCCTCCAGGGGCTTCCGTGCCCGTTAGCTAGGCGAGGTCCACGCAGTGTCTCTCCTCCAGGGACTTCCGTGCCCGTTAGCTAGGCGAGGTCCACGCAGTGTCTCTCCTCCAGGGACTTGGGTTTCTCCACTCATCTCTTACTGAACTGGCGATTCAGTGACTGTTCAGTTACTCGATGGCTCCCAAATGATTATTCTCCTGACCCCCACCAGCCCCTGTGGCCCCCGTGCCTAAGGCAGGACAGCCACGGGCCAACCCTCCCTGCCGCACAAGCCAGAGATGGTGGGGACAGACTCACCTGCTGAACTCTGATGCAGGCAGAGAGCCGTCACTAGCGATGAAGGATCACTCGTCAAGGCTGAAGAATGTGGAGGCCCTGCCAAAACATTTCCAATTACACATTCATTTATTGATGTTTCTAAATAAACGGGTTGTTGAGAAATGTCAAACACACGTCAGTGAGCACAAAATACATCTAGAATCTCTTCCTATTGAGGCTGTGGACACACAGGACAACCTGTTGAGACCTCTATGGGCACGGTTCTCTCCCGCGGGCTTGCTGGGATGGCTTCGAAGTTGGAGACCATCCACTTGCTTCCCACCTGCGCTGCCCTGTGGGGTGCTGTGGGAGCCTGGATCTGGCAGGACTGCTCTGGCCAGTGTCCCGGCTGCCAGCGGCTGGGCAGGGAACCCGAAGGAGCCCGGAGCCCCTCCCCCCCCCCCCGCTCCCTGTGCGTGGCCTCAGCAGCTTGGGGAGGCAGTGGTCGCTCTCCGCTGGGCAGCTCTCTGCTTGATTCACCTGGGTTCTGCTCAGCTGC
Source organism: Homo sapiens (assembly GCF_000001405.40). Taxonomy (NCBI): domain Eukaryota; kingdom Metazoa; phylum Chordata; class Mammalia; order Primates; family Hominidae; genus Homo; species Homo sapiens. The sequence goes on from NC_000010.11 coordinate 130,786,624, forward strand.
ACCTGCCTGGGCCCCTGCAGGCCGAGGGCTGGGAAGGCTCTGTGGCATTGCCGGCCGGGGGCTTCCCATCCCATCTGAACTGCCTGGACCCTGCTGTGGCTCTCCCTACAGACTCCGCATTTGAGGCTCCCCAGTGTCCCCTTGGAGGGCCGAGTTTGTTCCCACTCGGGACCCCGAGGCACAGAACTACCGAAGATCTGTACGGCCTCCCAGTCTGGGACAGGATGTGCCCTCCCAGGCTTTCAGGTTTCAGCAGGGCCCAAGAAGAGTCCTCTCTGCCTGGGGAATGCGATCCTGTCCCAGAACCCCAGAGCCTGCCTTCAGGAGGGAGGTGGGCAGGGAAGGGAAAGAGAAAGGGAACATGCAGCCGTCATCAATGTCTGTCCCCTAGACGACCTTGTCAGGGCCACCTCTAGAGCCCGACTGCGGCTGCCTCAGGGAAAAGGGTCTCTTGAAAAGGAGCCTCAGGGAAAGGGTCCCTCGAAAGGCTGCTGGTCCTCGACTTGCTTCTATCCTCAAGAAATGCATGGAAGGCAGTTTCATTCTCTAAAAAACAATTTTTAAATATTATGAACGCTTCCCTTCAAATTTCAAAGCCGTCTTTTGTTAGCCTCCGAAAAAAATAATTATCTGTTATTATTAGGGGGCTGAAGGAAGGGACTGGACAAAGAGTAAGCCTGTAGTTATTTAAAAAGGAAAAAGCTTTCTGCTGAATTGGAAATGGAGATATTCTTTCTGCCCAGGCTTAATTCCAGTTTTGCAGAATGAGAAATAACAAAATTGATTTTTATCTAGATCAGTTGGGACACCACGTGCCTGGCAGTTGCTCAATTCACTTCCAGAGCAGATTGAGCAGGGCTGTTTTGATTTGTTCTTGCTCTCCTGGATACGGATTTTACTCTGCAAGATAATGCCATGATCTTCTTAAGGCTTCAAAAGACCACTTCATTTCTCAAGAAATGCATGTCTTGTCCTGCCCCTACCCCCACGCTCTGGATATTATGATTACATGCAGACATATATATATATAATCACTGAGCCAAGGTCTAAATTCACCTCTGATTTCTCAGGTATCCAGTTGATTTTATTCTAAGGCTGTGGATGGGCTGAAGTCCCATCCACAGGGCTCTAGAGGTGGCCCTGACAAGGTCGTCTAGGGGACAGACGTTGATGAACTGCTGCATGTTCCCTTTCTCTCTCCCCGCCCTGCCCACCTCCCCCCTGAAGGCAGGCTCTGGGGTTCTGGGACAGGATCACTCTTGACTTTGCTGAAGTCAAGAGCTTCAGCCATTCTCTTTGCCCTCACTTTGCTCCTCTCACAAGCCCAGCTCCTGCACATGGCAGGGAGCACAGGTCTGCAAAAGCAAGACTGTGCTTACTCAGAAAAGGCTGCACTTACTGCATTCCTCCAGGCACACAGGCGGGAGCTGTAATTCTGCTGGCAATGCCCGTCTTTAGACCCCTAAACACAGCACTGGGGTCAGCGAGGGTTAGGGGCCAGGAACTTGCAGCCTCCTCCAGAGACAATAGGGATGCACCACCTACCAGGGATTCTCCAGGTTGGAGGGTCCCTCTGCTTGCACCTGTGTTTCTGCTTTCTCTCTTAGGGAGTCCCGGGTCGTACTCCCTCTGAGCCCAGGTGCCTTCTTGGCTGAGCCACTGTCTGTACCTGTGCCGTTACTGAGACAAAAGGAAAAGTGAAAACAGCGATGATGTTTTCAGACCTTTTGAGCATCACAAGCCTTGCAGCGCTCAATCTGTGTGGGGAGAAGTCTCAGTCTGTATGTGGGGAGAAGTCTCAGTCTACATGTGGGGGAGAAGTCTCTGTATGTGGGGAGGGCTCAGTTTGTATGTGGGGAGGAGTCTCAGTCTGTATGTGGGGAGGAGTCTCAGTCTGTATGTGGGGAGGAGTCTCAGTCTGTATGTGGGGAGGAGTCTCAGTCTGTATGTGGGGAGGAGTCTCAGTCTGTATGTGGGGAGGAGTCTCAGTCTGTATGTAGGGGAGAAGTCTCAGGCCCCCTGAGCTGACAGTGATGGTCCCTTCTGACTGGTAGGACTTTGACTCAGTCCAAATTCCTCCACGCTGGGTTCCACTGGGAGATGTGTCAAAGACCTATCCCTGGTACCTGTGAATACAACCTGGTTTAGATGGGAGGTCTTTGCAGAGGGAATGAAGTTAAGATGCGGCCACAACGGATTAGGGGTTGGTGTCCTTACGAGGAGAGAGACACACAGGAGAGAAGCCAGGAGACGAGGAGGCAGAGACTGGGGTGATGCAGCTGCAAGCTAAGGAATGCTGAAGATTGCCGGGAGCAGGCGAGCAGGGGAGCAGGCGAGCAGGGGAGCAGGGGAAGCAGGGGAGCAGGGGAGCAGGGGAAGCAGGGGAGCAGGGGAGCAGGGGAGCAGGGGAGCAGGGGAGCAGGGGAGCAGGAGGAGCAGGGGAGCAGGGGGAGCAGGGGAGCAGGGGAGCAGGGGAGCAGGGGAGCAGGGGAGCAGGGGAGCAGGGGAGCATTCTCTGGTGGGGCCTTCAGAGGATGCACCGCCCCACTGTTGCCTCGATTTCAGACTCCTGGCCTCCTGAATGGGAGCGGATCTCTTTCTGCTGTCCTGGGCCCCCCAGTTCGTGGTACTCTCCCACAGCAGCCCCAGGGCACTCACGGCCAAGCTCTGTTTCCACCCTCGGAGAAGGTTTCAGAGCAGCCAAGTTCCTCCGATGAGCCACGTCCAGACCCTACCCTGACTTTTCCGAACCTTAGGCTCCTGGACAGGAGGGATGAGGAGGAAGCTGCCCATCCCAGCAAGGGCCCAGTGTGGAAACTGTCCACACTGCACGGATATCCACACTGCCCGCTGGAAGCCAGAATAACCCATGAACCTGAAGCTCTCAAGGCCTCCCAGGTCCCTAGCCACCCAAAGCCTGGGAGGGGCTGGCAGTGTGTTCGTGGGGTCACATGTTTTGGGATGTTTCCGAAATATCTCTAAGCTGCAATTTGCTGAGTTGTTTCTTTCCACTTTGACCTTCCGTGGGTCCTACTTCCCCTCAGGGTGGAAGACTGTGGCGTCCTGCAGGCATGGCTGGGATGCAGCTATGGGGAGGCTGGGCTGGGCCTCACTGGGTTTCCATTTAGTGGGCTGTATTTATTTATTTAAATGTCACTTCCTGTTGTAGCTGCCATTGCTTGAAATTTTGCAGAGCTAGTTAGAGTCGGAGCCCGATTCAATCCAAGGCTCCCCTCTGTCCGGCTTAGGTCCCCCAGCTGCGGCGGGCGGCCCTTCTCATGTTGAGCAAAGTGTGAGTGTGAGGAAGGTACAGGCGCAAGGCACTCAGCCCAGGGCCTGGTGTGACAGGGCTGTGTTCAGTAAACGCCAGTGTGCAATTACAGAACGCACACTCCACACACAGACACCCCCACCACACTCAACCCATACATACACACTCACACACTCACACACAGACACTCCCACCACACTCAACCCACACACCACATACACACAGACACACATCACAACACAAACATACACGCCGACCACACACCCCCTCACACACACAGGCACACTCACAGACACTCCCACCACACTCAACCCACACATACAAACTCACACACTCACACACAGACACTCCCACCACCCTCAACCCACACATACAAACTCACACACTCACACACAGACACTCCCACCACCCTCAACCCACACATACAAACTCACACACTCACACACAGACACTCCCATCACCCTCAACCCACACATACAAACTCACACACTCACACACAGACACTCCCACCACCCTCAACCCACACATACACACTCACACTCACACTACCCACACATACACACACAGACACTCCCACCACACACAACCCATGCATAAACACTCATAGACCACATACACAGCACACACCACAAACATACACACCCACCACACTCACCCCCACACACACAGACACTCCCACCACACTCTACCCACACACACACTCATACACCACATACACACCCACACACAACACAAACATACACATCCAATACACACTTCCCCCACACACAGACACTCCCACCACACTGAATCCACACACACACACCGCATACACACCACACACACACAACAGACACACACGCACCACACACTCCCCCCCACACAGACAGTCCCACCACACTCTACCCACACATACACACTCCACACACTCACAGACACTCCCACCACACTCAACCCACACATACACACACAGACACTCTTACCACGCTCTACCCACACACACACAAGACTCCCCCACCACACACAACCCATGCATACACACTCACAGACCACATACACAGCACATGCACGACACATACACAACCACCACACACTCCCCACACACACTCACAGACAATCCCAACACACTCTACCCACACACACACACCACATACACACCACCCCCACACAACACAAACATACACACCCAATACACACACCCCACACTCAGACACTCCCACCACACTCTACCCACACTTACACATTCACACACACACTCCCAACACACTAGCCACACATACACACACACTCACACACAGAATCTCCCCCATCACAAAACCCACATATACACACACACTCACACACCCCACACACACCACACACTACACACCCACCACAAATTCCACCCCACTCACACCACACATCCCCCCCACACCACACGTATAGACCCCCACCACATATACCACACATACACAGTCACATACACCACACACACAAACCACACACAAACACCCACCACACACTCACCCACATTCACCACACACTCCCCTCACATACCACACACACAAACCTACAAACCTACCACACGCTCCCCACACACACCAAAAACATACACACCCACCACACACCACATGTACATATGCACCACACACTCCTCCCAACACATAACACACACTCCCACTTCACACAACACACAAACATACACACCTATCACACATTCCCCCACCACACCACACAAGCACGTACACCCCCACCACACACACCCCACACATACAGATACACACCCACCTCAAAAATATACACATTCACACACTCACACACACTACACACCCCCACCACACAATCCCCACACAGTCACACTCACACACACACCCATATACATCTCCATATGCCTCATGTATGTCAGGCGTACACACCTGCATATGCATATATACATACACATAAATACTCCCTATGTCCTGTACTCATAAGGCACACACATTACAAACACACTCACACTCGTATGTGCATGCTGCACCCACACATGTGTGCACTTCTGTCCTGCGTACCCCGCCCGCCCGTCAGCCCCTCCTGCCCTCCGCTGTCCTCTGCTCCCCTGGCTGCCTTATTCGCTGTGCTCCCAGGGCCCCGAGCCCCCATCACCCAGTTCAGGGGCCAGAAGGCCAGTGGGGTCTGTAGACCATGGCTGCTTCAGTCCCTGCCTAGGTGGCCGGGGGAGGTGGATGCTGGAACAACCCCAGGAACCTAGGGCTCCAATGAGGCTTGGCCCACCCCCTCCCAGAGCCCCTGTGTTTCCAAGGACAATCTCAAGTCCTCCCTTCCCCTGGGCTGGCCCCAGGCCTCAGTTCCTGTCACCCTCGGCAGCAGCCTCCCTCCCTTCTTCCCTCCCTGCCTGCCCTGCACCCCTCATCCAGCTGGCCAGTGTCTCCACATGGGCCCTGTACCCAAGTGAGAGCGTCCCCCCATGCCTCGTCCCACTGTGGTCTTGCATCCTCTGTTCAGTGACCCTCCTTCCCTTGCTCCTCTTGGTCCAGGTTTCCAGGGAGACTGCTGGTTGGCACCGCTGCTATTCTTAGCAGGACTCTTTAAAGGTGCTGAGTCTTACCATGCCACCCTGCGGATTTGAGGCCAAATGCTGTAGTCTCCCGGAGGATTGGAGAAAAGGCCCCAAGAGAGGTGTGGTTGTACGCAGCCCTGCTCACTTTGCGGAGTGGATTTGCGCTCACCTGCAGGTCAGGTGGTCTGGGGAGCTTGGCTTTGCTGCTTTGCTCTGTGGGAGCCGCGAAGGGAAGGCTCCAGGGCCTGAGTGAAGGGTGCGGAATGGCCCATGAGGGGTCCCATGGGGAGTCCACAAAGGGTGCTCCGGCCAGGCTCCTGTAGGAGGCAGGGTCTGGGCTGAGCAGGTTTCAGGAGAGGGAGGGGAGTGTGAACAGCAGGTCCCACTTAGAGCTTTCTCGTCCCCAGGGACCTGGAGTCAGAGTGCCCGGCAGCAATCCCTGGGGAGCGTGCCTCTGGGTCGTAGAATGCCGTCAAGCTCAGCACCTTCCGTGTGTCTCTGCAGCCTGAACCTAATGATTGATACTTTACATTTAGAGTTCACCCCTCTCATTTCACCAATGCATCTCCTCATCTATCAAGGGTGGCGTTTGTCACTTCACATCTGTCTGCACTCTCCTGGCCGGCAAGCAACCCTCCTCCTGGGCTGATGTAGGTCACCTCATTCTTCCACCAACTCTGAGCCATACGTGGTGTCAAATGACACAAGGAAGCCGGCTGGGGGAGACAGGATGGGGTCTTCTGTTCCAGGTCCAGCTGGGAGCCCCCATCCCGTCTCCCCTGCACAGTCTGCAGTGCAGGCTCTGTGTGTCACTGTGCTGGCGAGAGGGCAAGAGGCCATGTGGCCTGTGATGGCTGCCGCAGCTCCCATGGGTGCACCTGAGGTCCCCAGTGCTATTCAGAGTTCTCCTGGGAATCCACAACAAACCTCATTCCATGGGATCCTTGCTGATTCCAGAGGAACTAGACCTGGAGGATATGTTTTCTTCCCATGCACCGATCCTGGGCAGACCCGCGTGTCAGCACCTGAACCACTGGGCACAACCCATGCACTGCCCTCCAGCTGTTGTGAGTGCAGTAAAACAGCCAGAAGAACATGAAGCCATTCACAGGCCAGCGGAAGATTGGAAAGTGTGTCACGACTCCCCCACTTCCCAAGTGCAGACATGACTTTCCTAAATTCTTTAATAGTCTAAATATTGTATTGCATACAAACCTTTAACTCATTTTTCAACCATTCTTTACTTAAATTATAGTAAAATACACAAACATAATATTTGCTTTTTAGCCATTTTAACATGCATAATTCAGTGACCTTCAGTACACTCACGATTCTGTGGAAACATCCCCACTGTCCAGTTCCACCTGAAGTACACTCCTGGTACTGTGGAAACATCCCCACTCTCCAGTTCCACCTTAGGCACACTCATGGTACTGTCGAACCATCCCTACTGCCCAGTTCCACCTGAAGTACACTCACGGTACTGTGGAACCATCCCCACTGTCCAGTTCCCAAACCCAACCATTCTTTTAAATCTTACATCAAAATATCAGCATCTTTGGAAGCTCAGAAACGTTGGTTGCATCGCTCTCCCTCCCCCACCTCTTATCTGCCCCTCTCACCTGCCACCTGCTCCACTGAGCCCAAGATGCTGCTGCTGACACCTGCTCCATTTCCTCCTGGGCTTGAAGCTCATGCTCTCTGAGGTCTCTTCCCAAAACATCTTCACCTTGGTGAGCCTGCCCGTATGGTCTTTAAAACCCACATTGAGTTTTTCCTTATTCCTATTCATTTGCTAATTCATCCAGTGATTCAAAACTCCATGCCAATGTTGTCACGCTGGACACAGAAAGCGTGATGGATTAGTCTAGGTTCTCCAGGGAAACAGAACCAATAGGAAATATGTGTATGTGTGTGTGTGTGTCTGTGTGTGTGTATGTGTGTGTGTTTGTGAATGCGTGTAGTGAGGGAACTGAGAGACTCACCATAAGGAGCTGACTCATGTTATTATGGAGGCCAACGAGTCCCAAGATCTGCTGTTAGTGAGCTGGGGACCCAAGAGAGGTGATGGTTTAAGTTTTAGTCCAAGTCTGAATTCAAAGGCAGGAGAAGACCCAGGTCCCAGTCCAAAAAGAGCAAAGAGAAGGCATTCTTTCTCAGTCAGGTTTGACTCTGTTTAGGCCATTAGCTGACCGGTGAGGCCCACCCACATGACGGAGGACCCTCTGCTTGACTGGGTCTGCAGACTCACGTGTTGATCTCACCCAGAAACACCCTCACAGACACACCCAGAAAATTTTTTGAAAAAATATCTGGCCACTCCATGGGCCAAGTTGACACCAAAGTTAACTGTGGCACACTACCATCACTAGTTTCAAGGTCTCTCCATCTGGCGGGAGATATGGATGCCTCGGGGCAGAGGCTAAGGTGCCCGTGTGCTCAGCGTCTTGCAGGTGCACAGGATGGTGCAGGATATTTGACCTGCACGCCAACTTTGAAACAATACTGCACCTGTTTTATGGGGAGGTGAGGTAGCTCGCAGAGGTTGCATGGTTGCTGGGAAGATGGCATTCACACCAGCTTCACCGGATCCCCCAATCCATGCTGTTCCCAGGAACCCACACTGATTCATTTGTAGAAATATAGACGTTTCCAAGGTTTGGTATTTTGTACATTTCCTATAATAAATAAATCTTACTTTTATAAAAGAAAATAGCTGAAGCTTTTAGAACAAAACAAAACCATAACCAAGGACACTAAACAACACTCCTTGAAATATCCGTTGCTGCTCTGGGTGGTAAGTAGAAAAATACACTAGGTTCACCAGCAGCCTGGAGGTGAGTGCATATCTTTCTTGCAGAAAGGGCCCTGGGGGAGGGCATTGCCAGGGGGCTGATGAGCACAGGACGGGAGGCAGGAACATACTGCGGATCTGTCTGGACACTCACCATTTGCATGCACTATTTAAGAACAATACGAACTCATCAATTCTTAAAGCTTCTATAAACTGCATGAGTGGAAAGGCAAGACAGACTCCCCTGAATTGCTTTGTCCACTTTCCCCTCAATTCTTGGGCTGCCCTCACCATCCTCCCAGGCCACTCCCTGGATACCTGCAGTGATTCAGTAAAAAGACCTCCCTCCTCAGTAGCCTGGACATATAAACCATTCAGTCAGTCAGTTTTCCAGATACAGACTCTGGGCGCCTGGCACTCCCTGGTAGCCCTGTATCTCCTGCATTGCTCCGTGTCTAGGGCAGCACCTGCCCACGGGGACAGCTGGGTGTCATCACACTCCACTCAGACCCACGGCCAGGTGACAAGCCTGTGATGAGGGGCTGGCAGGACGGAGGTTTGTGGAACTGGATGGAAGTGAGGTCAGGCAGGAGAAACACGAGTCTGGGTTCACTTCGCAAGTCACTGGGGCCGGGAAAATAGAAGTGCTGTAAGCGCACGTGGATGGATTTATTGAAGAGGAACCTGTTGGAGCTCTGCAACTGCTTCTTGCAACTCATCTGCAAACATTCCAAGAGGAAACAGATGACTCAGGGCTGCCAGGGGAGATGGAACGTGATTGTGCTGAAAGCACCAGTCTGCAGGGGACATCACAGCGGCTTGGGACTCATGGATGCTGTGTCAGCAGAGGCCGCTGGAGGAGGGTGGCAGGCTGCCTAGTTCTACACCAGGGAGAGCAAGGATGGGGTGTGCCCGGTGGTGTTCCTGAGCCCGCTTGCCCAGGCTCCCAAGCACCGACGTGCACCTCTTCCCCTGCAGAGACTTCATATCTGTAGCCTGGAGTGGTGGGATGAATACACACCACAGGAATTGGCAAAGGCTGGAAGTCAGCCTTCCGCGTCTGCACCCTAGCTTGTTGTGAGATGTTAACCAGTAAAACACTGGTCTTGCCCAGTGCTTTCTGGACATGGCTGAGCAGGCTCTTCCCATCAGAAAACCCAGGTGCCAGCACCCAGGGCCCTGCTTGTGTCTGCCTGTTCTTACACTCTGCAATGGAAGCTCAGGCTTCTAACCTAAGGCCTCTCCTCCCGCAGTAGGGGTGCAGGAAAGCCTTGAGGATCCCCCACCCCAACTCTGCTCCTTAGTTCTCCTGTCCTCCTCAGAGCGGCCGACCCTTCCAATCATGACACTCTGCATCCTCTCAAGGGGGTGCTCAAACAGGGCAGCCCTGGCCTTTGCCTCCAGCCTCCAGCATGGGTCCCACGTGTTCAAAGAAAGTAGCAGGAGGCACCGCTGCACATTGGGTAAGATGCTAACCGTGGGTTGGAATATGGCGCCACGGGGCCCTTCCACCCTGTCTGGGGTTTTTTCATCTGCAGATCGTGTCTGATTGCTGGTGCAGGGTGGGCCATTTTCAGCCTGGATACCTGGGGAACCAGGTACTATCCAGCAGCCCCAGCTTTCTGAGCATCATTCATGAGGTTGTAACCTCAGGTCTTCTTCTTCCTCTGGGAGTAGTTCAGGTTTAAACTCTGATTGAATTTGCAACTCTGCTGCCGTTCGCTGGGATATCTGCTTGCTGCCTTCTTTTAAGGCATTTGTAGAACAGAAACAATGATGTTGTAAGATGCCATCTCCATGTTGGCTCCGTCAGCTGTGAATGGACCACGAGTGTTGTTGGAGGTAAAAGCGGCTGAGGGCTGTCGGATGGCATTTGGTTGGGGGCTCAGGCAGCTCATATGCTCCTGGCATCCTGGGCTCGCTCATCCCTGGGGGGTTCCTGAGGGAATTCCACAACCTGGGGCCGTGATCATGGAAAAAGGAGCCTCCAGTTTGTTGTGGGTCTGGGGTGAAATAGTCACACTGAACTCTTTGAGGAAGTTGAGTTGGGGTGTGTGACTCCATGCTGCCCCCACCACAATTTGAGCTGAGGTTTGTGCTTCAGGGCACTAGGGAGAAATCTGGGGGTGGGACGGGGCAACAGTGTGGGATGGCAAAGAAAGACAGCTGGGTTTGAGGTCTCAGTTCCAGGGCTTAGTCCAAGGAGGTGACAAAAGGATGGCTGCACGTGGGACATTTGGACACACAGTGGCTTCCACCCGAAACATGAGCAGAGGCATCTCCTGGACTCTGAGGACTTAGGAAAATTGCTCCTTTTCTCTTGGAAGAATCAGGAGCAAGGTGGAAAGGAGGCCGGGGCTTCCCTTGCCCTGCAACTGTTTGGAGCCTTGGAGAAGGGCATCATGAGATTGAGAAACACCTGTATGCAACCCTCCTCTCAGGAAGCCCGCTGAGGCTATTTTAGGAGGCGCTTTGTGAAGATAAAAGCTGACCATGTTGCCCGCAGCATGCTTGTCACACGGATATCTGCACACATGAGCTCCAGGCTTCATCACGTGGTGCTTACGTGTGCTTGGCCAGTTTAAACCCTGGCTCCAGCATTTTGTGGCTCTAAATCCTCAGCAAGCTCACCTCCTGTGTCTTGGTTTCTTCATCTGTGCGAATAATAACACCTACTCTGCAGGACTGCTGTGAGTTTAGGTGAGTCGGTGCCTGTCATAATAGCACATCAGCAATCCGTGAGTGCCAGCCTTGGTGCTTTCCCGAAGCCTGGCGACTCCGGGCACTCCAGACACGCCACGGTCCTGATGAGCGAGAGCGAGGGGCCTTCCCAGCAATGGGAATGCTGGTGCAGAGCCTGGGCATTCAGCCCAGCGCGCCTTCACTCCCAGGGAGGCTGGGCAGGACAGGGATACCCTCCGACCTACATAGTCCCGATTTTATTCACATTATGCAGTTGGTGCAATCTATTCACAAGAGCATCCAGAACTTCCACTTGCCCATTGCTTTTTGAAAGGGAAGGTGCTTTTGGGGAGGAGTCATGTCCCAGGCTTCTCTTCTCCCTCCTTCTCAACTTTCTTTAATATTTAATCTAAAGGGTGTTTGCCTCAGAGGACTTGCAGGGGCCTCAGCGAGATCTCAATCAATGGCTTCTCAGAAGGGAGGGGTAGACACAAGATTACAGAATACCAGCCGCCACCACAATATTCTCTACAGCCAAGGAGCTCCTAGATTAGAATGTACCTAATATTTTCCTATAAATCAGTTATCTGTTCATGTAAACATAGTATATAGTGAAATGTACATCAATACCTTATATAGAAATCCATTATCACATGGCACAGTGGCTCACGCCTCTAATCTCAGCACTTTGGGAGGCCGAGGTGGGCGGATCACGATGTCAGGAGGTCGAGACCATCCTGGCTAACACGGTGAAACCCTGTCTCTGCTAAAAATACAAAATATTAGCCAGGTGTGGGGGCAGGCACCTGTAGTCCCAGCTACTTGGGAGGCTGAGGCAGGAGAATGGCATAAACCCGGGAGGTGGAGCTTGCAGTGAGCCGAGATCGTGCCACTGCACTCCAGCATGGGCGACAGAGTGAGACTCCATCTCAAAAAAAAAAAAAAAGAAAAAAAAAAGAAAACCATTATCACTTGGCAAAAATAAACAATAGCTGTAGTAAAATATGCACATATATATTCTTGAATGAGTGAGTGAATTGTCCCTATATACATATTACATATCAATTATCATTCTATAAAATATAATAATCGCTCTTAATCTCAATTTTATATAATACGACATGTAGTCTGTGTTTAGTGCCTGCTGCATGTTGGCCCACTGGTCCTGAGTGAGGAGACGGTGTTGGACAGTGCTCATAGCACTCCTATGTACCTGTGTGGGGAGGTGGGTGACAAGCAGGTGAGAACATTCACCAGGATAGAAAAAGGCAACTTGAGAAGCAACAGGAGTGATGGGGACAGGGTCTGGTAGGACACAGAAATTTAGCGGGACCTAGATGGGAAGCCAGAGGATGCTGGCTCCAAAGTCCTTGACAAGGGTGGGCAACGGTCAGGACACCTGCAGAGCTCCCAGACTCTTGGCCTTCATTTTCCCTTGAAAATGGATCTTGGCCAGCGCAGTGGCTCATGCCTGTAATCCCAGCACTTTGGGAGGTCTAGGTGAACGGATTGCTTGAGCCCAGGAGTACAAGACCAGCTTGAGCAACATATTGAGACCCTGTATCTACAAAAAGTACAAGCGTTAGCCTGGTGTGGTGATGTGTGCCTGTGGTCCCAGCTACTCAGGAGGCTAAGGTATAGGATTGTTTGAGCCCAGGATGTTGAGACTGCAGTGAGCTTTGATGGCACCACTGCAATCCAGCCTAGGTGACAGTGAGACCCTGTCTCAAAAAAAAAAAAAAAAAAAAAAAAAAAAGAAAAGAAAATGGGAAATGGGTCTTGAGGTTTTGTATTCTATTTGCCAACAGACCACTTATTTTATGCAATTGAAGTGCACAAGGCCCATACCGCAGGGGGAAATGGGCAGCGCTGCTGTTTGGAGAACTGTGGGCTTCGCCGCTGGTGAGAAACCACAGCCCTGAGATCTGATCTTCCCTCGAGTTTCCAGACTGAAATACGCAACTGCTGAGCTGTGGAGAAAAGGCCCATTTCCTAGAGATGGTGGGAAAGGCTATAAGAACAGAGTCCTTCTGTTTACACAAGCATGAATTGAATTCTCAGCTGATTGACAGTTCACAAAAATAAACGCTCCATACATGTGCTGTGGGCAAATTCCATGGCAGTCCGGCCTTCAGACAGCAGCCTGCCCCTGAGGACAAATCCACAGATGCTTGGAGAAGACCTTAGACACTGGCTTAGAGCCATTCGCCTTCAGACGGCAGCCTGCCCCTGAGGACAAATCCGCAGATGCTTGGAGAAGACCTTAGACACTGGCTTAGAGCCACTCCTCTGGAGAGAACAGGAGTGCCTGGGAAGATAGGCCACTGGGCCCTCAGGGCTGATGGCTCCAAATCGGCCTGGAGAGCCTCTCCCAGGTGCATGACCTCCAAACAGATGAGGGCTTCCCCTGCCTCATTTCACATGAGGATTACCAGCTGTTATATCCGTTAGACCCCCTCAAATTCATTTGCAGAGAAGCTGCACCCAGATGACACCCTGTCTCTGCCGCATGAGACGATGAAAGGGCCTGGTGGGATGAGAAGTTCTGGGCACCCGGCATGGCTCAGGAGGTGAAAACAATTCAGAGGGGCCCTGCTGCACCGGAAGTGCATGCGGCTTGGCAGTGGGCCTGTGAAACTCTGTAAGTGAACCAAATGAAAACCTGATTATCTCAGGACGCACGCGGAGTGAACGGGATCGGACATATTTGTTGGTAAGGTTTTAGGAAGGACTGGAAGCTTAATGTTTGTGAGGACTCAGGGACTATTGTGGTGGGAAGGCCTGTACACGCCAGCAAGCTATTTCCACATCTCTCTGTTCCTACACAGGTTATTTAATTGGTATAGAAGTCTCTTTCTCTCTTTTAGTATATATATATATAGACAGAGAGAGACAGAGAGAGAGAGAGAGAGAGAGAGAGAGACGGAGTCTTGCTTTGTTGCCCAGGCTGGAGTACAGTGGCTTGATCTTGGCTCAACGCAACCTCCACCTCCCAGGTTCAAGCGATTCTCCTGCCTCAGCCTCCTGAGTAGCTGGGATTACAGGTGTGCGCCACCATGCCCGGCTAACTTTTATATTTTTAGTAGAGATGGGGTTTCGCCATGTTGGCCAAGCTGGTCTCGAACTCCTGACCTCAAGTAATCCACCTGCCTTGGCCTCCCAAAGTGCTGGGATTACAGGCGTAAGCCACTGAGCCCGGCCCCTTTTAAAATATTTTTAAATATGTATGGTTAAAATGTGTTCTGATATTTAAGACATATACACGTGGTCAAGCAAAAGTTTTGTGTCTAAATAAGGGTGTTGGCAGCCTGAAGGACTACAAACTCCTCTGTCCAGATGTGAGTGACCATTTCTCTGCCACCATCAAAAATCCTGTTAAATAGTAAAAATGTTCCTGGTCTATCAAGACATGAGAATTAATTAATTAATCAATTAACAATTGAGTAAAACAGTAACTGAGTCCGGCGTTGTGCTGAGCCTGCATCCAAGCCTCAAGACAGCTCATTTGGTAGCAGAAGTGGCACCTGTGTGTGCAGATTTCTGTGCTGGTGGCTGTGGGGGACTGAGGCGGCCGGCGTGCAGCTCGTCATTACCCAGAGACCTTGGAGAGTGGTGACTCGGCTGCCGGATGGGGGAAGGGCAGACAGGGTCTTGCCACATGGCTGAATCCTAATATGTAACTAGACTCAATGGCCCTGCTGCTTGGGGCAGAGCAAAGCCTCCTAAAATCCTATTTCCAGCCAGGAGAGTGAGGGAGTAAACTTATCCATGACCAATATCTTCCATGTGATATCGTGAAACACAAAAGCATTTTATTAAGGAAAAAAATGATACCCAGCACATGCATCCAAACAAAAAGAAAGGTAAACATTAAGGATCAAGTGAACCAGAGAGCAAATACAGCTTTCTCTTCCAAATGACCACTGCGTTAGACGCTGCAGCCGTGTCCAGAGTGAGAAAAGGGACCTCAGCGAATGAGTAACGGACCCTTCACCAGGGTCCCTGCACAGACCGTGCTGGGCCGGGCTGGCCGTCAGGGTGTCTGTGTGTCGGGTGGAGTTGGGTGCCTGGGACCGCAGTCCCCGGACAGCCTGTGGGCTCCACCCCCGTGAGGTCTCCAGAGGCAGGGCTTTCCCTGTGGGATTTCCTGGCCCCGCTCGGTCTCCCGGGCTCCCGGGTCCACCGTTGGGAATGGCAGCCAGGGCTTCTGCTCAGCACAGGAGAAGGCAGAGTCCCTGTAAAGGCACGAGGACTGCAGAGTCTTAAATACGAAAATTAATAACTCTTTCTCTCTTGAAAAAGCAGAATCTAATTAGCTTCATGTCAGTTCAAGTAGCAGTTGAGGAAGAGAAAATAGAGGGAGAAGCAGATGAAACACCAGCCATGGGTGCATTTGCTGAAAGCTCAATTTCTGGTTCTTCCTGGTGGTCATATTTCTTTCTTCTCCAGAGCATTTTCACTTACTTCATTTATAATAAATAACCCCTAAGTAGATCCTGTATTTGCTCACAAGATTGACTCAGAAATCGTAAGAAAATACCATAATGAAACATTTTCTCTCAGCAAGGGAAGTGCATTTCTTTCTCCAGAGCCTCCTCTCCGTGCTCCCTCTTATTACTGGGCCGGGCATCCGCCGCGCCTCCCGCAGGTGTTTGCCTGGAGAGCGCGGTTGCACCTGCCGCCCCTGCACATGCGCATCACCCAGGAAGAGCTATGCCTCACAGATGTCTCTGTTTCTTGAGAAAGTATTTTAGCAGAGGGCTCTCAGGATGTTTCCTAACAAGAACATCCTTGCTGCTTCACCAATGTTAAGATCTGTAAACATGGAGGGCTTCGGAACAGTCGACTTTGCTCCCTTGGATGTCAACTTTGCCATCGGATGGCGTCCATTCGGGAGAACAGGAATCCAGAACCAGGTCCCTGTGCCCCAGTAAGCTTGGTGTTTTAATGTCCTCCCTGGGAGTCCTTTCAAATATTCATGGGTTCAGAAATATAATATGGGTAAGGGGAAAGAAGCTACGGACTGGGAGAACCAGTAGATTTCAACCCCTAGGTTAACTTTAACCAGTCAATGAAGCTATGGACTGGGAGAACCAATCGATTTCAACCCTAGGTTAACTTCAACCAGCCAGTTGGTAGTGAGGCCTGGGTCCTGGATCAAGAAGGATCCCAAATGCAGGAGAAAGCCAGGCTGTGGGGCGGGTGGCTCAGTCCGTGGTGTGCACTGCTGGTGGGGTGGGCAGTGGGCACGTGGCCACATTTTCCCCACTTGATATGCCATGTTGGCTGAAAAGCAGGAGAGACAATTGTGTCTTTAGAAAACTTGAAGGCTGGCTGAACACGGTGGCTCACGCCTGTAATCCCAGCACTTTGGGAGGCTGAGGCAGGCATATGACCTGAGGTCAGGAGTTCAAGACCAGCCTGGCCAACATGGTGAAACCCCATCTCTACCAAAAATACAAAAATTAGTCAGGCATGGTGGCATGCACCTGTAATCCCAGCTACTTGGGAGGCTGAGACACAGAATTGCTTGAACCTGGGAGGCGGAGGTTGCAGTGAGCCGAGATTGTGCCAGTGCACTCCAGCCTGGGCGACACAGCAAGACTCCATCTCAAAAAAAAAGAAAAAAAAAGAAAGAAAAAGAAAAGAAAAGAAAAAAGAAAACTTGAAGGCTGAAGGGTATTTTGCTTTCCTTTTAGAATAAGGGGCCTTTCCATTTGGTATCAATGCCTGCCCTTGTCTTGAGTGGGTCATATCCCGGTCATGGGCATACTGGCTGCTGCCTTACCTCATGGGAGAGCCCATATTCTGTTATGAGTCAAGTTTAGAGGACTTAGCACGGGAGCAAAAAGGTTAAACACTAAATCAAACCAAGTGCCTGTACGTGGGCTAGGGGAGTGGAATGATAGAAATTGCTGACATTTATTAAAACACTGTATGACGATCTCTGGTCTAGGTACTGTTGTATGTTTTGATTCATTTATTTTTCTATTCCTCTTTATTTATTTTGAGACAGAGTCTCGCTCTGTCGCCCACACTGGAGTGCGGTGTCGTGATCTCGGCTCACTGCAACCTCTGCCTTCCAGGTTCAAGAGATAGTCGTGCCTTAGCCTCCTAAGTAGCTGGGACTACAGGCATGCAGCATTTAGTTAATTTTTAATAGAGATGGGTTTTTGCCATGTTGGCTAGGCTAGTCCTGACCTCAGGTGATCCGCCCACCTCAGCTTTCCAAAGTACTGGTATTACAGACTGAGCCACTGAGACCGGCCACCTATGTTTTCATTCATTTAATTCACACAAAAACTCCATGAGGGATGGGCCATTATTATGCCCATTTGACAGGTGAGAAACTTGAGGCTCATGGAGATAAGTACCTCTCCCAAGGCCACTCCAGAGCCTGGACTCTCTTCGTTCTCTCCTGGGTTGCTTTTCGTAGACTTGCAAGAGAAACAACAGGTGCTCTTAGTCTCCTTTGGATCCAGAAAGTCACCAGAAGGATCTCCTCTATACGGTCGCAAAGGACTCAGGACAAGGCAGATGCATTTTAAAAATACTCCCGACAGTGAGGCCAGGGAGGGAGTGGGGTGCAGGTGGGGGCTGGTGACTGTGAGATCTGAGAGTCTTCTCAGAACAAGGTGTTGCCGTGGAGTCAGAAAGCCGGGACTCACATTAGACAAGCTGGGCTTGCATCTCAGTTCCCCAGGCTATGATGTTCATGACCTCAGGCAGATGAAGACATTTCTCAGTGCCCCAGTTTCTTTGCCGTCTGTAAAATCAGCCTCAGACTCTGCCTTGGTGTGAGTCTGAGGTGGAGTTGGAAGTCCCCATCGCAGTGTCTGGAGCATAGAACATGCCATTGTGTCAGGAGCCAAGCCCTGTCCCCCCCATCAAAGGCTCTTGGTAAGTCACTGTGGAGTGAACCAGTTACCTACTGTCTTCCTCCTCCCCTCTGGGTAGGTGGCCCCTTTCCTTCCTTAGCGTTGCTCTCCTGGGTCCCCTTTGTGACTCCTGTCTGCTCCTAACATTTCTGGGTGATGGTGATGCTTTCTTCCTCTCTCATCAGGACCCCCAAACTGAGCTGTCCCCAGGGCTGTAGGCTTCCTCCTTCCTCTGTGGCTGGAGGGTCCACCCTGACAATTGTCCGAAGGTTGCGTCCCCGGGTCTCTGGCTGCGACACCATTCCTCCAGCTCCACTTCCTCCCTTAGAGCTCTGTCAGGCCTGGAAAGATGAGGGGCTGTGTCTCCCCAGGCTCCCCCTCCACGGACACTGCCTTTCCTGCCTGCAGCTGCTCTCTACTCCTGAATATCAGGTGGCAAAAACGGACAAGCTGGCTGGTACCCACAGGGCTGGGAGCCTTCAGTGCCCACCTAGCTTCCTCTGATAAACCTGCTCCAACTTTCTCCTCCCCATGTAGAAGTTTCATTTACTGGGATGTTGATTGGATTTCCCCAATCAACAGGATTTCTAAATAGCTTCTCCAGCTTCCATGAAGATAAGAATTTTCTGGGCTATTTCTTCAATACCCTCATCCAGATCTACCAGTCAGCATTTTCAGGCCAGAGACCTGGAGATCTGCACATTTGGCAGGGGCTTCAGGGAATGCTATCTTGACACAACCCCCTGAGCATTGAGGGTGCACGCCCCTCCCCATGACTGCTGCCACAGAACTTACTGAAATAGGACTTTTGCTGTTACAGTGGGATGAAGAGTGTTCCCCCAAAATTCATGTCTATCTACAACCTCAGAATGTGACCTTCTCAGGAAACAGGGTCTTCACAGATGTAACTAGTTAATATGAGGTCACAGTGAATTAGGACGGGGCTTACTGCAGCCACTGGTGTCCTTAGAAGAAGAGAAGAGACACACAGAGAGAAGGCCACGTGGAGACCCGGGACACAGACCCAGAGGGAAGGGGCACAGGGAGGCACCAGCAGAGATAGGAGCGATGCTATCAGAAGCCAAGGAGCACCAGGAGGGCGGCGACTCCTGGAAGCCGGGAGGGGCCTGGACCATGTGGTGCCTCATAGTTCCAGAAGGAGCCAACTCTGTTGCCATCTTGATTTTAGACTTGTGGCTTCCAGAACTGTGGGAGAATAGCTTTCTGTTGCTTTTAGCCACTCGGTTTGCAGGAATTTGTTATGGCTACCATAGGACACTGATACAGCTTTTTAATGAAATTCTGCATTCAGAAAGCAAGAAGGGAGGCATCCAATAGCCAGAACTAAAAGACTCCTCCACCTCAGTTCTTCACACACCCATGCACATGAGGAAACCTAGGGTCCACCAGGTTTCCTTCTCTACCCGCCACCTTCCAGATACGGTTTAGGAGTCAAGGGAAGAGAGGCTGTTGTACTCAGGAGAAAACATTCTGCAGGGTATTTGGTGAGGGTGACTCATACATACATTGTGAAAATAGTGGTGTCACAGTCATCAAGATAAATACACATTTGGAAAGAGATTCAGATATACATTTTTGATAGCAAGGGACTTGCAGGGGTTTGGATACTAATCCTGAAAGACACAATCCCAATCACTGCAACCCCAGATGTTAACACTGAGAAAAATCAAAATCCCTAGGGGGTGAAGTCCTGGAAATCCCATCACAGGACGACTGTCTCATGCTAGTCGGGACTTGGTCTCAGGCTGTTCCTGGCACTTCGGTGAGCAGCCACAAAGCTGGGTGTGCACCATGATGGCTGCCACGGTCGCTGAGCAGCCACAAAGCTGGATGTGCACAATGGCTGCCACGGTCGGTGATCAGCCACAAAGCTGGGTGTGCACAATGGCTGCCATGGTCGGTGAGGGGCCACAAAGCTGGGTGTGCACAATGGCTGCCACAGTGACATGCATCGGCACTTCTCCCTTCTCGACCTATTTCTTTATGAGCACAGTCCATGCGCCTGTATCTGTTACACCCATGCGGCTGTCCTTAGTACACCTGAGTCTTTATACTTGCAAAAATGTGTCTGTTATTTTTGCCTTTTATTGTGTAAAGTGGCCTATAAAGTGTTCTGTTGTGTTTTTATATGTTTTGGTTAAATCTCCTTTTAAAAGTGTAAATAAATGTCTTGAAACTTTTAAAAATTATTTTTCCAGAATTATATGTTGAGGACCTTGATCTTTCAAAATGTCAACATTCAGGATTATGGAGTCCGGAACGACGTCTTCCAGGATTTTGACCGGCTCCCTCTTGGAGCAATCAAAAAAAAGTATTCCTGAGAGAAAGGATGATGAACACATTTGAAAGCAGAGGGGGTCCGTGTTGACTTGGAGTTTGTGCTTTGTGGACGGTATGGCATTAAATCTTGTGACGGGGCCAACGTCCCTGCATCCCAGACCAACTCTCCCTGGGTCCACCTCCACAGGAAAGCCACGCTGCAGGGATGCTGGGTTTCCAAATATTCCCCACCTCCCTCTTCAGAGGAACACCAAAGCATGCCCCAAGCAGGCTGCTGCCACCTTTTGGGGTACTTTTGAGGTTGGAGAATGGGTCTTAGCAAAGTGAAGGGGCCAGGGGGGAGGGCATGTTGGAGGGGACAGGTCCTTCAGCACAACCCAGGCCAGGAGTGCCAGGGGACAGAGCTTCAGCCTGGGATTCTGTCCTTTCACCCAGGGGCTTTTCCTTGCATTCGAATGCCTGTTATTCATATCACAAACGCAGCACAGAGACTTTCCTTTCCCACATCTTGGTACCTAGGACATTTTCAAAACCATTTACGTTAAATATTAATAACAGTCTCACCAGGGTTTGCTTCATGTATGGCTGTGATTTCATCGCTATTTAAGCTAATGAAGGTATTAGGTTTCAGTTCCTAACCCTGGAACTGTTCTTACATGATCCTCCCAAGCCGGATATGGATGGAAACGCTTCTCCCTCGGGAGTGAAGAATGGGTGTGGATGGCAAATCCGTTCTGTGTGTGACAGCTCATCTCCTGTGCCCCACAGCTCACTGTCTGTGGCCTTTTGAGGGGAAGGTATGGGCTAGGGGTGGACAAAGAGGAGAGGACAAGCTGAGAAGGCAGGCCAAGGGCCCGCAGTAGGAGTCGAGGGGTTTACTCAGCACCCCTGCCCGGCACCTGTGCCCACAGCCAGCCTGGGCTGCTTCTCACTGCCCAGACTTGGCTGCCCTGCCTGGCTCACCTAATGCCGGATGCACTGCCTATGAATGTCTTCCCCATAAATCATGGACTCGCTAGGCTCTCTGTGTCTTTCTTAATTTGTAGTTCTTGGTATCACAAACACCCAAAACTCCTAGGAATTTTTATTTCCAATTTCTAGACTTTTCATGAAATATGGGAAGGGTGTAACCAGAAGGACTACTACATGGTACCTTTAGGTCTTGACTGTCAGTACCCCTCCATCAGCGTGAGTCTTGGGCAGAGCTGGGCATCAGTGAACAGACACAGTGACCAGGTACCTGGCCTTCCTCACCCCTTGCTGCCCTCTGGCCCTCAAAGCCTTGAGCCCCTCAAAAGCCAGTTTGCAGCAGCTCTGGGCCCAGGTCTGGGTGGGGACTCTGGAATGGGGTACCCAGGGTGGAGGCAGCTCAGGAACCGGCTGCAGGAGGGCTGCGTGTCATCCCCATCTCCAGTCATTTAGCACCTCCTGGGCATGTCTGGGAACAGGGAAGAGTCAGCTCAGACATGCCTCCTGGTCCACACCAAGGCTACTCACCGGGCATTCGGGGAAGGCCTTTCAGCTCACTGAGAGGCACTTGCTTGCCAAAGGGTTTTGAACAGAGCATACATTTATTTGAACTCAGGAAAGAACAGCAGAGAAAAAAAGAGAATGTGTGATGGAGAAAACACCCTGTGCCTTTCATCAGGTGGAGAGGAAAGGGGACCCCAGGTCTGTTCTGCTGATGGAGGGGATGACACTGAGAGGTAACCTAGAACCCCCAGGCCCCTCACAACTCCAGAGGATGGAGGCCAGGCCGGGGGCTCCTGCACTGGTTCCCACCCTGGACAGAGGGCACTGTGAGGAGAGGTCAGGCCCTCCACAGCCCTCCAGGGCTGAATGATCAGGATTGTGACTGGCTCCCTCCGGCAGTAATCAAAGAAAAGCACCCCTGAGAAAATGGATTATGCACACAGAACCAAGGGTGCCTCGAGGGATGGGGCTCTGCAGTGGACAGCCCACCCCGGATTTCAGAGTTTGCTATAAGAGAGCCAGGAGCTGAAACACAACTGTCTTTCTCTCTGGCGTGCACCTTGCAAATGTCCAGTTTCTTTCTCCTCATTTCCATAGTGTATTTTCAGAAACGCGGATCGTGTCAGCTGAATGCAGCAGCAAGGTGCTTCCTTCCCACGTCCGAAGATTCCACATCAGGGTGGGAAGGACATTCCTGTGTCCCAGGGGTGCTGGTGGTAGATCATGGCTGGACCCGCAGGTTCTCTAGCACTTTCTGTGGGTGGGGCTGATGCTTGGGCTAACTGCTCCTGAGGTCCCCGGTCCCATGGGCAGCTCTCCTCTCACTGTTTCCTTCATCCTCCCAGCCTGCCCAGAGCATGGACCTGCCCGCTGGGATCTCTGGGGCTGGCCGTGCACATTGAGCAGGAGGTCAGCTCACCGGGAGGCCCTGGGCCCACTGTGTTATACAGGTCCCCACACAGAGCAGGGAAGCCAGTCCCACCATCGTGGGTCCCATTTCCTTAATAAACGTGTCATTCCATCAACACCCTCATCCCCATAAGTGTGGGAGGGGTCTGGCACAGAATGCCCAAGAAACAGAAAACATGGTGTGTGGCACGGGTATGCATTATATTTTATTTTCCTAGTGTATTCTGTTTCAAATCATTCAAATAACACAGTAAGCTAAATAAGTAATGGCCTTCAGCATGTATTTTTCAGAGGAAAACACAACATTTATGTTTGTTAATGTTCTACAAGGCCAAATAGAAGCTTCTGGGGGTCGGGATGAAGTTGTTTTCTTCCCAAGCAGTGACGTGGAATGAATTTCTAATGATTATTCCAAGCTTCCTGGGGGCGAGCTGTGCTGTATTTATCGAGGCTCATCTTCAGGACGCTGCGTGGAAAATAAGCCCGAGCTGCTCCCCAGCGACCCTCCCTGCGTCGCTGTGAGCACAGCCCTCGCCCGGCCCTGCACTGGTCAGGCAGCTATGCGGAGAGGAGGCTGCAGGACTTGGCCAGGTCAAAGCCAAAGGCCCTCGTGGTGTAAGACCTAGAATTAAGACTTCATAGGACAGGCTGCCTTGACCTCTGGTGATGCCAGAAGGGCCTTATCTGGCCTAACCTTGAGTCCCCTCTCAGCTCTGCTCTCACAGTAAAGGCCCCTTAGCAAATCCACTCTCCTGCAGCAGGGACTAGGAGCAGCTCCTGCTCACCCCTGAGTCGGGGACTTCTGTTCTCTGCCGCCCACAGAATGACTCACAAAGCCAACCACACCCCCGCTGCGGGAACCAAGGGCACCCCCTGGTTACTACAAAGCCAGCTTCCCACTACCCCTGGCTGCTCCCTCTGGTCCATGTGGCCCTGCATGCAGGCTGGGACCTACCCCCCTGGGCTGAGAATGACGAATAAAGTGCTGTCAATCTCCCCTGCCCAGCGTCAGTGTCCCATCCTAGCCCACCACTCTAGTTCGAGAGTGCAGAGGAGGTGGCCAGGACGCCCTACTGTGCTGCTGGGGGAAGCCGGACCCCAGCTCCAGAGGCCCATTGGGTAGAAGGCGCTTCAGAGGGAAGCCTTCACTGCTGCCCAATTCAGCTCATGTAAATGAGGACCTTTCCCAATCTTTGTTCCAACTGAGTCAAATTCCTTTAGTTTTCACTTGAAAAAAAAAAAAAGGTTACATTTCAGTTTAACTTGCAGTGGGTCATTTTATGGCAAAAGCGTCTCCCGGCAAGGCACAGGTACCTCTCTCCGACTACCTCCATCGCATTTGAGGCTGTCCGCAGGCAGCGCCTGCGCAGCGTGAGTCACGCACAGCGCTCCTGCAAGCACCTGAGTGCGCCCATCCTGCGTGAGCGCATCCTGGAGTGGGGGGTCCTTTTGCTGCTTTTCCTGCGTGGCGACTGTTTCATGACTCCGATTATGACAGGGGAGCTGGCTCTGAGTGAGCACAGGGCGTCTGCGGTGTGCATGGAGGTGACACCTGCAGAGACAAGCTCCCCAGCACCCCCACCCGCCAACGCCCAGCTCTCTTAACATGACCTATTCATACCCGTCCACTGTGGGGCCCACCGCATTGCCCCTGTGGTTTTCAAGAGCAGGCATGTGTTCTCTGTCCTAAGGCTGCCTCTCCTCTCAGGCTTTTGGGAGGTGACCTCCAAGTGGGGGTTGGGTGGAGGCACCATTGCCTCATGGGCCCCCGGGGGAGCCACACGAAGGTGGGAGCCCTCGCCAAGGAGAGCAGGGGGCTCCTTCCCTGAGGACGTGTCCCCCAGACAGCAGGTGGATGGTCTTTTCTTAGCCTCTCACCCAGCTCCCACCTGCCTATCCACTGACACTGGGCTTTCGACCTCCTCCTCTGCAACCTCAGCGTTTGGCATCTGTGCATCTCCTGGGGTGAATGACTGAGAATTCCCAATATGGAGGATTTTATTTCCTAAATGTGGCTGCAGCAAGGGCTGCCGTCACGTTCCCTCCTCTGTGGCAGGTCCTGCCATGCCCTCACCTAGAAGTGTGGTCTTTTGCCCCACCTCCTCCCCTCCCATGAGGATGAGTGGGCCTGGAGACCTGCTTTGACCAATAGAATCTGGAGGGCGGGGACACTGAGCCCCTGTGGACCAAGCTCTTAGCTGTCCGGGCAGCTTCCTCCTCCTGGCTCTTGGAAGGCTTCCATTTAGAGCTTGCCACCATGTAAGAGACGAAGCTAGCCAGGCGCGGTGGCTCACCCTTGTAATCCCAGCACTTTGGGAGGCTGAGGCGGGCAGATCACGAGGTCAGGAGTTTGAGACCAGCCTGGCCAACATAGTGAAACCCCATCTTTACTAAAAATACAAAAAATTAACTGGGCGGGCGCCTGTAGTCCCAGCTACTCAGGAAGCTGAGGCAGGAGAATGGCATGAACCCGGGAGGCGGAGCTTGCAGTGAGCCGAGATGGCGCCACTGCACTCCAGCCCAGGCGACAGTGTGAGACTCCATCTCAAAAATAAAAATAAAAAGAGAGAGAGAGAGAGAGAGGTGGATCCACCACAGAGACGGGCATGCATGGGAAGCCCAGCCCCTGAGGGTCCTCATCCAGTGAGGAGACTGCAGGTGGAGGGAGACAGAGACTGAGGGTCACTAGTCCTGCTGCCCAGGCTGACACCCCTGAAACAGAGAAAAATACCCAGCAAAGCCCATCCCACATCGACTCACAAAACCATTAGGAATACAGCAGTCGTGTTTAATCACTAAGCCTGAAGATGCTTTCTTACGCAGCAGTAGATAGTTAAAATACATGTCCTCACAATAAACGCAAAAATGTGAAATTTGAAGATAATTACTAGCATTTCCCCTGCCTTATCCATTTATCCAGAGGAACATTTTTCACATTCCAAATAATAACTATTTCAGAAGAGCAGCACTTCAGAGACAAGTTTTCAGTTCATGAGAAAGAAAGAAATAATGTGATCAAGGCCACAGGAGGCTGCTAGTCAAATCTGTCTCTTCTTGGAGCTGAGATATGGTGCTGATGGTCTGATGGTTATCCAGTCAGGTTCCGTGGACCCGCCCTGAGCCTCGGAGATGCGTCAGAGGCCGCTGCTGGGGAAGGCGGGACATCCCTCCCTGCCCCTGGCCCAAATGCACAGGCCCCGAGAGAGCTTCACTTTGTTTCAGTTGATCTCCTAGAGTTCCGGAGATTTTTTTTTAATGGCTTTGCTGTGTAAAATGTTTGAAAACTACTGGTTTTCTTGCCCATATTTTAGGTGAAGCCCCATTTTATTTCAGATGGGAACAAAAGACTCACGGAAGCTTGAAAACTTACCAAATATGAAAACACATGTTGGGGAGAAACCGTGTCCAGAGCCGGCATTCCTGGCCAGATCCCGGGAGTTTCCTGCATGTCACAGGGCTCACCTTGCAGGCACCAACAGGTGTATACATGTGTGAGAACACAAAGCCCACCTCACACAGCCAGGCCCTCCCACCTTCCGCATCAGGGAACACTGTCGATCACAAGCACATACCCAGACATTAGGGATGGCCTTGATTAGTGTCTACACATGGCATGAGGAGCTCCTGTGAACTCAAATGCTTCCCTCCAAGGGAGTCCTGCTAAGACTGAACTGAACCACTTTTCCTTTTAAGTAGACACTTACTAGAAACAGAGCTATATATCCAGGAAATTGAGAGGTTAAATATTGCATATAGGAAAATGCTGGGTAGACATGTGATTTTTATTGACAAGCTCTTTAAAAATCCTCTTTCTGCTTCAGTAATGCTAAGAGAGGTGCCATCAAATGGAATCATAAACTTTATCCAAGCCAGTAACTGACAACACATAAAACTTTTATTCTCAATGCCTCTCCCGCCCCCCCACACTAAGTCACTTAGCTGTTCTTTCTCTGGGTTCCCAGGAGAGCTCACAGCATGGATCCTTTCTGATGCAATAACTCAGACCCTTGTCATGAAGTTGCAGGTAAGACCTTGCTAACATGGAACCTATGTCTGAGTTCCGCCTTGCATTCAGTAGGCTAAAGGGAAGGTCCTAGAATTGGAGATGTGTCTCATCAATGAAAAGAAAGTGTCCTAGAAAAGAAACCTGACCATGAAGACCAACTAAGAAATAAAGAGAAATTCGCACATGATATGAAAATGGGTGAGAATACGCAATCATTTCAACTGACTGCTGGAGATTGACTTTCGGGTTAAACTGATATGTTAATGTCCTATTTGAAAATGCAATACTGGGATTGCTTAGATGGATACATTTACTGATCTATAGATTAAATGCAGATGTAGATTTGTGTTTTCTTTCTTCATCTTTTCCTTGGACCACAACTACACTGACTGCTGCACAAAAACTCACTGTTATTTAAATACTTCCGTAAATGTTTTCTGTACTACCCCTTTCCGTGCTGACATCAAAACATTTTACTAACAATAAGAAGTAAACAAATATTTTTAGAAATTGCTTAAGTTATGAAATTCAGTGAAAATCCATAGGAAAATAAACTGGGTTACATCCGACCAGTTAAAAATGATCAATAGTTAATTTCAAGGGCATATTCAATCAATTTCAGCTGAGCCCTGATTAAATATGCAATATTATTCAATGTTGCCCAACTTTTACATGAACCCAATTTATTTTAATGTTTAAGCCTTCAGTGACCACATTTGTTTTAATTATCTCTGCTTATACTTTAATTAATTCTATTTTAATATTTATCTTTAATTCAAATTAAAAGAGGAACGTCTCATCTCAATATTGCTACGAGCAGAAAAATAACTTCCCTTTACTCTTCTTTACATGCCTGTGTTTTCCAAGAAACCAAATGAAATAACTTAAGTCATCAGTCTCAATTTATTTTAAAAAACTTTCAACGGCAAGGCATAAAAAGTCATAGATATTGTTTACACGTTAATTTGCATGTAAATGATACTATCAGTTTATCACTTATTGTTTAGGGAAGAGAAATCTTATAAAAATCAAAGGGAAGTTTAAATCAGAGCCAGCCAAGACAAAGCTACTAATAATGTTTCTTTTTGAGTCTTCTATCATTTATATTCAAAGATACTCTTCATTCCTCCGTGAAGCTTGATAAGAGTCTTCTGCAAGTTTGTGAGCCGACGTCTGCCTGACATTTCTTGCATCTGAGCAACTCTGTCCTTTATTTGGGGACTATTGCCCCAGGGTCCCTTGGTTGACTTAGTGCTCGTGGTGATGGTGCTGTGGCTGCTGAGACCACAGGTTCTGTCCTGGAGTTGGCTCCAGGGCCAGGAGGTTTATTTTGGAGCCCAGGTAGCTCATAGCACCTGCAGAAGAGGCATGAGAGACACTCCCCTGGGTACAGCGTGGTCAGAAGTTTAGCACACCATGCCTTCTGTGTGTCATAGTCATTCCAGTCAGATATGCTCGAGTCTTCACAAAAGCCAAGGCGTGGACACAACCTATGTGCTTGCGGATGGGTGAGTGGGCAAAAGAAATGTGGTGATGGAATAGGATGGGATACAGCATTCAAAAAGAAGAAGGGCTGGCACGGTGGCTCAAGCCTGTAATCCCAGCACTTTGGGAAGCTGAGGCAGGTGGATCATGAGGTCAGGAGAATGAGACCATCCTGGCTAACACGGCAAAATCCCGTATCTACTAAAAATACAAAAAAATAGTTGGGCATGGTGGCGCGTGTCTGTAATCCCAGCTACTCGGGAGGCTGAGGCAGGAGAATCGCTTGAACCCGGGAGGCGAAGGTTGTAGTGAGCTGAGATCACACCACTGCACTCCAGCCTGGGTGACAGAGTGAGACTCCATCACAAAGAAAAAAAAATGGAGATCCTGCCATTGGTGACAACATGGTAGACCTGGAGCACATGATGCTAAGTGAAATAAACCAGGCCCAGAAAGGCAAATCCTGCCTGATCTCACTTCTGTGTGGAATTGGAATCAGTCAAACTTCAGCCACTGAGGGGAGGGGTAAACAGGCAGGCTGTGGTTACAGGGCACTGACTTTCAATTGTAAGACAAAGGAGATCTGGAGGCCTGATGCAAGGCAAGAGCCTATCGTTAACAACACTGAATTTCACACTCAGAATTTACTAGACTCCTCTTAAGTGTTCTCACTACAAAGACGGTAACTGTATGAGGGGATGGATGTGTTAATTAGCTTCATTGTGGTCATCGTTTCACAAAGTTTATGTACATCAAAACATCGCACTGCGGCCAGGCACAGTGGCTCACGCCTGTAATCCCAGCACTTTGGGAGGCTGAGGTGGGAGGATCATGAGTCAGGAGATTGAGACCATCTTGGCCCACATGGTGAAACCCCATCTCTACTAAAAATACAAAAATTAGCTGGGCATGGTGGCGGGCGCCTGTAGTCCCAGCTACTCAGGAGGCTGAGGCATGAGAATCGCTTGAACCCAGGAGGCAGAGGTTGCAGTGAGCCGAGATGGCGCCACTGCACTCCAGCCAGGCAAAAGAGTGAGACTCCGTCTCAAAAACAAAACAAAACAAAACAAAACAAACAAACAAAAACAAAAAACATTGCATCGTACACCTTAATTTTATATAATTTTTATTTGTCAGTATACCGCAATAAAGCTGGAAGAAAAGCAAAAAAGAATAAAACGTGCTTAGGTCAAATCCCTCTATCAATATGCCACACAATTGTCATCACTATCACTGTAGCTGCCTTCTGTTGAGCACGCTCTGTGCTCGGCTCTGTGTAGGGAGTGTGTATCCATGACCCTATGGGATCCTCAGAACAGCATCGTGGGAGGGCTGTGGGACCCCTCACACTGAAGGTGGAAACGGATGAGGAACAGGGGTTGGTGCATGTCAGCATGGAGGCTGGGCCAAGCCTGCCGTCTCCAGCACCCTCTTCATGAAAGGAAGGTGTGGGCAACTGGTTCCAGGGACTCCGTGCTTGTGGGGACAGGAATGTGACTCCAAGTTCTTTGTGAATGATACTCAGGCAGACAAGATGAATGGCAGTCTGCCGCCATTCCCCTTGGTGCTTTTGCACTGAGACCCCTCCTTCCTGAGGCTGAATTACACCGGCCGTGAACCCCACGGGCAGCGACTGAAGATGACTCTGCAGACCCTGCCTTTCCTCAGTCATCACCAGGTCTGCACAGACATCCTGGGCACTTGCTCTGAGCCAGGCGCTCCTGATGGGGTGCTGGGGAGACTCGGTGATGCCTCTTACCATGCGGGACCAGCACTAATGCCCACGGGCACCCTTCAGGCAACGTCTCCCTGGGCGTTATTCCCGTGTCCTAGTGTCAGGAGCTAAGGCCTGACTCCTTCCAAACCCACTGGAAGCAGCGCTGTCTCTGCCAGCATTGTCCGACCGCCCTCCACCTGCTGCAGTTCCCAGCCCTTGACCACTCTCTGTGCATCTGCAGCCCGAAACTCTCAATGTGTTCTCCACAAGCTGAGGCACTGGGCAAACAATTTCCTTGCAGGGTAAATTTGCGAGAGGAGCATCATTCTAAATCGAGATAGTGTGGGTTTGTTTTTTTTTTTAATGAAACATTATGATCGTAGAAACTAAAATTCACTTTGCCAGTAGCCTGCATAAGTCAGGCATCAACATTTCAGAACAACTGATATGTGAGCTCCAGTGTGGGGAGGAGGAAAGACAGATGGGCTCCATTTAGAGCACACAAAGAAAGCAATCTCTGTAGATCAGACATGGGTCCCTCATGCTGCAGCACAGAGACAAAGAAGCACAGAACAGCCTGGGGTGGAGCTGGCTGCCTTCTGTAGCTTTGCTCGGAGAGAGCCACAACCACAGAGAAAACACACTTCCGGCTGCTGTTCCAGCCAAACGCAGTTGGTCAGGAGTGTCACAACTGTCCCAGGAAATGCCCAGCTTCATTGGCTCTGGCAGCACTCAAGACAACAGGACTCCTTCAATGCAGGGAGCTCCTGGCAGAGCTGCTGGAGTCAGAGCCCTACTCGGAGCTGACAGGAGTGTGGGAAGGTACAGAGGACACGCCGGCGTTAAGGGGCACGGTCAGAAGCTTCCTCTTGTGGTGAAGTGTCTTTATGTTTTTGTTTAAAACCCCCATGCCATTTGCTGTTTACATGTTATTTAAGAGTCCCTCAGCCCTTTCACTAGATGACAAAGTGCTTGTGCAGAGTCTCCATTTGATTTTAGGTTCCACCAACATTGACTTCTTGAATGATTGCCTTCATGATTCAGGTGAAGAAACTAAGGATCAGAGATGTTTAACACACTCCTGGTCACTCGATGAGCAGCTGGCAGAACGGGAGCCCGTATCTGTGGTTTGGAGATCTTAAGCTCAGGCCACTTGACAACTGGCAGCGTGCAGAGAAGGCTGTCCAAAATCTAGGGTGTGCTTGACCCCAAGCAGTGACCTTGGGAAGAGACTAAAGGCATCATTCCAGAAGTCACGTGGTGCCCATTCTTCAGCTCCCAAGAGGCCCTACACAGACATTCCCACCGATCATTCTCTCTAGAGCTATGTGTGTGCAAGGGTATGTGTGTGGTTGTGCTGGTGAGTGTGCATGTGTGTCTGTGTGTGTGTATGAGTGTCTAGGTGTACACTTGTAGGTGTAAACGTGAGTGCATTCATGTGTGTGTGCATGTATATTTGCATGTAGGTTGTGTATGTCCATCATCTCATCACATGAAAATTTCTAGAAGATGACTATATTAGTCTGTTCTCACAACTCACATTGCTATAAAGAATTGCCCAAAACTGGGTAATTTATAAAGGAAGGAGATTTAGTTGACTCACAGTTCTGCAGGACTGGGGAAGCCTCAAGAACCTTACAATCATGGCAGAAGGAGAAGCAAACACGTCCTTCTTCACATGGCAGCAGGAAGGAGAAGTGCCAAGCAAAGGGGGAATAGCCCCTTATAAAACCACGAGATCTCCTGAGCACTTGCTCACTATCACAAGAACAGCATGGGGGGAACTGCTCCCATGATTCAATTATCTCCCACTGGGTTCCTCCCAGGACTCATGGGGATTATGGGAACTACAATTCAAGATGAGATTCAGGTGGGGACACAAAGCCTAACCATATCAATGACAATAATATATTACTGTCCATTTGGGCACCACCAATCATGCTCAGCATGGATCTGCACATACAAGGCATTCAGTGGGCATTTATTACTAACCGATAATACCATTTGCAGAAAGAGTTACCTGGCAAATACTTTTATAATTTCCAGATTTTTGCCTAAAATATGAAAATTATTGATTGCTAAACAAACATCTTGAAAATTATCAATAAAAACTAATGGTCAAAGATAATACTGTATTCTATTTTTTAACTTTTATTTTAGGTTCAGGGGTACATGTGCAGATTTGTTGTATAGATAAATTGTTTGTCGTGGGAGTCTAGTGTACAGATTACTTTGTCTCCCAGGTAGTGAGCACAGGATCAGATAGGTAGTCTTCTGTTCTTCACCGTCCTCCCACCTTCCACAGCCAAGTAGACCCTGGTGTCTACTGTTCCTTTTTTTGTGTACTCAATGTTTAGTTTTCAATTGTAAGGGAGAACACACAGTATGTGGCTTTCTCTTCCTGCGTTAGTTCACTTAGGATGATGACCTCCAGCTCCACCCATATTGCTGCAAAAAATCTGATCTCATTCTTTTTTATGGTTGTGTAGTGTATGCACCATATTTTCTTCATCCAGTCTACCAACGGTGGGCACTTAGATTGATTCCATATCTTTGGTTGAATGGAAAATTGCTTCCCCCAAACTGGAGGAAACACATACATACACCCCCAAACCACAGACCTAGTGGTGCACATTGATGTACAAATGAACCTATAAGATCTCCAATTTGTTTTAAAAATCATATTAAACATACTATATAGGCCAGAAGCAGATTTTTAAAAAGAAAACAAAAGAGACTACTATTGTAGTAACCTGATAGGCTTCTCTCTGCCAATCTCATCCCTTAGATTCCCTATAGCTGGAAAAATGTTACAATATGAGATGTCATCTACAACACCAGCACATTTTTTTGTGTGAATTAACTATTTTATTCTAAATAGTTTATATGGAAATGCAAAGAGTTAAGAATAGCAAATGAAGGAAACAAAAAAATGTTTAAACCTGAAGCATTTATACTATGACACATTGAGACATAAAGCAATAGTTATTAAGTCAGTGTGGCATAGAAACAAGAATAGGGACAGCCATAGAGAAGCCAGAGGCAGTCCTGGTTATATCCAGCCACCTGAATATAGTAAAGTTGAAACTGCAATGAAGTGGGAAAAAGACTGGTCATTTTAGGAAATAATGATGGGTTCATCAGATATCTCCAAGGGAAAAAAATGAATCTTGACCCCTGCTTCATTCTAGTTACGCAAATAGAACATTCTAGTTACACAATAGAACAGAGATTTATATGTGAAAGATAAGACAATAAAGCTTTTGGAAGATAATATAAGAACATATTCAAGGTCTTGGAGTAGGTAAAGATTTCTTAAATGTAAAAGAAACAACAGGCATTGACCATAAATAAAAAAATTTGATAAATCGGACTACATTAAAACTTGTTTTTTTTTTAAAAAACTTCTCTTTAGCAAAAGATTCCACTAAGAAAATGAAAAGCCAAGCTGCAATGTAGGTAAAGATACTGACAATATTCACAATACATATATTCAAAGAAGATTCACCCTTAAGGCACATCAAACATTTTTACCTATATCACTAAGGAAAAGACGGGCAGACCCACTAAAAAAAAGGATCCCAAACTTGACCATGTGCTTTATAAAAATGATTATCCAAATTGACATTGAATAGGAAAAAGTGTTCAACTTCAGTAGTCATTGAAAAATGCAAATTAAATCATAATGGGATCAAAACACATACAAGAGAAAGGCTATGGGTAGAAGCTCAGGCAGCACCAGTGTCAGTGAGGGTGAGAGGCAGGGCCCTCGTCGTACTGGTTGGAAGGTAAATTGGTGCCACCATTTTGCAAGGCACTTAGTTTTTGCCTACAAATGCTGATCAAGTGTGCTCCATAACATTCACCAATCCTCATCTTAGGTGTTCACAAGAGATGTGTGTGCGTGCACAGCCAAGACGTGGATGGGACAGTCACAGCACACTCTTGGGACTATACCACAATGCGCCCTGAACTGGAAATCATCCAAAGGTCCATGGGCAGTACAATGGTTGAATAAACTGTGCTACGTGCAGGCAATGGAAGATTACACAGCAAGAAGGATGAGCAAATTACAGCTACCTCCA
This sequence comes from Homo sapiens, assembly GCF_000001405.40. Lineage (NCBI taxonomy): Eukaryota > Metazoa > Chordata > Mammalia > Primates > Hominidae > Homo > Homo sapiens. Next base: position 130,820,740 of record NC_000010.11, read on the forward strand.
CCTTGAATGGGTTGTGCAAGCATAATGTTGAGTGAAAGAAGCCAGACACAAAACAGTAAACATAGCAGTGGCAGTGTTAAAATATGGCCACACATTCTTCAACACCAGTCATCCACAGGGGTTGTCTATGTCCCTCCGCTTAACTCTCGGTGGGCCTCTGGATGCTCTCACCGGAAGTGTGCAGGAGCGATGGTTCTACTTAACTCCCATGGCCATGAGAGGCCCTAAGAGGATGCACAGCTCCACCCTGCTCAGTTATCTGTCATGGCAGAGCAAACCACCCCAGCCTCAGTGGCGCAAAACAGCACCTGCTGTATAAGACTGTGGGTCAGGGTGGGGATGGCTTGTCTCCCCAGAGAGACTCGAATGGCTGTTGTGACTTGAATGGCGGAGGCCAGAGCCCAGGTGACTGGTGGGTCCAGACGTGAGATGGCTTCTGAAGCCCCATGCCTGGGCTGAGACAGCTGCAAAGCTGTCACAAGAGCGCTGCCACCTGGCAGCAATGGAGGTTGGGAGCCATCTGGAATCTGTTTATAGAAATCCTGATGACAAGCAAAACCGTTCTATGACAGTTAGGACAGTGGTTCCCCTGGGGGAGTCTGAGTGGCTGAAATGGGCGTGCCAGGGGCTCCTGAATTCCAGCAATGTTTATTTTGTGATCCAGTTGCTACAGATACAATCTGTGTTTGGAAATTCTTCATGCTGTACACTTAGACTTTTTGCACAATTCTATACTCGTGTTATACTTTAATAAAAATCCCATAAAATAAACAGATATTTATTTAGGGCTTACTGTGCACTATACTCTGCAGATACTTTATTATCCCTTTAGATCTTCACAATGACCCTGTTGGTTAGAAGCTATTGTCATAGAAAGGTGAAGTGACTGGCCCAAGTTTTCACAGCTTGGTAGATTTGGGATCTCGACAGAGGTTTGGTTGATGCCCAGCCCATTATTATAACCGTGATGTATATGTTCTCCAAATGAATGGTCCAAGCTATTGAATAGGCAACCAACAAAAACCAAATAAACAAAATGTTGAATGCACATCATCAAAAATCCAACCTCACTAAAAGCCAAAGAAATACAAATTCAAACAATAAGGCATTATTTTTCTTTCTTATCAAATTGACAGTAATTATGAACAGGATATTGTCTATATTTGGAAAGTTAATGGGAAAATTCATATGCCTTGCTGGAGGGGATGTAAATTATCGCAAATATCTTGCAAATGTTTGACAAATTTGTGTTAAATATTTAAATGTCTATAGCCTTTAACCTAACAATTCTGATTCTAGTTATCTCTCCTAAGAATAAATGAGCAATTACACAAAATATAGGCTATAGGATTATTCCTCAAAAACTATTACGGTGCTTAAATGAAAAAAAAAAGTAAAGAAAGAAGATAGGGAGGGAGGGAGAGGAAGGGAAAGAGGGAGGGAATGGAAAAAGTTAAAATGCCGTGAAACACAGCACAGGCAGAGTGGAGCCTGCCTATGGTCCAAGCTACTCAGGAAGCTGATGTGGGAGAATCACTTGAGCCCAGAAGTTCGAATCCAGCCACAGCCTTTTCTTTAAAAAATACCAGAAATGTGAATTTATTAAATGAATCCTTTAATATTTATTACGTACCTAGAATGCAGTATTATATCACAGTATATTTTTTCACACAATAAAATCCTTCATGTGGGTGTGCGCGTGTATGTATACACATGTAAACATGGCTGACTTTGAAATAGCATGAACAATGAGATCCCACTTTTAAATACATGTGAATGTTTATGCACAGAACCCTGAAAGGACCTATCCCAAAATATGGATGGAGATTTTTCAGAATGTTAGTAACATTATGCATTTTTATATTGTCAATATTTTTGTGTTGAACATATGTTTATATATGAGTGTATTTTATTTTAAATAACATAAAAATATCACAATATAAAAAATGTACACAAAATCATGCAAAATGCAAAACAAAGGCTCACAATTACCTATTTGCCATGATTACAACAGTGAGGGGCACACACATAGAACAGAAATGCAAAGCAAATCGCAGCTGTGTTAAAATAATAGGATTTAAAAAATATATTTGCATAATTATGTATAGTCACATGATTTGAACACAGAAATGTAAAAGTTTTTAAAAAATTAAAATTCTTTTTTAACTTGAACCTTAAGCCATATGCACACCGCTCAATTATAACCATGTGGCCTGTTTTCTCAGCAAGAAATGAAACATGTGCCTGCAATGCGGCTCCATGCTGATGGGAAGAGCCACTCCAAACATTGCTGAGGATGGAGAGGTTCGTGGACGGGAGGGGCAGAGCATTTGGAAGTGAGGAGTCGAGGTGCACAACACAATCACACTCACAATGTATTGAATGGTATTTCTGTCTTTAGGTGTTTGAGGAATTGCCACACTGCAATTCTTAAAATCTTTTGAAGAGGTCTTTTTTTGCACTGGGTCTTGTAAGTGATATAGCTTGTCCTGCAGGCCCTGTTTTGTCTTCCCCACAGCTTCGTAGCCCAATAAGATAAATGTTGTTCTTCCCAGGATTGCAGAAGCTGGGCTTCATGAGAAAGGTCCTAGTGTCTGCTGTGCCCTGCTTGGGAAACATCCCATCTATTGCTCTTTAGTGAACTTGGTTCTACTTAAAACATTACCATGGACCCACTTTTCTTTTAATCACAGGCAAACTGGCCCTGAGCTCTAATGAGCTGCACACAACTTGTGTGACTCTGTGTTTTTTGAGGTAGCACTGGGGATAGTTGCAGCGTGTGACCACAGGGTCCCCCACTCCTGTGGGGTCTTCGTGCTGTTGAGGACAGGGTTACATGAAGCCTACAAGCCAGAGGAAGTTATAAAAGTCTTCCAAAGTGACTTCCAGCAACTAACTGAAGCCCCCAGTGACAGGCCAGTGGGATCTAACCAGAATTGTGCCTAAGGGATGATGGGGGCAATGTTTGTCAGGGGATCCTGTCAACACCAGCAGATACCATGTTACATCATGAGTAAGCCAGCAAGAAAATACAAACCTTCGGCTGCCTGCATCATATCAACATGGCTTGCAAGACCATCAGCCATCTCCCACCTGGAGCAAGAATTAATAGTCCAGAGAAAACATTCTAGCAGCTTAATGGAGCTAGTGCTGCTCTGATCCTCTGTCCCTGGAAGCTGAAGGTGCCTGTTTAAGCTCTGGGAACCCAGCACTTTATCTATTCCTGTCTCTCTTCTGAGAACCCAGACCAGAGCATCACAGTTCATGCTGGAAAACTAAAGGCAATGAAGGATGATTGTGTAATTTATATCTTGTTCAAATGAGCAGCCCCCAGGTCACTCTTTAATCAAAATGAACATAATCACAGACACACACACACACGCACATGCATACTCACACAACACACATATACACAGGCATATACACACGCACATCCATGCACACAGATACAAACCTGCACATACATATATGTGGACATGACCATGCATGTGCACAGACTCAGACATGTGCACACATATACACATACATACACACATGCACACACATGCACATAGATTCAAATGCGTGCACTCACATGCACACACATACACATATGTACACACATGCACACAGATTCAAACGTGCATGCAATGCACATACATACACATAGGCACAGAGATTCAAACATGTACATGCAATGCACATACACACACACATGCACACTGACTCAAACATGTGCACACATATACACATACACACACTAACACATGCACACACACATATGACACACATACACACACATATGACACACATACACACACATGCCCTACCACAAACTCACTCTCTGCAAGCGTGAGAATGCCACTTGAATTTTCTAATTTTCTAATATTTCCTAATTTATACATCTGCTTCCTGCCTCACCTTCCATCCAGGGTGCCTTCAGGGTCTCCAAAGGGCATGTTGAGCAGCCTCCATGGCTGAAAGCCCCCGATTGCCCACAATTTCCAGATGATGCCCTGGAGTCTCAGGCTTAAAGCTTCTCTACTGAGAGAAAGGACCTAGGACAAAGCCAGGGGAGGCCTCCCCACTCCTAGCTTGGGCCATGCCCAGGTCTGAGTGGAGGGTTGGGCCCTGGATGGACAAGGCCTGGTATGGGATGAGAGGGATTAGGGAAAATGTGACTCTTGGAGATTTAAACAGTGGACCCCCCAGAACACAAAAAGGCAACCAAGCAGGGATGCCACTGGCCAGGAATTGTCCCTACAGCACCCCCTGCCCCTCAAGATCTAGCTTATACTGAACAAGGAGGATCACAGGGAAGGAGACACCAGTACTTTGCTCCTAGCAGAAGGCATGTGGCCAACGCAGTGGGACAAAATGCTACCTTTTCACTTGCATGGCTCTTATCTCAAAAGCATCATCAGTAATGTGTAATAGATGTAGCTTTAGGTGCGCTGGTCAAAATGCAATAAAATTTTTTCTATTGCATCTTCTTAGAATATAATGAAGAGAAAAGCACCTGCAGCTTTCTCTGATTACATAAGGCAATTAGATATCTAGGTATTTCAATAATAAGTAGGTCAGTTGTGCAAATTAAGCATTAATTTGGATTTTCTAATGTGCTTCTACCACACAGGTATTAAAACACAGTCTCTGACCCTGACCATAAATTTGGGCTGGATTCTAATTGTTTATTTGTGTTCTCAGGGTTTGTTTTTGTTTCAGTAATTGCTTTCTAATTATCTTCCAGTTGCTAAATGGCACTTTACTCAGTTTATCAAGTGGTATTTTCTAAGGCAGCTCCTTAAGGCCTTGTCAGCACTTGATTCTGATCACTATCATGCAGTGGAAATGAGTCACCAACTTCCATTCCTTCTGTAAAACATGCCAGGTCCAGCAGAGGCTTTCAGCATTGATCGAAGTCTGCCCCAGATGTAGTAAGAAGCTGATGCCCTCTATTATCCTTAGCAATGGTGCTTTCTAATGGAAATCTTTAAGAAATGCAGATAGGAACTTTGGCTTAAACTGTGACATTTAAAGAATGTGGAAGTTTAACAAGGAAAAGCTGAACAAAGTAAAAGTCAATGACTTTATTGGACCCCTCATGGAAGTGAGGTTACAGAACAAGCTTCTGCCCTGAAATCTAGAAAGGCAGATGAGTACAGAAATCAACACCCCAAGGGCAGAAAACACTTGAGCTAAAGCCTGGTAGAAAGACTTAAATGATAATTTTGATGACTTGCTGGAGGCTGAGAGTGGACTAGTATGAAAGCGAGAGACCCAGAGACTCTGGGGGCTGTAGTTGGGGTAGGGAGGACACTTTCACTGGTTTTATCTCCAGGAACCTAAGTTCTCACAGTCAAGAGGAAAAAGAAACCCTAATGACTTTGATACAGAGGGAAAAAGTAACAACTTTGGAAAAAACCTAAATATTTTCCATGAAAAAAGGCTATATTTCATGAGAAAATACTTTACTAGAACCTAATCCCACCTGAGGGAAGGGCATTAACTTACTTCAGGCCCCCTGGCCTTCTTGTGTCACCTGGGTAGTTTGAAGCAAATAAAAGCCTACAATGGTGAAGCTCAGAGGCACAGGCCTACTAAAAGACATCCTGTAAGATTTCAGAATGCACCCCCTTCCCCACACCTCCTTATTACATCAACAGAGATCCAGTATCACAGGAGTGAAATCCAGTTGAAAGAGCTAAAAGGCATAGACTCTATTTAAGAAGGAGTCCCTAGGGAAACCCAAAGACAACAAGGGAGACAAAAACAAGGACATGAGAAACAGTTAAATAGTTATAGGCATAGTAAATATTAATACAACTGTATCAATAATCATTTTTAATGTGTATGGTCTAAATACACTGACTGAGAGACAAATAGAGTGGTTAAAAAAACAAAACTCAACCATGCACTGTCTATAAGAAACCTACTTTAAATAGGGAGACACAGATAGGCTACATGTAAAGGTATAGAGAAAACTATATCATGCTAACTAAGCAAAAGAAAACTGGGGTAGCTATACTGATTTCAGAAAAAGCAGAGGTCTGAACAAAAAACATTTTTACATAGAAAAAGGAAATTATACTGTGATAAAGGTGTGAATGCATCTCACAACAGAACATCAAAATATGTGAGGCAGAACTGATCAAACTCCAAGAAGGAATGGAAAAATATACTATTATAATTGGAGACTTTAACATTCCTCTTTCAGGAATATTAAAATTTACAGCCTAAGTTTAAAGTTTGTAGATCAAGCCGACAGAAAAACCAGTAAAGACATAGTTAAGAGTCCATGAACTGTCAACTTGATCAAATTGGCATTTATAGAATGCTTCATCTAATAGCAGAAAAATAGCATTCTTTTAACCTTACATGGAATATTCACCACAATAGATCACATTCTTGGCCATAAAACATACTTAATAATATATTTAAAAAGATAGAAATCATATAAAGTATATTTGCAGACCACAGTGGACTTAAAGTAGAAATCAGTAGCAGAAAGATACTGGAAAATGTCAAAATACCTGAAGATTAAGCGACGTACTTCTAAATAACACATGGGTCAAAGAAAAAGTCTCAAGAGAAATGTGAAATATTTTGAACTAAGTGAAAATTAAAATGTAACATAAAAATTGTGGAATGCAGTAAAAGCAACACTTAGAGGAAAATAAATAGTATTAAGTGCATAATAGAAAAGAAAACAACTCTAAAGTCAATAATTGAAGCCTCTACCTTGGAAAATGAAATAACAAAGACAATGTAAGCCTAAAACAGGCAGAAGAAAAGATGTAATAAGAATTATAACTGAAATCAATACAATTAAAACAAGAAATCAACAGAGAAAATATATTTAAAAAATCAAAAGCCAGCTCTTTGAAGACAACATTAAAATTGGTAAACCTCCGGCCAGCCCAAATAACACAAAAACAAAGAAGACAAAAATTACAAACATCAGAAATGAAAAAGGAGTCATTACTACTGATCCCAGTGATGTTAAAAAAGATAAAAAGAAATGTTATTAACAATTCTATGCTCATAATTTGGATAAGTTACATGACATGGACCAATCCCTTGAGAGACACAAACTGCCAAAACTCAAACAAGGAAAAATTGACAATTGGAATAGGCCTAAAATTATTGAAGACATTGAATCAACAATTAATAACTTTCCAAAAATAAACCACCAGGCCCAGATGGTTCCATGGGTAAATTCTACCAAAATGTAAGAAGTAATTATAGAAAATCTTTACAATCTCCTCCAGAAAATAGAAGCAGAGGGAGAATCTCCCCCCGGGTTCCCTGAGGACAGTATTATGCTCTTACCAAAACCAGAGTGTTGTTTCAAGGGAGGAAAATTACAGGACAATGTCTTTTATAATTATAGATGCAAAATTTCTTCACAAAATGATAGCAAATCACATCCACCAATGAGTAAAAATAATTATACACCATGACAAAGTGGGGTTTATTTCAAATTCAGAATATTGATTCAACATTTGAAAACGAATTAGTATAATACACCCCCATCAACCAGCTAAAGAAGAAAGAGCATATGATCATATCAATTAATGCAGCAGATGCATTTGACAAAGTTCTATACCCATTCAAGATTTAAAAATCATTAAATTAGAAATAGGGAAAAACTTTCTCAGCTTGATAAAAACATCTACAAAATACCTACGGCTAATATCATGCTTAGTGATGAGAAACTGGGTTCTGTCCTCTTAGGTTTGAGAGCAAGGAAAGTCTATCTCCTCTCACCACTCCTATTGAACATAGTATTAGAAGTCCTAGCTAGTACGATAAGACAAGAATAGGAAATAAAAAAATTGGGAAGAAAGAAATAAAACTGTCTTTTGTTTAGAAATGATATGATTGCCTATGTAGAAAATCTCAACAAATACACAATAAAGTTCCTGGGACCAATGAGCAAGTGCTGAAAGATCATAAAATACAGAAATAATGCACAAAATTCATTCCTTTTTTATTTACCAGCAATGAGCAATTAGAACTTTGAATTACTGTACATGACACAGTGTCATCTTTAAAACTGTATACATAATCTGCCGGGTGCAAGTGGCTCATGCCTGTAATCCCAGCACTTTGGGAGGCTGAGGCAGGAGAATCACTTGAACCCAGGAGGCAGGGGTTACAGTGAGCAAATATTTCACCATCGCACTCCAGCCTGAACAACAAGAGCAAAACTCCAGCTCAAAAAACAAACAAAAAAAGCTATATGCATAGTATATATGTGGAAAACCGTAAAAGGTTGATGAAGGAAATCAAGATCAAATAGATATAGAGAGATTCTGTGTTCAGATATTAAAAGACTCAATATTTTAAGGTGTCAATTTTTGTCTTGAGGAGGAAGGGGAGATAAGGGGAGGATGAGAGAAAGAGAAAGAAGAAGAGCAACAAAGTTTGAGAACTGACATCACCCAACTTCAAAGCTGACTATAAACATGTAAAACTCAAGACAGCAGGATATTGGAGAGAATACATCCATATATTAATGGAACAGGATGGATTAACTTAGAAAAATTATACAAAAATACAGCTAACCAATCTTTGATAAAGGAGTAAAGGCAATTCAATGAAGAAAATATGGTCTTTTAAACAAATGATGCTGGAGTAATTTGTAGGACATCCACATGCAAAATAACAATGAATCTAGACAGAAACCTTACATCTTTCACAGAAAGTAGCTGACAATGGATCATAGAGCTAAATATAAAAGGCAAAACTATAACACTTTTAGAAGAAAATATAGGAAAACAAAGTTCATGCTACCCAGGTGTGGCAATGAATTTTTATCTATAACACCCAAAGTACAATCCATCAAAAACTGATAGGTTAGACTTTATTAAAATTAAAATATATTGATAAAAGAATGAAAAGACAAGCTACAGACTGACAGTAAATACTTGCAAAACATATCTCATAGAGGATTTATATCTAAAATTATTATTATCATTATTATTTTTAAAAACCCAACTTAAATAAATGGACAAAGGATCTCTGGACCCCTCACTAAAGACGATATGGATGAAAAATAAGCATATGAAAGAAAATATATTCAACACCATTTGTTTTATGGAAGTGAACATTAAAGCAACAATATGATACTAGTAAATACACTTTAGAATGGTTGAAACAAAACAGACAATAACAAATGCTGGTGAGGATCTAGAGGAGCAGGAACTCTCGTTCACTGCTGGTGAGAATACAAATGTTACTTTGGAAGGCACTGCGGTGTTTTCTTACAAAGATAAACATACTCTTACCATATGATCCAGGAATTCTGCCCCTAACATTTACCCAACAGATCTGAAAATTTACGACTACACAAAAACCTACAGAGAAATGTTAGGGCAGCTTTATTCATAATCACCCCAAAACTAGAAGAAACCAAGCTGTCCTTCAGTAGGTGAATAGATATGCAAACTGCTGCACTCACGCGATAGCATATTACTCAGCAATAAAAAGAGAAGACTCACCAGCTTCAAAAGATGGAAAGGAACTTTAAATGTATATTTTTAGTGAAATAAGCCATTCTGAAGAGGCTACTTACTCTACGGTTTTAATCATATGATATTCTAGAAAAAAATGTGGAGATGGTAAGCTGATGAGTAGTTGACAAGGGCGTGGAATGAGGGGGGAGGACTGAATAAGTGAAGCACAGAAACTCTTCTCTATGATGCTGTAATGATGGATGAAGAAGATTGCGCATTTGTCAAAATCCATAGAACTTTGGAGCATAAAGAGAGAATCTGAATGTATAAAAAAATTTAAAACATCATTGGGAGATTGTGGGATACCAGGAAGGAAGCAGAATGGGAAAAGAGATTCTGTAATGTTGAAACCATGTCACTGAGGGGTTGAGTTACTGACCTAAGGAACTCTGGAAATAAGTGGAGTCCATAAATTTAAAGGGAAAAACAACTGCCCATGAGACTGTACACTCATTGATAAAGGTATTCCTGTTGGGTTATCGGTTAACTGTTATAATACTTCTAAATATTTGTACCAGAATTAACAATTAAGAACTGGATGACAGAGGGTGGGGGCCAATTTTCTCACTGTGAAGAGTGGGGTTTACATGTAAGTAAAAGAAGATCAGAATGACCCATGTGATAATAGATCAGTGCTGGAGACAACGGTAAGAACTCATGATCAGCTTCATATAGATAGAGATGGACACACACACGCACACACTATTTCCTTGTTCTGTCAGCTAGGAGAACCTAAAATAAATCTCATTCCAATAGCAATAAGCATACATCCTTCTCAGAACTTTGTTTCAAATATCATTCTTTAATAAAAAGAACTGCGGCTCCTTGGAGAAATGGCTGCTTCTAGAACTAAGACAAGAAGTATACAATGTGAGCCTGGAATATTTGTAGTGCCAAGGAGTGCAATAGAATACCCCACACACATACAGTGATAGGAACAGGAACTAATCAAAGAGCTCCTAAAGGCTAAAGCTGGAACAATTTAAGCAATGAAATCAAGCAATATTAGATTATGATTCCCTAAAAGATAAAACATAAAATAAATATCCATAATTCCATGCAGACAAAATAAATTCATGAATAAATTAATAAATGAGAAGAGAAAACTATCCCATGCAGAAGAATTCCAGATATTTTATGCAGCAGTACTGTGCACGTGTTACGTAGGAGCTGCTCATGACGACTTCCTTCTGAGCACATAACGTGGAACTGAGGGGGAAGGTGTAACTTTGCAGGGAACAACCTGACAAGCCTAGCTCAGCCAGATGACCAAGGGCAGCATCAACAGTGATGGGCCCTGCTGACAGCATATGCCTTGGATATGATGTGATGAAAATCTCACTTACTTCTGTGCTCTTCTTCCCAAAAACTTATAACCCTGGCTAACTACAAGAAAAAAACACCAGGCAAATTACAATAGTGAGATACCCTTCAAAATATCTGGCCAGTACTCTTCAAAACTGTCAGGGTCAATGGGTGCAGCACACCAACAGGGCACATGTACACATATGTAACAAACCTGCACGTTGTGCACATGTACCCTAAAACTTAAAGTATAATAATAATACAATTTTTAAAAAATTGACATAGGTTCTTGGGGATGGGGAGAGATTTGTTAAATGATACAAAATTACACTAAATAGAAAGGGTCTAGTGTTCTATAGCACTCTAGGATGACTATAGTTAATAATATTTATCTAGTTCAAGTAGCTAGAAGGAAGATATTGAATGTTCCCAACACAAAGATATGACAAATGTTTGCGATGATGGGTATGCTAATTACCCTGATCTGATCACTAAGCATTGTATGTTTGGAAACATCACTATGTACCCCATAAGTATGTACAATTATTATGTGTCAATAAAAAAATATTTATAGTAAAAAAAAACTGTCAGGGTCATCAAAAACAAGGAAAATTTGAGAAACTGTCACAGCCAAGAGGAATCTAAGGAAATATGACAATTTAATACAACGTGGTGTCCTGGGATTGTAAAAGAACACAGGAGAAAAAGAACTGTGGAAATATGAATGAAGTCTGCACATTAGTTCATAAACGTGTCAATACTGGTTCATTAATCATAACAAATGTACCGCACTGGTGTAAGGTGTTAATAGTGAGGGAAACCAGGTGTAGGGTCATTGAGAACGCCTGTATTGTCTGCTCAGGTTTTCTATACATGTAAAACTTTTATAAAAATGAAGTTTATTTAAAAAATAAACGGCAGAGAACAGTTACACCTAATAATATTTTAGAACGAGTACGCTATGTCAGACATCAAGCTGCACATTTAATGCACGGCATCTTATTTAACCCCTCTACTCTGAGAGAGGTATCATTACCTATCCCATTTACAGAGGGGAAAAGTAAGGTTTAAAGAGACAAGTCTGAGGTTACAAAGTAAGTGAGTCATGGACAAGGTGTAAATCCTGCTCTCTTTGATCCCAAACTGAGCTTGTGCTCACTCTGCAGACATGGGATGCTGTGCTTTTTAAACTCAGACAACTCTTAGGAAACTAATGGCAGTTTTGTCTTTCATGATTATTCTGCCCTTATAGTTCCTTCTGGTCAGTTCTCGGTGCTGTTGTCGGGCAGAAGGTTTACATGTTTACCCTGACACACACACACATGCACATGTGCACACATGTACACACGCCCCCACATGTGCCCAGCTTTATTTTGCTTGGGCCTATCGCCTGCATAACCCATCATGAGCTCCAAGATCTCACATTTCCCACTGGAGACTTGCTGTGTTCACACGTTTCACTCATTGTGTAGACCAATCAGACCCTAGCTCTCAGCTCATTGTGTAGACCAATCAGACCCTAGCTCTCAGCTCATTGTGTAGACCAATCAGACCCTAGCTCTCAGCTCATTGTGTAGACCAATCAGACCCTAGCTCTCAGCTCATTGTATAGACCAATCAGACCCTAGCTCTCAGCAATGGGGAGTGACCCTCAGGTGGTGGTTGTAGGCATTTAGAAATAAGGTGGTTCTTAAGTTTAGGTATCCTAGCTCCAAAATAATACTCATGTGCGTCAGATCAGGTTCCAGCTGCTCCTGGTAAAAGACTGTCTAAGCCTTCCTTGAAGACTGACAGGCACCTCCACACATGTGCACACAGGCACACACACTCTTACACATTCTTTTCATTCAACTGCCATAGACAGCGAAATTGGGTGCAGAAAAAAAATCTGGCTTCTTTTTTTACAATTGGCAATAATGAACTCAGGATGTCCTTAATTAGCATTACATGAATATGGATCACTTTTACTTTATTTGGAAGTTAATATTTTCAGCAGTTGCCTCCTAATGGGGAACAAGGAACGAGGCGCATGAGAAGACGCCTACTTCTAAGGACCGGCATCAAAAAGGATCATACAGGCTCCTCATATTGGAGATGAAACCCCTGATTTAAACAGTGACTCAGGGCCTACGGCAAGTTGTTTTCCAACAGCTGTGGAGTCTCTTAGAAGGGCCCTACGTGGCCCTTGCCAGGGTCTGGTTTAAGTGGCACCTCTGCTGCGCTTCCTCGGCGGCGGGGGAGGTGGGGGCTGATCCAAAGCTGCAGAGAAACCGACTTCGGCGCTGAACAGGCGGAGAGTGAAACTTAAAGACGGAGGTCACAGGCTCCATGTGGAACACGGAATGATAATTAGCTCACAAGAATGCAAGGAGCACGAATCTTTCAATGTGGAAAAACTCCACACCTACCTTTTCCCCAGAAGTGCAGCCTGCCTGAGACTCTAAAGAGAAGCGAGGAATGCTTGAGAATAGACAGGCCTGCCCCAGCTCCCAGCCTCTCTGTAGGCCGCCCAGGTAGGCACCTTCGCTTTGGCAGCGAGAGAGGCCAGAGTGACCCAGAGGTGACATCACGGCCCTACCCGCTTCGGACATGGCTGAGAGCCGCCCTAGGGACAGGGGTCCAAGGTTCAGCGCCTCAGCAGCGTGGGAAAGCAGAGTGAGTGCTTCGCTAAACGAGAATCCATATTCTCGGTGCCATCCGGACAGTCGAGGGTGCCATTCCACAGGATTTTTGGTTCTTTTTTTTTTTTTTCGTCAAAAGCTTGCCTTTGTAACAAAGAAAATTCTTGTGATGATGTCAGCTTGTGAGCAGCGCTGCCCCACTGCTGTCCATGGTCCTGGGGCGGGATGGCCTCCCGTGGACACTGGGGACGCCTCCCCTCCTCTTGGAAAATGCGTGTTTCTCTCGCAGTATTGTTCTCAGCACCCGAACACAAGCTCTTCTCTGCAGATGAAAACTTATCATTTCATCCATGTGGAGGCTACTTTTACAGACTTTGCAGCTGCCCTACAAAAGGCTTGAATTTTCACAGCAAGAAAATGGATAATTTCATAAAGCTGAGGCTCCTGTTTCCAGGCTGCCTTGTAGATCTTCTAGGAGCAGGTGCACCGCTCTCCTCACCGCCCTGCTGGGAATGGCTGTTCAGGCCTCCTGGCGTCTTCAAATTGAACCCGAGAAGGATCAGAGCTGCAGCCGCGCAATCACAGTCTCGCCGTATGTAAGTCAGGACGTCCTCAGAGCGCTGCCTGCACCCTCTGGGTAGAAGTCGGCGGAGAGGGCTCTGTGGCTGTTCCCAGTGACATGGGCACCAGGCAGACTGAGAGGAACAAACGGCACTGTCCCCAGGGGAGTTTGAAGCAAATCCAGCCACACCTTGAGGGAAGAGTGACTCACGTGCAAAATTTGTCTGCGAAACCCTCTGTATCCCCATGTTTTTCCTTAAATATAATACAAAGGTTTGATTGATGAGTGGTTCCTTCCAATATCCCACTGATCATAGAAGGGAAGCAGGCAGAGAGAGAAGGAAGGCTGTCAAAGTAGCGGCCAGTGTGGCCTGCCTGCTGTGACCGTTGTGCCAGGTGTGCCATGGGAGCATCCCACCCGCAGAGAGCATCTCACCTGCAGAGAGCATCTCACCAACAGACAGTAGCCCACCTGCAGGGAGTACCCCACCCTCAGGGAGCACCCCACCCGCAGGGAGTAACCCACCCACAGGGTGCACCCCACCAGCAGATAGTACCCCACCCATAGGGAGCACCCCACCCACAGGGAGTACCCCACTCACAGGGAGTACCCCACCCACAGGGAGCACCCCACCCGCAGAGAGCACCCCACCAGCAGAGAGTAGCCCACCTTCAGAGAGTAATCCACCTGCAGGAGCACCCCACCCACAGGGAGCACCCCTCCCACAGGGTGCACCCCACCCACAGGGAGCACCCCTCCCACAGGGTGCACCCCACCCACAGGTAGTACCCCACCCACAGGGAGTAACCCACTCGCACGGAGCACCCCACCCACAGGAAGCGCCCCACCCACAGGGAGCACCCCACCCACAGGAAGCGCCCCACCCACAGGGAGTACCCCACCCGCAGAGAGCACCCCACCAGCAGAGAGTAGCCCACCTGCAGAGAGTAATCCACCTGCAGGAACACCCCACCCACAGAAAGCACCCCACCCGCAGGTAGTACCCCACCCGCAGGGAGTAACCCACCTTCAGGGAGCACCCCACCAGCAGGGAGCACCCCACCTGCAGAGAGCACCCCACCAGCAGAGAGTAGCCCACCTGCAGAGAGTAATCCATCTGCAGGAGCACCCCACCCACAGGGAGCACCCCACCCACAGGGAGTACCCCACCCACAGAGAGCACCCCACCCACAGGGAGTACCCTACCTGCAGGGATCATCCCACCTGCAGGGTGCTGGGCACGTCACATGCCTGGCCACCTTTGGGATGCAGGACAAGACTCATCCCCTGGCCCATGCCTGGCCCATGGTGGTCTGACTCCTCCTGACCCCACACACAGAATCTTCCTAATTACACCTTCCACTCCCACCTCCAGGACAGCCCAGTCCCACTCCCAACCCCCCAGCCTCTTTGTTGCTGTTTCCTCTGCTCAATGGCCATTCCGCCTGATCCTGAGGGTGCCCCTGTGTCCACCGTCCATCTGCAAGATCCTGCATGGCATCTTAGCTCCTCAGGTCCATCGCCTCAGGGCTTCTTGGACATGGACCCTGAGGCACGGTGCATGTATGTGGTTCATTAGAGAAAGGACCCTTAGAACAACTGGGGGAGTGGGGAGTGAGGCCGGTCAGGCCAGGGGCCACTACAGCCTGGACTGGGGAGCTGTGGCCACTGCAAGCAGGTAGGGCAGGCCTGCCGGGCCTCTGAGAGATGCTAGATTCCTGATCAGGGCTTGAGATACTTTTCTTCTTATGGCCACGTGGTTACCAGTTGATTCTCACAGCCTGCCAGGCCTCAGGGGCAATTGCCCAATTCTCTTGTAGTGTGAAAGCAGCTATAAACAGTACCCAATGAACATACAGGACTGTGTTCCAATAAAATTTTATTTAGAAAAACCGGAGATGAGCCTGACTGGGCCCCACAGGCCTCAGTTTCCTGCCCCTCAACGTGGAATATGCCTCAGAGATTCAGAGATTTCCACCAAGGGGCAAGGCAGCCGCGGGCTCAACCCCACTCCTACCTGGCCTGTGCCTGCGCCTCTCCGTCAGCTCCTGCATGCCCCTGCCCAGCCACAGTTCTCCTATGCATGGGCCCATTTAACGCAGGTCGTCTCACACCAATGCCTACTCAGGGACTCAGGGACTTGTGAGGCAGATAGGATGTGGGATGAACAAGTGAAAATCTACTTAACAAAGGAGCAAAGAAGGTGGTCTCACTGTGTCACTTCTCTAAAACAGCTGCAGAAGCTGACCCTAAGAAAGTCCAGTGGCGATGAACTCAGCCAAGAGCAGTGTGGCCTGGAGATGGGGTCTGGGCACAGGGAAGGGGAAGCCCCTAGCAGACAGGGGACCAGCCTCACTTGGAGAAGCAGCTTGCCTGCTGGGCTCTGTCCCAAGCACATCTATGGATGTGGCCATGGAGCTTCTGTTTCTCCCTCCAAGGAGCCTGGGGAAGGTCCCGGTTTGAGGGATCGATGCTGTTCTTTTGAGCAGGAGCTGCCCCCAGGAGTGCAGGGGCCACAGGCCTTGCATGTGAGATGATGGTCGATCACACCTCGCGAGCCGAATAAAAGACAGAAAATTAGGGCTGGACTCGGTGGCTTATGTCTGTAATCCCAGCATTTTCGGAGGCTGAGGTGGGCGGATCCCCTGAAATCAGGAGTTCGAGACCAGCCTGGCCAACATAGTGAAACCCCATCTCTACTAAAAATACAAAAATTAGCCAGGTGTGGTGGTGCGTGCTTGTAGTTCCAGCTACTTGAGAGGCTGAGGCAGGAGAATTGCTCAAACCCGGGAGGCAGAGGTTGTAGTGAGCCAAGATTGTGCCACGGCACTCCAGCCTGGGTGACAAAGTGAGACTCCATCTCAAAACAACAACAACAAGACAGAAAAATAGAACACAGAGCAGAGGAGAAGACACAGAAGCCAAGGTCGGATTGAGGGAGATATTGCAGTGATGTGGTCACCAGCCAAGGAACTCCTGGAGCCACCAGCAGCTGGAGGAGGCAGGGAGGGGCCTCCCTTAGTGCCTGCAGAAGGAGCCCTGCCAGCGCCTTGATTGCAGACTTCTGGCCCTCAGAACTGTGAGAAAATAACTTTCTGTTGGTTGAGTCCCCCCAGTGTGTGGAAATATGAGCCAGCAGCCCTAGACAAGTCATGCAGAGGCTCCAGGCATCAGCAGTCTTCTGACAGCCTCCTCACCAGCTTCTAGGTTTCTATTGCAGGAGGGCATCTCAACCCAGAGAGGAGGCCCCCACGCTGTGCAGAGAGCAGTTGTTGTGTGTGGATCCACTCCAGAGCTGTGCTGGAGGCACCAGTGGCCATCACTGCTCACTGTCCATGTATCATGCCATGTCAGTTGGAAACATTTCCCACTAAGGGAGACTCATCCTTCAGCCCAGAGACAATAAGTGTTTTTCTACTTTCATCTCACTTTTCTTTTTTGGGCTCACCGATAACCTATGCAAATCATTTGCAACTGTTTTTTGTTTGTTTGTTTTTAGGTGTTTGTAAGTCTATCCCTGCAGGAGGTTGGAGAAAGAATTACACTAGAAAAACTCTAGCTATACGCTTGAAAATAACCTTTTGATCCTGAAATGCAGTTAAAGAACCAGAGTGGAGTGACCCCACTGATGCTGTATCTTGGAGGGGGAAAAATGAAGCCTCAATGCCCATCTCCATCCCATCGGTAAGTGGCACAGAGCTATTTCTGAGATGAAGGACGGTAGTAAGTCATGCGGCTGACATCTGTAAATACTGCTGAGAGTACTTTTCTGAATTGTGTATTTCCAGATGGGCACGAGGAAATTCAATTCCCCCACAGGTCAGTCCTGGGCACTCCTGCAGCGCAGACACTCTGTGGCACTTGGTGACCAACGTCTTTCATTTCCTGTGCCCACGCGGGGAGCACAATCCATCTTTGGGTTCCTCGGCAGAAAGACTAACAAGATCTCCTCTTCCTGTATTCACAATGATTGCTGCTCACATTGGGAAATAGAGACGAGGCGGCGGTGCTTGCTGTCTCTCTCTCTCGATGTTTGCTTTCTTAGTGCACTTGAGCGTCTTCCATATCTGTATTGCTGCCTCTTCAGGGCTCTGAGGACTTGCGGGCAAGGACTGGCCATTCCTCCGATAATTTTAGTATCTAGAATGAGCTGCACATTCGTTTCATTGAACGGATGTTCATGGAGTGTCTAAGACTGTGTTGATTCATTCACCTAGTGTTTATTATCACCTACAATGTGTCAGGCACTGCTTAAGCCTCTAGGGTTGTAGCTTGGTATAAAAAGCACATCCTGGCCGGGTGAGGTGGCTCACACCTGGAGTCCCAGCACTTTAGGAGACCAAGGCAGGTGGATCACCTGAGGTCAGGAGTTTGAGACCAGTCTGACCAACATGGTGAAACTCCATCTCTAATAAAAATACAAACATTAGCTGGGCGTGGTGGTGGATGCCTGTAATCTCAGCTACTCTGGAGGTTGAGGCAGGAGAATCACTTGAACCTGGGAGGCAGAGGCTGCAGTAAGCCAAGATTGTGCCACTACACTATAGCCTGGGTGGAAAGAACAAAACTCCATAAAAAAAAAAAAAAAAAAAGCATGTCCTTACTCTTTCTTGAACATTCCATGAACATCCCCCCCTCCTCAGGGCCTTTGCACACTTCTCCCCAGAGGCAGCAGTGACCACTGCTTCACTTTCGTCTTGTCTGCTCATAGTGACAATGAGGAAGCCTCCCCTGTCTGGAATTTCTAACATGCCTATCTTGCTCTCCTTTCCTCCATAGGAGGCATCCTTGAAGAAGCACTAAAGGTCTAGATGTAGGCTAAAAATGGGTGAGAGCCTTAACAAGACAGGACTGCAGGTCTGGGCCTGCTCCCGGATGGATGGTAATGCCTTCTTTTTGATTGGGCATTGAGTTATTTGATTCACATGCATGGCCTGGTTCTCATTGTGGCCTAGAAAAGTTTGTAGATTCTGCTGGGGGCTCAGAATCACAAAAGCGGAGGTAGATTTGTGCCTGTTTAACACACCTGTGTGTATCTCCTCACGACTCCTGTCTCCAACCTAGGATTTTGATTGTAGGGTTGAGGATAGCAGGCAGAGTAGAATCCCCCAATCCACCCTTTCTTGCCACATCTTTGTTAGCTTCTTATAGCTGCTGTCACAAATTACCACAAGTGTAGTGACTTAAAACAACACAAATGTGTTATCTTCCTGTTCTGGACAGCAGGTGTCCAGCGTGGGTCTCACTGGGCTAACATCAAGGTATCATCAGGGCTGTAATTGGAGGCTCTGGAGGGGAATTCGCTTCTCTGCCTTTGCTAGTTTCTAGAGGCTGTCTGCATTCCTTGCCCCAAGGTCTCTTCTGTCATCAAAGTCAGTGACATTAGGCACACTCTTTCTTCTGAAGCCATTTGTCTGGTTCTTTGGGCTGGGAAAAGTTCTTAGTTTGGAAGGATCTTTGTGATTCCTTAGGGCTCATCTGAATTATCCAGGGTCATCTCCCCATCTCAAGATTTTTAATCTCAAGCACATTTGCAAAGTCCCCTTTGCCATATGAGGTGGCATTCACAGGCTTTGATAATTAGGACATGGGCACCACAGGGGGACATGTTCTGCCCACCCTACCATCCCCTCCTCCCCACTCTACCATCCCCTCCTCCCTACCATCCCCTCCTCCCCACCCTACCATCCCCTCCTCCCCACCCTACCATCCCCTCCCCCCCACCCTACCATCGCCTCCTCCCCACGCTACCATCCCCTCTTTCCCACCCTACCATCCCTTCTTCCCCACCCTACCATTCCCTCCTCCCCACCCTACCATCGCCTCCTCCCCACCCTACCATCCCCTCCCCCCGACCCTACCATCGCCTCTTCCCCAAACTACCATCCCCTCCTCCCCACCCTCAGAGTGGGAGACACTCTCCCTTTCCTCTGTGCCAGGATGTGCCCTGTGTTCCTGACCTCCCCATTCTGTGATGTTCTACAGAAACTCCTTGATGACTTTCTCTATGCCCAGTTCTTTATACATCAGATCATCCTAGTTCTGGGTAACTTAGCCCTAGAAAGTCCTATGAAACATTTTTTTCTCTCTTTCAATAAAGCTTGACTTTAAAAAATCAAAAGTGTTTGCCCACAATGCAATACTATCTCATTCCTGCAAGAATGGCCATAATCAAAAAATCAAAAAATATTAGATGATGGTGCGGATATGGTGAAAAGGGAACACTTTTACACTGCTGGTGAGAGTGTAAACTAGCACAAGTGCTGTGGAAAATGGTGGGAGATTCCTTAAAGAGGTAAAAGCAGATCTACAATTCGATCCAGCAATCCCCCTAGGTATCCACCTAGAGGAAAAGAAGTCAGTATACAAAAAAAGGTACTTGTACACACATGTTCACAGCAGCACAATTTGCAATTGCAAAAATGTAGACCAGCCCAAATGCCCATCAATCAATGACTGGATAAAGAAAATGTGGAATATATATACCATGGAATACTACTCAGCCATAAAAAGGAACAAAATAATGGCATTTGCAGCAACTTGGATGGAATTGGAGACCATTATTCTAAGTGAAGTAACTCAGGAATGGAAAACCAAACATTGTATGTTCTCGCTCATGTGGGAGCTAAGCTGTGAAGAAGCAAAGGCATAAGAAGGAAACATTTGATTTTCGGGACTCACGGGAAAGGGTGGGGAGTGGTGAGGGATAAAAGATTGCACATTGGGTACGGTTACACTGCTCAGGTTATGAGTGCACCAAAACCTCAGAAATCACCACTAAAGAACTATTCATGTAACCAAACACCACCTGTTCCCCAAAAACTACTGAAACAAAAAAATAAATTTTAAAAAATCAAAAATATTTGCTTCCATTCTTTAACAAATAATGCGTCAAAGAAGTCAAAAGGGAAATTTAAAAATATTGAGACAACCAGAAATGGAAACACAACATTCCAAAACTCATGAAATGCAGCAAAAGTAGTTATAAGATGGAAGTTCATAACAAAAACAACACCTATATTAAAAAAATCTCAAATGAGCAACCCAATATTACACCTCAAGGGACTCGAGACAGAACAAACTAAACCCAAAGTTAGTAGAGAAAAAGAGAAATAATAAAGATCAGAGCAGAAAAAATAAAATAGACACTAGAACATAATAGAAAAGATCAACAAAATGAGGAGTTGGTGTTTTGAAAAGATAAATAAAATTGACAAACCTTTAGCTAGACTTACTAAGAAAAAAGAAACAAAAGTCAAATAAATAAAATCAGAATTGAAAGGAGACATTACAACTGATACCACAGAAATATAAACAATCACAAGAAACTATTAAGAACAAGTAAACACCAACAAATTGGATAACATAGAGGAAATGGCCGAATTCCTAGAAACATACAAGTCACCAAGACTGAATTACAAAGAAATAAAAGTTCTGAACAGATCAATAACAGGTATGGAGGTTAAATCAATAATCAACAACTTCCCAACACACACAAATAAAACCCAAGACAGGGTAGCTTCATGGCTGAATTCTACTAAACATTTAAAAGACAGTTAATGTCAATTCTCAAATGCTTCAAAATATTGAAGAGGGAGAAATATTTCCAAGCTCTTCTATGAGGTCATCATCACCCTGATACCAATGCCAGACAAGGACACTCAGAAACAGAGAAAACTACAGGCCAATATCCCTGATAAACATAGATACAAAAATCTTCATGAAAATACTAGCAAGCCAAATAAGAAATGCTCTTTGACAACCTGCATCTATTTCGTCATTGATTGTGGCCATGTTCCCCAGAAACAATGAATGCATTTGCTATGGGTAATCTAGGAATATTAGGGAGTTACTGGCAATAAAGATACATTAGTTGAATGTATAAAAAATAGTCTCCATTTGTGTTAGTGGGAACTTATCTGTAGTTGAATATGCATATCTAGTTCCTCTTGTTTTTTTCTTTAATTAGTATTGTTTGCTGTCTAGAAAGGTTTCTACTTCAAGACTTGGTGGTTTGTCACTATCGTTCTTGCAAATGAGGAGCACTATGCCAAGCGCAGGTCCAAGCTGAATTGCCTCTTCAGAGGGTCTGTAGAGCTCCTAGATGGAACCAGTCCCAGACTGGGATTCAAGTTGACTTTTAACTGGATGCACGAGGGACTTTGCAGGCTGATGGGGGTCTGAACAGAAGTCCAACCTTCCTGTTCTGTCCGGCATCCCTCTATAGGGTTCTACGTGAACAAGAGCATGGTGGGTTCAGAAAGAAGCATCCTGGAGACAGTGTGTGAGTGGGAGGCAGGCTCACACCTGCACCATCTGCCCTTCACCCTGCTGCAGGGTGAGGCACAGAGGAAGCAGGACATAAGGAGGCAGAAGACAAGGGGTCTGTGGACTCCCCAAGCCCACTAGACTGGCTGCCTCTGCAGGGAAGCAGCGGGCCCTGCTGGGGCTCCTGCCTTGCGCAGGTATGCTAGGTGCCCCCACGCCTCCCTCCCTTAATTCTCACCATCACCCCAGAGGCAGCTTTAGCGGGGGCTCGCCCAGTGTGCTGAAGATGGTCCCTGGGGGAGTGGAACCTCACAGTCCTTTCCTCTGACCCGGGCCTTGTGAACCCTTCCCCATTCAATTCCGAGAATCAGGACGCACTGCGCTCCTTTGACAACCCTGGGGGAATCTGTACCAAGTGACACAACTAGCTCAGGAATCCCAGGCTGGAGAAGGAGTTTTGATCCCAGTGCTGGCTCCAAGACCAGGGACATCTGCCACCAGGGCCTCGCGGGGCTGTAGAGAGGCTGCTCAGCAGGATGCCTGCTCACTCTGTTCTTCTGATTATTGTAAAACCACCTTTAAAACCATGATTCCCAATGGGTTGGACGCATTAGCAAGTCTGGATTCATTTTTGGACAAGGAAACAATTCCACTATTTCCTGTAACACAAACTAACGTATTCTATGACATTCCTTAGATCGGACGTCTAAATTGGAAAATACACTTTAAAAACCCTTTAACAGGTTGCATTAATTTCCAAACTAATGTTATATGTTGTATTAATTTCCAAAGCAAATCAAATATGAAGTTCTTCTAATTATGTCATACCTCTTACAGGAAAATTAGGCTTTTCATTGACAATCAACACTCCATTGTTTATTTCTCAAAACAAAATGCTGATCTTCTTACAGAAATAGTTCAGGAAGGGACCTCAATCATTGCCAAAGCCATTGATGTGGGATCCCCAAGTTCTCTGGGGTGCATGTGAATGTGCACCGGCTAAGTGCTGAATTGCCTCTGCAGAGGGTCAGTAGAGCTTCTACAGACAGGATGGAGCCAGTCCCGGCCTGGGATTCATGATGACTTTTAACTTGACGGGAGGCAAGAGGGACTTTGCAGGTGCGTTGGAGTCTGAACAGAGGTCCAACCTTGCTCCCTTGCCCTAAATCCTTCTATAGGGTTCTAAGTGAACAAGAGCATGGCTGGTCCAGAAATAGGGATCCTGGAGACAGCGTGTGAGCGGGAGGTGGGCTCACACCTAGCTGCACAGCTGGGATTAGCACATTCTCCGAGTTGAATGCTGGCTCCAGGAGACGCTGCAGCTCTTCTGATGATTTGCTGATGCTCTCTTGCTTGGGAGTTTGTCTGTTTCCATTCCTCAAGCCAGCAGCGCTTCTTTTCATAAATTAGATCAAAGCATCTTTCGGAATGCACTGAAGACTGGCGCGGAGCTGACAGGCCTCTTTGGAATTTCTTGACTTATTTTCCTAAGATGCAAAGCTGTGAATCACCCCAGGACTTGTGTGCGGGGAAGTGTCCCCTGGGAGGGTCTCCCATGGATCACTCTCATCATGACTTGCAATTTATAGATTTCCAAGTAGATGGTTATTTTAAGCAGATTATCTTCTGCAGAGATGCTTAGACTTATGACATAGAACTCAGTCAGCAGGACTCAGACTTGATTTAGTTGGCTATTTCGGATACACAGAGAGTTTCTATGAAAATATTTCTTTGTTTTTAATTTTTACAAAGGAAACTCACAAGTCAGAAAGTATAGGCAGTGTTTCAATAGTGGGAAGCAGCATGATTAGAGGTAGCCTCACCTTGCTTGCTTCTAAGGATGGGGATAGCCATATTTCGCTGGTCACCTTCTGTGGTCGCTGGTACCCAAGGCATTTGCATATGGATTTATAACCTTCATGACGAACTTGATGTTCATTAGCTCTATTTTACAAGCAAGGTTAGAGTGAAGTGAAAAAAGGGCAAAAAAGGGACTCCAGCCTGGTTTTCAGGTGTTAAATATTCACTTACTAATTGCACTGATCAGGTCACAAAGAAAGAACCCATTGGTGCTCAGAAGGTGAGCAAGTGACATCTTTTAAAACAAAGGAAGACATTCTTATCATTAAACAGTTGGCAATATGGTGGCATTTGCAGACAGCTGGGTAACATTTTAATGGGTCTATTTCAGCCTTGTAAAATGTTAGAGCAGAGAGGACCTTAGAGGTCTCTAGTCCAAGCACCTCAGTCTAGAGACAGGACACCAAGCCTCAGAGAGGCCAGCTGAGCAGCTCAATGTCACAGAGCAAGACAGCAGCAGAGTTCAGCTGGGCCCTCATCCTGCCTCCTCCAGGCCCCGTGATGAGTCTCCACGATGTCCTGTTTCCATGGAAAAGCCTCTAGGTTCACAGGGTTGGCATCCTTCGGCCACAAGTGTGTCAGTCACGTGGAGCCCTTTCTGCAGCTGAACTCACTTCTGATTCACGTGGCTGTCTCTCCTAGATGACAGCCACACCTCCCAGGACGGTATGGCCATATCTCACCCCCTGCTGCACCTGTCTCCATCCCTGGTGACACAGGGCTGGCTCTGCCCTCTTCTTCCCAGGGGAGGCTCCACTGTCCCATTTTCTGAGGGTGTGGCAGGGACCTGGAGCAGGAAGCCAATGCCACAGCCCATGCCTTGAGCTTGCCATGATGGGAAAGACAGAAGCAGCACCTTGAGACATTCCAGAGGGAGGATGGACACAAGCGGGGTGGGGCTCTGAGTTTTTCTTTAGACATCCCAGAGGAAGATGGACCCCAGGCGGGGAGGCTCCGAGTCTCCCTTTAGACATCCCAGAGGGAGGATGAACACAAGGAGGGTGGGGCTCTGAGTCTCCCTTTAGATACCCCAGAGGGAGGATGGACCCAAGGGGGGTGGGGCTCTGAGTTTCCTTTACACATCCCAGAGGCAGATGGACCCAAGATGGGTGGGGCTCTGAGTCTCTCTTGGAGCCACCCTGATTACTGCTGACAGGTGAGCCCTGGACCTACTGGAAGCTTCTGTCTCTGAATCAAAACCAGCAAGCCTCTAGTGTGTGTGTGTGCCAGCCACCGTTCCAGGAGCTTTTCCTAAGTGAGCTTGTTCACTCCACAGCAGCCCTGTGAGGAAGGTGTGAGGATTATGAATGTTCACCTCAGGACTCAGACAAGGTCACCAGGGTGCAGGAGGGAGAGCCAGGACTTGAACCCAGGGCCTCTGACCTCAGCTCCAGCCCTCTGCCTCTCCTCCCCTCACCAGTTTCAGAGGCTCATCCCTGACTCTTCTGAACCTTCCCAAATGTTTTTTATCTTGGACTTATTTTGGTTTTTGAATATATGGGTTTTGATAAAAAAGAAAAATGTTGATTATTTATGCAATTAAATGTTCTTTATTCTAATACTTTGGTATAAAATTCCATATTTCTTTTTTTTATTATTATACTTTAAGTTTTAGGGTACATGTGCACAACGTGCAGGTTAGTTACATATGTATACATGTGCCATGTTGGTGTGCTGCACCCATTAACTTGTCATTCAACATTAGGTATATCTCCTAATGCTATCCCTCCCCCCTCCCCCCACCCCACAACAGGCCTCGGTGTGTGATGTTCCCCTTCCTGTGTCCATGTGTTCTCATTGTTCAATTCCCACCTATGAGTGAGAACATGCGGTGTTTGGTTTTTTGTCCTTGCGGTAGTTTGCTGAGAATGATGGTTTCCAGCTTCAATCAAGTACATTACACATGGTTAAATACATGGATAAGCTGGAGAATGTTTTGAATTTAATTATCCAATCCTTATTTTTAACAATAAATTTATGACATTGCATAGTGCTTTAGTAGAGCCAATGATATATTTTAAACAGGTTTTCATTTTTTAAACGTGAACATTAGTAGCTCTACAAGATGCTAGTGTTGTTTTCTGCCTTAACTCATCAAATAACACTACTAGTTGTAGTTCTGTTTAGGATACTGCCTTTACTCAGACATTTACTGATTGTCTTAACATATCTGGGAGTATTTCAACTATCAAATATCTTCTTTTGGGCCTTTGCTTAAATCCACTTCAGAAAATGTACAGTACATGGGTTCTGGCAATGACAGATATAACTTTGACAAGCTTCCTAGGGAAACAAATATAAAATAGCAAGTGTGTAAGTGTATGCCTGTGTGAGTGCAAGCATGTGTGTGTGTGCATGTGTGTGTGTAATTGGATGGATACACAGACAGCAGTTAATGCAGGTGGGACTTGAGGAGTTGGTGCCCTCCAGAGAAGTTAAGTAGAAGAGAGCTTCACATTCACCTTAGTGTCTTTCCTGGGAATGAATTCCATTTCAAAGGATTGAAGTGGAGTTGTGAGGAGAGATTGGGGGATGGGCAGACTCCAGGCAGAAAGCAGGAATTTTACTGAGAGACATAGATCAGAGTTCAGGGATAACAAAGTAGCTGAAAACGATGGGGCTACATCCCAGGGAGAAAGAAAAGTCAGAGAAATGAGCTGGAAAATCTGTGAACAACTTTTTTGAAAGTAGTTGGATAGCTCCTAAACTACTCAAGTGAGGGTAAGAATTCTAGAAATGAGCAGAAAACAGGGGCTGACAGCTCAAAAAAATGAGGAGATTTTCAGTAGCCATAGGGTACTGAAGAGAAAGGAGCTCAAACTCTGCCAAGGTCAAGGGCTTTGAGAAGCACCTCAGGCTTCAGTTGAGATCTCAAAAGGGCCGCCCCCACAGAGCAAGGGGCACATCCTGAGGGCAACATGAAAACCAGTGCATGCAGCCATAACAAACCCTAAAATTGATTATTGACGGGGCCAATGAGACATGACGGTGCTCTCCTTACATGCCAGAAGAAAACTTTACCACTTTGGTGAAAGACAACATCATTGGTAGCCTCTAAGACTTCCTTTTATCTGCAAAGCTGCAAAGGCTGACCTCTAAGAAAAAATTACAGGACCTGCTAAAACTCAGCGCTGAAATACCAAAATCATAAATTTTAAAATAGTTTAATATTATTAAGAATGCAGAGAAAAAGATGGAAACTTATCAGAAACTAGGAATCCCTGAAAAGGAAAGAAAAACTAAATTGGCATTTTAGTTCTAAAATAACAATGAATTAAGTTAGCCATTTAACAAATACATTTAGTAAGAGATTAGACATACCAGATGAAAGAATTCCTAAGCCGTGCAACAATTAATTTGAAAGAATGTAAAATGATGCACAGAGAAGAATGGAAAATGTGGAGTGTAAGATACACATGGAGCCGAGTGAACAGGTCTACTTGATGTGGATCAGAGTCCCAGAAAAAGCAAGGGGGGTGGGGTGAGACTGGAGCAGCCTTTGAGAAAATGTTCATGGAAGATTTCCCCAAATTGCTGGATTCATCTGCTCAGGCTGCCAAAACAAAACACCACCGTTTGGGCTTAAACAACAGAAGTTTATTTTCTTTTCTTTATTCTTATTATACTTTTAGTTCTGGGATATGTGTGCAGAATGTGCAGGTATGTTATATAGGTATACACATGCCATGGTGGTTTGCTGCACCCATCAATCTGTCATCTACATTAGGTATTTGTCCTAATGTTATCCCTTCCCTAATCCCCCAACGCCCCAACAGGCCCTGGTGTGTGATGTTCCCCTCCCTGTGTTCATGTGTTCTCATTGTTCAACTCCCACTTATGAGTGAGAACATGTGGTGTTTGGTTTTCTGTTCTTGTGTAAGTTTGCTGAGAATGATGGTTTCCAGCTTCATCCATGTCCCAGCAAAGGACATGAACTCATCCTTTTTTTATGACTGCATAGTATTCCATGGTGTATATGTGCCACATTTTCCTTATCCAGTCTATCATTGATGGGCATTTGGGTTGGTTCCAAGTCTTTGCTATTGTGAACAGTGTTGCAATAAACATACGTGTGCATGTTCTTACAGCTCTGTAAACTGAAAGTTCAAGATCAAGGTGCTGGCGGGGTTGGCCTCCCCATGGTTTGCAGACAGCTGCCTTCTCCTTTTGTCCTCAGTTGGCCTTTCTTCTGTGTGGCCCTGCAGGGAGAGAGCTCTGGCACCTCTTCCTCTTCTTACAAAGGACACCAGTCCTCTCAGAGTAGGGCCTACCCCAGGACCTCGTTTAACCTTAATTGTCTCCTTAAAGGCCATATCTCCAGATACAGCCACACTGGGGATTAGAGCTTCAACATATGAATTTTTTTGGGAAACAATTCAGTCATAACCAATGCCACAAACTAATTAAAATACCAAATAAAAGAGTGGACACACTCAGCAAACCCAAAGCGGGATAAACGCTAAGAAAACCCACCTAAGATCATCATTCTCAAATTTTTTAAAACCAAAGTCAAAGAGAAAAATCTTTAAAATAGCCAGAGGGGGAAATTGGGTCACTACCTTCAGAGCAGCAAAGCTGACATTTCAACACAGACAGAGATCCAGAAGACATGGAATAATATGATCTTGGGAGAAGGTACCGCAATGTAATTTCAAAAACAGAAAAGAGGCAAGAAGAGTAAATTAGCCCCTCTATATTTTACTTTAACTCACCAGTTATTTTCATTTTACTCATTTATCTTTTGTGCATGTTCTCTCTTTACGCACACACATATATATGGATTTTTTCATCATTTAAGATTATGTTACAGACACGGTGTCCTTTTATCCCTAAACACTTCACATTACTATGAAAACAAACTTGCTAACTAGAGTTCATTATTTGTTTATAGACTTTTTTCCCGTCTTTCTAATCATGCTACATAGTCAAATTGTTGTGTTCAACATTCTGGGTTTAGTTTTTTTCCCTTCAGTGTGTTTATGTTATTCACTTGAAATAAATTAGTGTTACTTCATTCCCATGTTGTATTTTAAGGACTTTGACTATGTAAAATCTTAATGTGGTTCCAAAATTCAAAACAATACTAAAAGTAACACTCACAAAAGTATCCTTCCCAGTACTTTTTACTCCATTGCCAACAGGCCTTATAGGTAACCAATCTCATCAGTTTCTGGCTTACTCTCCCTTTCATTCCCTCCCCTTCCCTCCCATTCCTTCCCCTCTCCTTCTCCTTCATCTTTTATTTGTATAAATTTAATGGGTACAAGTGTAATTGCGCCATAGGGATATATTGCAGAGTGGCTAAGGGCTTTTTTGTCCATCACTCAAACAACACATACTGTACGTTGGTAATCTCTCATCACACACCACCCGCTCCAACACTCCCGCCCTTCCAAGTGCCCAGTGTCTGTCACTCCACTCTCTATGTTCATGTCTACACATTATTTAGCTCTCACTTATATGTGAGAACATGCAGTGTTTGTCTTTCTGTTTCTGACTCATTTCACTTAAGATAGTGGTCCCTAGTTCCATCCATGTTCCTGCAAAGGACATGATTTCATTCTTTTTCATGGCTGAATAGTACTCTGCTGTGTATATATACACCACATTTTCTCTATCAATCATCTGTTGATGGATACTTAGGCTGATTCTCTTTTTGTTACTGTGAAGAGTGCTGTGATAAACTTATGAGTGCAGGTATCTTTTTGATAAAATGATTCCTTCTCCTTTGGGTAGAGTCCCAGTAATGGGATTGCTGGACTGAATGGTAGTTCTATTTATGGTTATTTGCAGAATCTCCACAGTTTTCCATAGAGGTTGTACTAGTTTACGTTCCCACCAACAGCATAGAAGAGTGAGTTCCAGGCCGGGCGTGATGGCTCACGCCTGTAATCCCAGCACTTTGGGAGGCTGAGGTGGGTGGATCACCTGAGGTCAGGAGTTCGAGACCATCCTGACCAACATAGTGAAACCCCATTTCTACCAAAAATACAAAAAATAGCCAGGCATGGTGGTGGGTGCCTGTAATCCCAGCTACTTGGGAGGCTGAGGCAGGAGAATTTCTTGAACCTAGGAGGTAGAGATTGCAGTGAGCCGAGATTGCAACATTGCATCTGGGTGATGAGTGAGATTCTGTCTCAAGAAAAAAAAAAAAAAGGTATAAGAATTCCCTTTTCTCTACATCCTTACCAACATATGTTTTTTGTTTTGTTTTGTTTTTATGAGATGGAGTCTCGCTCTCTCACCCAGGCTGGAGTGAAGTGGTGCCGTCCTGGCTCACTGCAACCTCTGCCTCCTGGGTTCAAGCAGTTTGCCTGCCTCAACCTCCCAAGTAGCTGGGACTGTAGGTGCTCACCACCACACCTGGCTAATTTTTGTATTTTTAGTAGAGACGAGTTTCACCATGTTAGCCAGGCTGCTCTCAAACTCCTGACCTCAGGTGATCTGCCTACCTTGGCCTCCCAAAGTGCTGGGATTATAGGTGTGAGCCACCATGCCTGACCCACATCTGTTATTTTTAAATCTTTTCAATAATAGCTATTCTTACTGGTGTCAGATGGTGTCCCATTGTGGTTTTGATTTGCATTTCTCCGATTGGTGATGTTGAGCATGTTTTTCATATGTCTGTGTGTCTTCTTTCAAAAAATGGCTATTCATGTCCTACGCCTACTTTTAGTTTTTTTTTTTTTTTTTTTTTTTTTTTTTGAGGCTGTCACCAGGCTAAGAATGCAGTGGCACAACCTCAGCTCAATGGAAACTCCGACCCCAGGTTCAAGCAATTCTTGTGCTTCAGCTTTCTGAGTAGCCGGGACTACAGGCGTACGCCACCATGCCTGGCTAAATTTTGTATTTTTAGTAGAGTCAGGGTTTTGCCCTGTTGGCCAGGCTGGTCTCAAACTCCTGGCCTCAAGTGATTCGCCCTCCTCTGCCTCCCAAAGAGGTGGGATTACAGACATGAGCCACCACGCCTGGCCCATATGCTCACTTTTTAATGGTTCGCTTCCCTTCCTTCCCGTCCCTCCCTCCTCCCCTCCCGTTTCCCTCCCCTCTCCCCTCCCCTCCTCTCCCCTCCCCTTCACTTCTCCTCCCCTCCTGTCCCCTTTTCCTCCCTTCCCTTCCCTTTCTTCTTTCCTTCCCTTTCTCTCTTTCTCTTTTTAGCACTTTCTCCTCCCTTTTCTTAATCAAGTTGGATAGTTGCTTGTCTATTTTCACTAAAAAAACACACGTTGATTACTCATTAGATTTTCTATTTTTCTACTCTCTACTATATTAACTTTCACTTATATTATTGTTTGCTTTGCTGTGCTTTATTTTGGTTTCCTTTTTGTTCTTTTCCTAGAGTTTTCATTTTTCAATATTTTTGTTTACATTAATATCATTATTTAAAGCTACTGATTTTCCTTTGATGACTGCTTTCCATGAATGTCATAACTGTTATCAATGCTTTTAAAGATATTATGTAATTTCAATTTGCAATTTCTCTTTAAGAATTTTTTATTTTATTTTATTTTATTTTATTTTTTTTATGAGACAGAGTCTGCTCTGCCGCCCAGGCTGGACTGCAGTGGAGCGATCTTGGCTCACTGCAAGCTCCGCCTCCCGGGTTCACGCCATTCTCCTGCCTCAGCCTCCCGAGTAGCTGGGACTACAGGCGCCCACCACCACGCCCGGCTAATTTTTTGTTGTATTTTTAGTAGAGACGGGGTTTCACCATGTTAGCCAGGAAGGTCTCGATCTCCTGACCTCGTGATCCACCCACCTCGGCCTCCCAAAGTGCTAGGATTATAGGTGTGAGCCACCGCAGCCGGCCAGGAACTTTTTAACAGAATGGTTATTTTAGTTTTTTCCTTTTAATTTCCAGGCTGAATGATTTGTTTTTGTTGTTGTTGTTGGTTTGTTTAGTTATTAGCTTCTAGATTTACTGCACTGTGATCAGAAAGGATTGTTGGCAAATGTCTACTTTATAAAACACGTTGATATTTCTTTGTGATGTAATCAACGATCAGTTCTTGTGAATGTGCCATGTGTGGCTGGGAAGAAGCTGTATTCGCCATTTTCAAGGAGTAAGCCCTTCATAGTTCAATAAGATCGGCCTCCTTGATTATGTTGCTAAGTCTCCAGGTTCTCTTTTGTCTACTCTTGTATTTCCAGCTCTCTGGAGATGTTTGCTATCGCATTTTTGGCACAGATATTTACAACTGTCACCTATCTCTGCTTAATTGACTTCTGTTTTCTGTTTTTTTTTTCATTTGCCTGGTATACCTCAGCGTTTTTGGATCTGTTTAGCCTTTTTCTAAGTCACTTTCTTTGCAGGTGTGTCTTGCAGCTGCAGCATAGAATTGAGTCTTGCTTTCTGACACAAACTGAAAATAATTTTCTTTTAATAGGTCAGTTAAACTTATTCATATTTATTCATGGAGCTGTATGTTGGGGCTTACTGCAGTTATATTATTTCTTGTTATGGTTGCAATAGTTATTCTTGCATATTTGCTCTTTTCTTTCCTTTTGTGATGTGTTTTCTCCAGTTCTCTCTTTTTTCTTTCTTTCTCTCTCTCTCCCTATCACCCCCATTGGCATTTACATTGGTTTGTGTTTTGTTCTAGTGGTACCTTCGCTCTTACACCTTTTTCTATCACATTAGTCTTCTGTGACCTTATCTGGTAATTTGCTGATCTTTTAAAAAATTCGTTTTAGTGGTATTCCTGACAGTCACTTGTGCTATATTTCAATCAATAGCTTATATCACAATCAATAAGCTTACTTTTCTTTTCCCTTTTCTCTTTTAATTTATCTCCCTTTTTAGTTTTATTATTTCCATATTGTCAAAATATATAATACATATTATTCTCAGACTCTCATCACCACCTATCTTTCAGTCTTAATATTCAACTAAATATATTAAATAGTAATCAGTCATCTTGCCTATGATTTTTCAGTCATCTCTTGGTTGGATGAATGTCATCTTTTAGTAGATGCCTCAAAGACTCATGAGAACAGCATTCCTTGTGCTCTTACTTTATTAAAATTTGTATTTGAGAGTCTTAACATTGGACTGTTTTTAGCTGGATATAAAATCCTTAATTAACATATTCTTTTCCGTTTTTATTATGCCCTGTTGCTGCCTTGAGATGCTAAACTAATTTTCTTTTTCTTTTTCTTTTTTTCGCATTGAGGTCCTGATCTTATTTCATAAATTTTTAAAGTTTAATAGTTTTACTAGGCTAAAATATTATAGGTTATTATTTTGCATTAAATTTCTCAGGTCTCTGTAGGCCCTTGCAAAGTGTAGGCATGTCTTCAGTCTTTCCTTTATTTCTGGAAAGTACCCATAAGTGGAATCTTAACAGACATTGCTACTGCAATCTGGCCATTAGTTTCTGCCCATCGGTAATTTGAAGTTTCTTGTGTTATTTTCTTTATTGTTAAGCAGAAAATAGGTTTCAATGTTACTTGTGATTCATACTTTTTCTTTTTTTGCTAACTCCAATTATACATATGTTGGATTTTGTTTTCTTGCTTAATGTCTATTTCAACCAATTTTCTCTGGCCCTTTTTACTTCCTTCTTTCACTTTCATTCTCCTAGCTATTTTCCTGATTTTATTCTATAGCTTCTTTTATGAAAATTTCTTTTCAAATATATTCTTTCTCAGGCAGTTTTTAAATTCACCTTTATTTCTAAATGACAGTACCTTTTTCTTCTTTCTCTTCTGAGTTCTATAACTTCTACTTCAATTTCTTTCTCTTCTTGTTTATTTTATTGTAATTTCTGAATTTTTAATATTATCACATGCAGTGCTTCTCTGAGCATATTTGATTTACTTTGAAGTGTTGCATTAGTTTTATTTCACTTTTTTGGTGGTGGATTCATCCACTGAAAGACTTTGATCTAAATTTTCTGTTTATTCTCACGTTAGCTTTGCATAAATGAAGGCTGCTTATGTCTATTCCTATAGTGATGGTTTGGAGGATATTGCACGCTTTATATCCTCAGAGCAACTTCTGTCTTTATAGCACAGTGTAGCTACTGAGTGGGCTTTGGGGGTTATGGGCAGTAGGGGTGTAGACTTCGATGTTTTGGGACCTATTTTATCATGGAGGATTCTAAAGTTTGCCTTGTCTTTTTTTTCACCACCCAGTCTCTAATGGGGGCCTTTTCCTCAATTTTTACCTTCTTCTCCCTCAGAAACAATGTCTTTCTGTGCTCCACTTAATTTAAGTATTTTCCCTGTAGTCAGTACACTGATCTGATGGGATCGTTTCAGAGTTTTTACATTTAGGATGGACTTTCTATTTTTGTCTTTGTTTTTAGGTACATTTTAGGCTTTTTGTTTTTATCCTTTATTTTCTGTGCATTTCCCCAAATTTCACTAGATTTCCACAAAGATTTGCAGTGGAAGCTCAAGAGAAGTCGCTGCTATGGTCTTGTCATTAATTTTCTGCCAATAGGTAATTTGAAGTTTGTGGTGTTCTTTGCCTTTCTGTTAAGAAGAACATGTTTGGTTTCTTCTCATTTTGCTGTACAGTATCTTTGAAGCTGTGTGAGGAGAGTCAGATGGAGGTGGCTCTTATTACCTCAGCCACCTGGAAATGCTGAAATGACATCCATAAAGGAATCTCAACAATTATACTCAGTTAAATAATTGTTCAAAAACGGAGGTGAATACACAAGAGGTGGCTCCGGTAGACATTAAGAAGTGAAATATAAACACGTTTGGGTACATCTGCACAATGAAATACTACATGGCAATACTGACGAAGAACAGGCGATGCAACAATAATTGAGCTTGGCAATGTTATGCTGAGCACAGAGCCAGACATAAAGAGCCTGCTGTGTGACTCCATCTACCTTCAACTCTAGAAGATGAGAAGCCTCATGCACACATACACAGTACCAGGAAGCAAATTAGGAGCTGCCTGGGGCTGGGTGCAGGTGGCCTGGGACTTCTAATGCAGAGGCAGGAGGAGACCTCAGGATAGTGGAAGTGCTGTCTATCTTGATTGTCATAGTGGTTACATGGATGGATACTTTTGTCAAAGCTCATTCAACTGTTCAGCTAATATAGATGCATGTTATTAGATGTAAATTGTACCTCACAGTTGATTTCTTCAAAAGGCAAAGATGTTTTCAGGAAAAAACAAAAGCTAAGGGAACTCATTTCCATCAGAACTGCACTACAAAGTACATACACTGCAAGCAACGGAAGCTTTTTCAGATTCAGGGAAATTGTCCAAGATGGGAGCCTGGGTCTGTGGAAATAAATAAAGAGCCTCATTTTGGAGGCTTGGCCCCTGCATT
Source organism: Homo sapiens (assembly GCF_000001405.40). Classification (NCBI taxonomy): domain Eukaryota; kingdom Metazoa; phylum Chordata; class Mammalia; order Primates; family Hominidae; genus Homo; species Homo sapiens. The sequence continues at coordinate 130,856,153 of NC_000010.11, forward strand.
CACAGGGAGATGCAGCCTCCCAGAAGAGCCTTCCGGGATCCACACACTGTCCCCAATCAGAGCTGGCTGGAGATGCTCGGGATGGGGCATTTCCTCTGAGAGCATCCATAGCTGAAGCTGGGGTACCCAGCACCGTCAATTACTGTGACCAACATAAGCAAGTTTTTCATTGTAACAGGTTGAAGTTGATGGTCATAAACGCTTTGCACATTGATCCATTTTTAACTCGTTACATAACTCTTTAGTTGCCAGTTCAAGAAAATAACAATAAGTGAAGCTTGAAGTATTCCTGAATATATACATAGTAATGAATTTTTCAGTTCATAGTGCTGAATCACTGGCGGCCCTATTCTTAAGCATGGAAGGGCTCAGGGAATATCAAAACTATACATCCTCTTGAAATGTCTATTTGCCAATTGAATTTTGAAAACCAATAGATGAGTTAAAATAGAGTTCTCAGGAATGGAAAATCTGTGATAGAAGGACTGATGGTGAACACTAATTCATCTATTTGCAGTCCTGGTAATACACAGCAGTGAGAATAACAGTTACAGAACAGAATGTTTTATAAATCTTGACAATAATAATCAAAATAATGATACTATACTGGCTCTAACAAAAATTGAAGGAGATAAGAAGTGAGTGGGTAAAATTCTGTGCCTTTTAAAATCTCTTCTTCCAGACAAGGGAGTCGATCATTACTGAGTAAAATGGAAGCCTTATTGCAACAAAGAACTGAAACCTCAGTATTTTTCATAATGTTTTGATTTAAAATCTCAGAGGGATCTTTTATGAAATAGAACAAAGAAAATATTTCTCTAAAATTTAGCAGTTTCCTGAGTTTCACTTCTGTTCCTGTTTAATTCCAGTGAAATTAAGCTTAATGTATTTTTTAAACACTGATGTATATTCTAATTCTGTTATAACATTTTCTCTCACCTTCATGTTTCTGTTCTTCCACCTGTATGTAGGCAGAAAATACACTAATGCTAATGATATAATATGCATAGTGGTTATTATTTAGAATTAAGATTTGGGGATTTTTTTCTTTTACCTGTTGAAAGGTGCACTTTTGCATTTTTGTAAGAGTCACCATGGTAATGATAGCTCATGCTTGTGAGTGCTCTTACAGTCCCAGGGAAATACTTGGTGATCATCACCTTCTCACTGCCTCAACCCTCAGAAGAACCCTATGAAGCAGTTCCCACCTGCACAGACTAGAGCAACAAGGGACAGAAAGTTCAGTGACTTTCTCAAGATGCTGAGGCTGGCCAGTGGCTGAGCCTATGGGTAAGTCTGGCTGGAGCCTGGGCTCCTGCCCTTGGTGCGTCACCGGCGGAAGCAGGTGTGGTTTCTCTGCTGGCTGGGCACCAATCAGCAGCTGGCCAGGAGGCGAACACTGCAGCAGCCATTAAACAGAGATAATTTACTATAAGGAATAACAAGTTTGGTATAAAGTTGTTAACTGGGTGACTGGTAAGTAGAAGATGCTGCCATCTCATAAAGGCAGGAACTGCTGAAGGCACTTGGAGATCTAAGGAAGAGGTTGAGATCATTAAGATTTTGAACCTGGAGGCAGGTTTCCACAGAGCTGACCCTTAGAGGTCCTGGGGTGGGCTGTGTGTTGGCCGGTGCGCGTCAGCCTCTGAGCTGGAGGAGGGTTGTGGGACCAGGATGCAGGCCTGTGGGGAGTGTGTGTGGGGTGTGGCGGATGGTTCTGCCTGTGTCCAGATCGCTCCAGCAGAGATCTCTATGGGAAGAGGCCTCCACTGTGGGGGTGAAGCCATGTCCCTAGGTGACCTTCACTGGAACCACCACTAGAGAAGTAAATCAGAAGAAACAAAAAGAAAACAAGAACGGTCCTCTTCCTCAACCACTTGTTCAGCAGTCTCCCTCTGCCATCACCTCCTGGCACAGCCTGAAATGGAGCCAGCTGGAGCATCAAAAATAGGGCATGCAGAGTCCCCACTGTGGCATCGAGGTAGAGGTGGGACAGTGGGTTGTGTGGAGGGACACGGCATGGTTCCAGGCACAGCTCTGGTGGCTGTGAGTTCACTCACAGCTTTGACACCCCTGTACAATGCGCATCTGTTTCCACCCAGCAAAACCCTGCTGCCTTCATGCAATCAAGCCATTTTCATTCTTTCCCAAAATTGAGGAGACCCCAAGTGGCGTTAGACTTTGCATACATGTCTGGGACACACACTGCCCATCTCTGGGCTAATGTCAAACACTCCTCAAATTCAAACACAGGTTCTTCTTAATATGAGGTCACCTGAACTTGAAAGTGCAAAGATTACCTCAGAGGGGCTGTGTATAAATAACAGGGGGCAGAGGGGAGAGAAGAGGAGCAGAGACCACACACGTGTCTCTGCAGCGAGGAGCAGATATTGGTGCCCCCATAACGGGCCAGGGGCTGAAGTGGACCCTTCCAACCTCATTTCAGGGACTGCAATGAAGAATGGTAGGGAAGCTTGGGGGTTGGAGTAAGGTCAACCCAAAGTTCTGTTTTCCAAATAAAAAAATGAAAAGAAGCCTGCAGGAGAAGATAAGCCTCCCGTTCCCCAGCCAGGTAGGTTTTCCTACAGGACAACTTGCCTCCAAGCATGTTAAGCATTGCACTGAAATGTCCCTGGAGGAGAAAGGTGGCAGTTTTTGAAAGGGAAGGGTTGCAGCCTGGAGCATCTCTCCTGAACATGGAAGGATAACAGGGCTGTGAGGCAGCTGCAGAGGGCACAGAGTCCAGGCCACACAGAACAACTGGAGCTAGGAGCTAAATGGCAGCACGCTGTGTTTGGTTCTGGGCTCTGAACCTCAGGCAGCTGTGTGGTTACTCCTCCTGCTCAGAGCTTAGGGGTCATAGATTGAAAGAATTGTGATTCCTGGGCAGAGGAATGAACCTGCAGACTGCAGCCCGGTGGCAGGGTCAGAATTCTCCCAGTAAGTTACCTCTTGAACTTCTCACCTTGCTAATTGTGCATTGGAGGAGGAAGGAAGGAAGAAAGGAAGGAAGGAAGGAGGGAAGGAAGGAAGGAAGGGAGGGAAGGAAGGAAGGGAGGGAGGGAGGGAGGGAGGGAGGGAGGGAGGGAGGGAGGGAGGGAAAGAGTCCAGGGATGGAATCAGACAGACCTGACTTCAAATCCCAACTCAGGATCCCAGCTTTGTGATCTGAACCCATTATTTGAACTCCCTGAGCCCTGGGCTCTCTAAAAGCTGCCTTGTGTGGTCATGTTGATAATGAACAATAGTGTGTGCACTCTCCCTGGTGCCTGGCTCAGAGAAGTGGGAAGTCTGTTGCTCCTGGTAGCCTTCAATGGTGGCTATGTCACTAGAGGTGTCCCAAGGACCTAACAGACTCCATTCTGTAGCCTGGAATCCCATCACACCTGTTTTCAGGAAGGGGTTCTGAGGGCCCATGGGCACCCATGCTCTCTTGGTCCCTGAGATGCATGCTGACAGAGGCTGAGTCTGCAACCAGGGTTAATGAAGCAGGGAGGTCACCCGGTCCTCCCTATGGCTGAGGCAGAGGAGCTGTGCTCTCAGAGACACTTCGCTATGTCAGAACAGGTGGTATGAAAATGCACAAGGAGGCCGGGTGTGGTGATTCACGCTTGTAATTCCAGCACTTTGGGAGTCCGAGGCAGGGGAATCACCTGAGGTTGGGAGTTCGAGACCAGCCTGACCAACATGGAGAAACCGCATCTCTACTAAAAATACAAAATTAGCAAGGCGTGGTGGGCCCTGTAATCCTAGCTACTCAGGAGGCTGAGGCAGGAGAATAGCTTGAACACAGGAGGCAGAGGCAGAGATTGTGGTGAGCCAAGATTGCACCATTACACTCCAGCCTGGGCAACAAGAGTGAAACTCCATCTAAAAAAAAAAAAGAAAAGAAAAGAAAAAAAAGAAAGAAAATCACAAGAAAACGGAGTCCTCTCCAGGAGAGCTTGGGGAGGGGTCTGGGAAGCAGCGGGCTATGGAGCCATCCAGCCTCCTGCACCCTCTGAAGCCTTTCTGCCTCTCCTGCAGACTCCCACCTTCCCTTCCTCCAGTCTGCTCCTCCTTCATGTGACTTAACCCTGTTTCCAGGCTTAGCCAAGCCAGTTCCTCAAGCCCTCTCCTGTTCAACACCTGCTCTGACCCCTCCTATCTCTAATAACTAAAACCACATTGTCCCATGGAACTAGTGAACTTGCCTCTTCCAAGAAGACTTCCCGGATTGACCTGCTCTGTTTTGCTGTCTCATCCCTTCTCTTTCCTGGGAATGTGGCCCTGGTCCTCCACAGTCATGTGCAGCCATCTCTGTGAGGTTACACAAGGTTCTTCCAACTTTGATCCAGCCTTTTCCTATAGGTTTATCTGGCTGGACCAATGACTCTATGGGTTTGGGGAGCCCTCACTTGATATTTATTTTCCTCAGACAAGGGGAGCACAAAATGGAGGTGCTATTTGGGTAGAGTCTTTATATCAAAATCATGTGAATTGACATTTTCCTCACCCACAGCTGACAGAGCTCAAAATCAGTGGGGGCTCTAAGATGCTCACAGAGGAGCCTGTGCAACTGAGATGAAAATCGTGCACTTGCACGGGGCCTTGAGGGTCATTTGTAACTCACAGATTGACGCTGCTCAAACCGTGACTATTGGAACTGAGAGAGCATCTTGTCAATGCAAGAAATCTGAGCACATTTTCTTCCATTGCGATGACTGTTTGGGCTTGGACACATTCCACCAGCTGGCATGGCCATGTATATTTTACAAAGCCATTAAGAAGTTATCTTCCTGACATTTGCTGGTTATCTCCAAAAGTGCATGCCATCTGATTCTTTCGTCGAAGAGCTTCCTCAGTGATGACAAACCAAGTCCCAGGTTTATGGGGCAGCTGAGAGCTCTCTACTTTCTGTCCTCCCTCCATCCTGCTTATAGGACACACCCAGGTGATACAGCCTGAATTTCTGGCAATGCTCATATGAACTGCAAGCTCCTCTGGAGGTAACGTGGGTGTGTCAGGACACAGCGTCTGTGCAGTGGAGACAGCACAAGTCACTGCGGGGTAACTGATGAGATGTTCCACACTAAACTTCAATCCACTTCTAAATGACAACGCATGGTTTTACCTTTTGGGCCTAGTCACTTTCATCCAGAATGAATTATAAACATAAACTTCAATCTACCACAATGGAATCAGTTTCCCAATCACATTTTATTTGCCATTATTTTCAAAACCAAACACCTCAGGCTTTGTGGACCTGAAAAAAAAGAAACTGGAAACGGACATTTTCTGTAAACAAATCCTGCTTCTGGTCCCGTGGGCGACCACGGCAAGTCCATCAGCGGATGTGCTCAGCCTCTCCCAGCTTGGCCCAGCACCACACATGCTGCCGATGCCCGTTAGCACTCGTGTAGCTCAGGTCATGAAGAGCACACTGACCTTGTCATATGTAACTGTGAGTAGATGGTTGAGAGGTGAGCCGGGGTCATACATGTGTGTGTGCAAGGTATAGCCAAGTCCAATGTGTCAGCTACTTGGGGGCCTGGTGGTGATGGCCTGAGAAGGTCACTTGGTTCCATCTCCAATAACAACAGCAAGAGCCAGGGATTGTGGAAATTGAGAGTGTCAAGTGTACTCATGAGGGTTCTCCAGAGAAGCAGACCCGATGGGCTATCTCGTGTATAGAGCCATCTGTCCATCTGTCTGTCTGTCTGTCCACATCTCCATGTGGATTTTTTTTTTTTTATGAGGAATCGACTCATGTGATCATGACTGTTATGGAGGCAGAGAAGCCCCTTGATCTGCAATCTGCAAGCTGGAGACCCAGGAAGGCTGGGGACGTAACTCAGTTGGAGTCCAGAGGCCTGAAACCCAGGGTGGTTGACGATGTGAATCCCCGGCTGAGGGCAGGGGAAGATGAGCGGAGCCAGCTTGGGCTGGCAATGAGGCAGGAAAAAGGGGCACATGCCCCCTCCTCTCCTGTTGCTCTATTCAGGCCCTCGGTGGATTGGGCAAGGCCCACCCACACTGGGGACACCATCTGCTTCAAATGCTAAACTCATCCAGAAGCCCCCGAACAGACACCCTGAGATCTGGGCCCCCTGTGGCCCACTCGACTTGACCCAAAACCATCCCATCAAGGCGGGCCAGCAGTCAGGGTCTCTTCCGCTGTCCTCTGCCTTGGGCCAGATGGCCATGAGCCTGGGGCTGCTCCCCTCCCTCCAGCCCTGGGCGCTGCCTCCGAGGCACCTGAGCACGGTTCTAGCAGAGCCTGTCTTGGGCACCTCGAGTGATAAATGTGCACACCTAATGTCATCATTCTAAAAGTCCCGCTTATGAAAAAGGCTCCCCACCCTTCTGTTTCTCACCTATGAACAATGCACATCAGCAGAGCGTCCACTTGCTGGAGTTGTTTCATGCTGAATTGAGTAATTCATGCTAAATCTGATACATTGTGAGTGTCCAATAAATTATTATTACTATCATCACCCTGACCCCCCAAAACTGTCTTGCAGCAGCTGATGCCCAGAAAAGGAAATCCTGAGCTGGAGGCCTGTGTGGAGTAGGGGATGACCTCAGGAAGTGGGGTGTGAATGCCCCAGGAGAGTGGCCAGGAAACCACCTTGCCAACTGCCTGCACTGTGGTGGGTGAATGCAGTGGTGAGATCAAGGCCCAACGGCCACGGACAGAGCTCATGTCCCCCGCAGCCCAGGCGCCACTAGTGAGCTGGTGACCTGGGTAGGTTGGATCCTCTCTCTCTGCACGTCGGTTTCTCCAAAAGCTGATTGGATTTGTTGTCTGTGGCAGACCGTGTTACTGCTCACACATGTTCCAAGCCAGGCCCCAGGAGGGGATCCTATCTCTTGGCTGGCTGGCCGGCCTAGAGTCACTGACTGGCTCTGGCCAGTGAACTGTGAGCAGACGTGATGTGTGTCCTTTGAGGGTGACAACTTTGAGACTAGCCTGTTGTCTGCTGTGTTCTCCTTTCCCTCTGCCACAGCATTGGTCACGGTCCTGGCCCCCATCTGCTTGAACCCTGCATGTGGAGGACCATGAGGCAGAGCCAGCCTGGCCGCCCCACGTGGACATGTGGCAGGCGTGGAGAATGAGCTGCTGCTTTGGAGCGTAGGCCCATCTGGGCATTTGCCACCACAGCAGAACCAGGACTGACCTCATGGACTTGGCCTCTCATTATGATCAGGGATGTGGCCTCTGAGCATTTGGAAACTCCCAGGCGGAGGATCTCCAATCTTGGCAGTTGGGATCCATGCCTTAATTACAGAGACTCGCACTTGCTCATCTGTTAAGAAAAATAAGTGAACGTCATCATGTAGAGGTAATAAATTTACAGAGGTAATAAAATTTAAGAGAAACAAAAGTGATACCCGTTTTTTAAAGGATTGGGTGAAATGAAATGTACTTGTATCTTTTATCACGATGAATGGAAATTAGATAGCAAAGCAAAAAGGCTTACACGGAGGAATAAACAGATTCCCACTGAGAGACAAGAAACCATCTTTAAAGTTGTAATTATATGAAGGAAAAAGAAGCTTTCTACCAAGTAGGAGGGCAAAGACTTCTCAGTGACACAGGAACAGAGAAGACTAGGGGAGACGTTGTGGAGAAGTTACTGTTAACCACCCTAATGAAATAGACAAATGACAGGGTGACTTTCCTAACTGGGCCTACATGAATGGCTGGAGGATTGACGGGGATGGGCGTGGACAGCGGCAGGGTGGGAGGCCCAGGGTGGTGGGGATAGAAACTGGGAAGCTCCCCAGATGGGTCTTGGGCATCTACCTGGCGATGTTGGTTGCTTCACTACATAAAGTTCCAGAAAAATCACAAGGGAAGGAGGGACCTGTCCTGGAAGAAACTCATGGCAAGACAAGGCTCAGACCCAGGGGTTCACCATGCAGACCCAGTCCCTGGAACGGCAGTTCTTGCTGTGGCTACCCAAAGGAGAACCGGGCAGGACTTGATGCCTGGGCCTGGTCAGAGAGTAGACTCTCAGTTAGGGGCCAGGCCATCAGAGGATGCTGAGGCAGAACTGGTGGTGAATGGATTTTCCCCAGCCCCTGAGGCAGGGAGAGTGCAGCTCATGTGTCCCCCACTGGACAGGAGATAAGTCTGGCTCGTAGGAGCCACTGGGGCTTCTCCACCACAGGTAAGTCCCACAGTCCTTATCAGCTGGCATTTCCTCATCTGAAAAAGCGCAGGGGTGACGGAGTTGTAACAATAACAGAGCCAAGTGCGGAAGTCCAACAGCGATTGCTCAATCACTATTAATTATAATTATTTGATAATTCTTATGCTTTGAAGCCATCTAGCTTGGCGTCAGAAGTCCTGGGTTCAATCCGAGTTCTGCCACATGCAAGCTGTGCAATCCTGGGTAAGTCATGTAACCTCTCCAAGCCTCCTTGTCCTCCTTTTCAGACTCATGCGCGCCTGTGGCGTGAGTTTAAGGACGGAGCGAGAGAATGCACTTGGCGCATGGTGAGTGAGGCGGTGCAGGTTACTTTTGACTCTTTCATCCCTGCTTTCTCTTAAGTAAAAATGCTTATGCAGTGTGAAGAGATGCCTCCATTTTTGTTGTGTTAATTTGGAAAGGCACAGTAGAGACAATGGAAAACTAAGCAGGAGCCACTTTTTCTGGAGCCCTTGGAGCAGACGAGGTTCAAGGCTGTTTCTTTTCCTTCTGAGTGTGCAGCCCGAGGCCCCCCAACCCTCTGTTGTCTCACCTATACACACTGTACATCGGCAGAGTGTCCACTGGCTGGAGTTGTTTCATGCTGAATTGAGTAATTCATGCTAAATCTGATACATTGTGAGTGTCCAATAAATTATTATTACTATCATCACCCTGACCCCCCAAAACTGTCTTGCAGCAGGAGTGAGACTCCCGGCTCTCAGCCGCCCGCTTCTGGTGGAGATCGCTGTTGGTGATTATGCCACTGATTGATGGCCTTCCCAGGGCTGCCCAAGACAGGGCTTCAAATTACCCAGCTTGGTTTCAGGAGCCCAAACGTGGTAATAAGTACATGTCAATTCCACCAGCTCTGCAGGGCTTGACACTCCAGGAAGATGAGTGATCAAAATGCTATTTTTAAATTAGCCAGCTGATGACCTTTCTATTTCGTTGTGTGCTGAAATGTCAGCATTAACAAAATCACGGGGAGAAACTGTGCAGCTCCTGGCGAAGGATGTAAATCCAGCAGGAGCTGAACCTGGCAGGAGCCTGAGCATCCTTCATCGCCAACACCTGGGTGCACAGCTGTCGGCTGCAACCCCTGTGAGCTCTTGATGGAAAACTCTGCAAGTTTAAATGTGAGCCCATGCTCAGTTTCAGATCTATAAGAGATAAGGGAGGTCAGGGCTGCTAATCCCCTGATGAGGCTCAGCATATTCCATGGTTCGCCGAGTGCTCCCATCTGGCAGGGGCTCCTCACCCGTAAGGCTGTAGAGAGAAGACGAGGCACAAAACCTATGTGAGTTACTTGGACAGCAGGCATGACAACCCCTCCAAATGCGATCATAAATTTGTAATTGATGGTAGTGATCTCAACACAGCATGATTCTACGTCATTCCAGTGTGCTGTATTTTGCTAGTGTGAGCTGCCATGATAAGCATACACCCACACCCATAGCAGGGACAAAGGTGCAGCATCGTCTGGTTATTTCCAGAGTCTTTGCCCATTTTGTAGCAATGTCTACACTGCCATCAAAAGCATTTAGGAAGAGTTTTTGGATGTGCCATTTTTCTTATGCCACAGGGCAGGGGACTGTGATTCCCCTAAGTGACCCAGGAGTGCCAGCTTCCATAGGCCTCCTACTTGCGGACACCAATTCAGCCTGCACAGCAGCCCCTGCCACAGATGTGAGCCCAGGCCCACACAATGCACAGTCAGCCCTGTTTCAGTTTCAATATCCAGAGGTTTTCAATAGCCCAGAGGGTTGGCCACAAACACATATTGGAGTCTATTTCTTTTCAGGCATTGAACATCGTTTGAAGAAACACAAATAGAATTTTACTTCGTTTGATGGAAGATGGCCATCTGCTCTGCCTAAGGGGACCGAGTGTGCATTGCTCTGTCCTATGTGGGTTCCCTCAGATGAGTGTGCATCACTCTGTCCTATGTGGGCTCCCTCAGAATGTTTTTCTATGTTCTCGCTTTCCTGTCCTGAGGGCTCATTTTCACCCCAGCTCAGTGATCCCAGGGGTGCCTACAACAGACTCCCACCTCCCTTTCTTCCAAGAATCTGACTCAGGGCCCACCTCTCCCAGGGGTGGAAGCTTCTGTGGGTTTTCAGGATTAACTTCCCAGCCCAAGGCATTGGTTCCTTGCTATTAGGAGCCCAGCGACCCTGCACTGCCCTCCACACCAGCTCCCATCTGCACTGTCTACACCATTGACACTGGTGGCACCATTTGCCTTAGCGTGACCTCCTATGCCCCTTGTCTGTCTGAAAGCCAATGCCTTGACCCAGCTCAGTTGCCCTGGGTGCCCCTTCACACCAGCAGCCCCTCCCAGGGCACGGCTGTAGGCGGGTCCCTGCACAAGCAGGTATCTGGCTGGTCCTTAAGTGCGAGCTGGGCTTCTGCACTCACTCATGCTGTCTTCTCTCTTTTTTTCATTGTCTTGGGATCCTAGAACCCTGTGCCCACCCCAGCACCATCCTGAGCCTTCAGGAAGGGGAGCGGGAGGTAGACTAACCAGACTGCATCTTAAGCAAGAATCATTATTTTTTCAAATGGACTCACCTCTGCTCTGTGCATTTCTTCCTGGATGGTGCCTGGTGAGGGGCACGACGCGAGAAAGCACAGGTTGTTCCCTGGGAACGTTGCTGCTCAAGAAGGACAGTGCTGCTGGCGAGTGACTCTGGGATGTTGGCCACATTGCTCAGGATGGTGCCACAGCCTTGTTTCACCTGGTAGCTTCCACCCGCTTCTGTGGGGGTAGAGAGCAGGCCACTGCAGAGGAGGGAGCAGGTGGAACCGGCACATGGCAGAGGGAGGACACACACTAAGTGGGATGTGGGGAATGCACATCATCATAAAAGCAGAGGACTCAGCAGGTAGAAGTGGATGTGTGGGCCACCTCCTTGGGTGCCCAGCATCCAAGTTGTTTGCTGGCTTGGCCAGGTAGGGATGCACAATGCCCGTAGGCAGGGCCCTTTGGAGACAGCACCTTTGTCTCCAGATTCCTGCTGAGTATGAGCCAGATGAAGGCTACTTCCTCCCTCCTGAGTCCCTTGCCTGGGCCAGTCCCTACAGATGAGAGCTGCTGCAGGTGAAGCTTACAGTCTTTCTCAGCAGCCTGGCTCTGCTGACGATGGAGCGGCAGCTGCATTCCTGCAGGCAGCACATCGTATTTCTACAGCTCGGTCTCCAGGGAGCATGGACTGTCCTCTGCAGAGGGACGGCTGCCTTTACCCTCCACTAGTCTTAACCATACAGCCTTCCAGGGACCCCCACAGAGGCTGAGCTTGTCAGTAACAGTACTCAGTCACTCCTGCCATGCCATGGTTGCCTCGCTGGCCACATCGTTATGACATGTGGAGAGGACACTGATGGGGTCAGGATTTAGCCAGCATGTCATGAGAAAGCACGGGTTGTTCCCTGGGAGTGTTGCTACACAAGAAGGACCACACTCCTGGTGAGTGACTCTGGGATGGTGGCCACATTGCTCAGGATGGTGCCACAGCCTTGTTTCACCTGGCAGCTTCCACCTGCTCCTGTGGGGGCAGAGAGCAAAGTGTTATCTCAAGCAGTGAATTGGGCTACTTTAATGGCACTGAAAATCAGAAGAGATGGATGTGCCCAGCCTGTGATGGAGAGGAGCACAGTGGCTCAGCCCCATCTGGGGGACAATACCCTGAGCAAGGCAAAGCCCCCCTGCAGGCTGTGAGGCCCCAGGGAAAAGCTCTCCATGCGGCCTCAGGTGAACAGTGCGGGCAGTGGGAGCTGGTGCAGACTATAAGTACAGGAAGGTCAATCTGTGTTGAAGAAAATAGTAACTGCATTAGTCCATTTTTGCACTGCTATGAAGAAATACCCTAGACTGGGTAATTCATAAAGGAAAGAGGTTTAATTGACTTACAGTTCTGCATGGCTGGGGAGGCCTCAGAAAACTTAAAATCATGGTGGAAGGAGAAGGGGAAGCCGGCTCTTTCTTCACAAGGTGGCAGGAGAGAGAGCCTGTGAAGGAAGCAAAGAGGGAAGAGCCCCATATAAAACCCTCTGCTCTCGTGAGAACTCACCCTCTATCATGAGAACAGCATGGGGCAACCACCCCCAGATCCAATCACCTCCCACCAGGTCTGTCCCTCGACACCTCCCTTGAGTTGTAATGGGGATTACAACTCAAGATGAGACTTGGGTGGGGACACAGCCAAACCATGTCAGTAATAAATAATAAGACACAGCTAATAGTTAATAATTATGACGTGGTAAAGACGAGAGGTCCATGCCAGAAACTTAACCACCATGGTTGTTTTGATGAAGTGTGGAGTCGATTTTTCTTCATTTTTCACAATATGATCAGATGATTTTTAAAGGAAAAATTAATTTGAGAAGATTAATGCTCCATATTTGGTGAGAATAAAAGTGTAACATCACCTGGTGATGTGTTAACATAAAACTGCAATATCAGGGCTGGGCACTGTGGCTCACGCCTGGAATCCCTGTGCTTTGGGAGGCTGAGGCAGGAGGATCATTTGAGTCTAGGAGTTTGAGACCAGCCTGGGCAACATAGGGAGAACCTGCCTCTATTTTTTTAAAAAAGTGCAACATCAAAATTGGGGGGCCTGTTATAGCAGGAGAAATCCCCCCTAATAAGCAACACAGCACCACTAATGTTCTTTTGAATTATTCTTGTATTCTAAAATAGATAACTCTTTAGTAAAACAATTCATAAGTCTTAATCCATGCACCTAATAAACACTTTTCTGGTCATTTATGAATACAGCCAAGCTTTGTAGGAAGATCAACACGTAAGTGCTGCCCCCAGAACGGCTCGGATTCCCTAACCTCACCCTGGTTTCCCTGGTGAGCAGTGTCAGGGTTCACAGGCTTGCACATATTCCAGATCTTTTTCTTTGAGTCCATAGGGTTTTTGCTTTTCTGTTTTGTTTTCTACCAGAAGCTCTTGTCTATGTTTTATTTTAGTAAATAATCAGCTGCCACAGAAAGAAGCTCAGCGTTTCCATCACCATTTCCTGTGTTAAAGCCCCTGGAAGTGGGAGCCAGGGCATGCACAGGCGGTGGCCAGGCTGAGGCCCTCTGCCCAGCCCTGTGTTTCCCTACTTCATTCTGTTTCTGTTTCCTGTGCAGGCCCCTCTTAAATTACTTTTCTAAATTAATGACAATACTATCTCGCAGTTTCTTATCGAAGCCCTGAGTCATCTTTTATCTTTTTCTTAGATTTCATATCCGGTCGACAACCTCTTCTGCCGTATTTTATGCCCTGAACCGGCCTGAGCCTCATGTCCTGTGTTCTCGGCTCCAGCCTGCTGACATCACTTCTACACCATGGCTCTTGTTTATGTGATGGCCCCGACGGTCTCCCCACCTCCAGCTCCAGTCCATTTTCTGGGCTTTACTCACATGTCTTAAAGAAACACCATTGAACTCCCCTATTTGCAAGCTGGAAGGTCCCTCCCCTGCTACAGGACAAAGATCTGTCATCTCTGCCTTCATCTCTTACTCCCAGAACACACCCAAGAGCCCTGTCTCCAGTCACACTAATCTCCCCATTCTCCCACGGACGTATCCCTGTGCCCTTCAAGACACACACACATGCACACAAACACACACACACCCCAATGATTTTCTTTCTTTCTTTCTTTCTTTTTTTTGAGATGAAGTCTCCACAATCTCGGCTCACTGCAATCTCTGTCTCCCGGGTTCAAGTGATTCTCCCACCTCAGTCTCCCAAGTAGCTGGGACTAGAAGCTATAGGCATGTGCCACCACATCTGGCTAATTTTTGTACTTTCAGTAGACATGAGATTTCACCATGTTGGCCAGGCTGGTCTTGAACTCCTGACCTCATGTGAGTTGCCCGCCTCAGCCTCCCAAAGTGCTGGGATTACAGGCGTGAACCACTGCACCTGGCCTGATTTTCTACACACAGTCATCTGCCTGGAATCTCGCGCTTCTGCTTCTGGCCTGGAAAAAATTGATTCATCCTTGAAGACTCCACTCAACTGGCACTTCTTCCATGAAGGCTTCCCCAAAATGCCAGAAGGCATCGGTTGCTGCGCCCTTGACTGCACTGGTCTCATCTTTCCTGCTAGGCTCTGACCTCCTCCAGAGACTGGACTTGCCTTTTTCTTCTTTCCTCTCCAGTGTCTGTGACTGAGTTTGTCATGCAGTAGCCGTTAGGCAGTGCTTTCCTAAATAAAATATGGACAAACACATTAGTGAATGGGATTAGTGAAAACGGGATTCGATACCACAAATACAGGCTTTTTAATGGTTATGCCCCTTCTTCCCACATCTAGAAAAACGTTAAAAAATTAATGTTAAACAAGGAGTTACTCAAACAGTTCTCATTAGGAAGATGTGACTTACACATTTAAACTGAAATAAAAATAAATACATATACAACTCAGGACTTAGTCTTTATCCAAGAATATAAACCATCATGATGTGGATGAGAATGCATGCATATTTCTTAGCATAAAAGCTCTTCTCACTGGAGATATGTGGTGGGCATAGGCTATGTAATATAATGTGAATTATGAAATGTTTAATTAGTACTGGCTTAATACAGATGCAGGTGTAATACACTGCTGGAGCTCACTGCTTAACACCATCGTGATGTTTCTGAGAATAACATCTGAGCTGGGGGAGCAAACTGTGTTGAAGAAAGGGGAGTAGATGTTCTTTCCATTTTCCGAGCGACTTGTATGATCAAGCATTCAACAAACAGTGACATGTATTCAGCACGTGTGATGCCTGAGATATTGTTCTTCGGGCTGGTAGTTGAGGAGAAAGACAAAGATCACATCTCTATTTTAAAGGAGATTATGGTGAATTTATACTAGATTTTTAGTGCAGGGAACAGAAATTTCCAAATATTCAGGTATTTCATAGTCTAGTCCACAATAGTCTCTGTTTGATTTTTGGTTTTATTCAGAAGGTTCTATTAGCTTCAATCCTGGTCTTTGTTTTCAGTAGAAGGTAAAATTCAGTGGGCACAGGGTAATATTTTCTGAAGGCTCTGGGTCTCAGATCCCATTACCTAGGGTGAGTTATCACAATAGCGTTCTCTCAATAGACATTTCTTCACAACTTGATTACCCACTGAGTCTTGTGTTACAGCTTGGAATCCATAGACTAAAAAGACAGGAGAGGCTCTGACAAGGGACATGTGCCTCCAGCACAGCCAGGGCTCTGGACAGAGAGCTTCTAAGTGAGGACTTGTGGGGCACCAGTGAGATGTTCTTACATTTCAGATTCAAGCCACATCCCAGGAAGTCATCCTGACTTTTCTCCCTGGCTCTGGTGCCCATCCACTTGGTCCCATGACACCTGGGGCCATATCCTTGCCACCATCCTTAACACTTCTGGTCTAAAAACTGAAGTGGCCCATTTTTATCCAGACTATGTGAGTAATTTCTCAGTGGCTCTGCATCTATTATGCTATCTCCAGAGTTATCTTTTGACATGAAAATCTAATTCTTTGGTCTTCTCCTGAAACCCCTGCAATGATTCTCCATTGTTCACAAGGTAAATCAAAACCCCTTAAGAGGTCACACAAGCTGCTTCAGAGCCACCACCCTGGATGACCTTCTGTCGCCTCCTGCAACCGTGTCTGTGTCCCATCTGTGCCCTGCCACCCCAAACTACTTGTGCACCTGAGAAAGCCATGCTGTCTCATGTCCGTTATCTTTGCTCATGCCCTTCCCTCTCCCCTCCCTTGATGTTGGAACATGCACCTAGGCTCCAATCAAGGAACTCACCAGCCAGTTCCCTGCCCCAGAGGTCTGCAGCCCAAGTCTAGAGGGAGCGTCTCCCAAGCCTCTGGGTTCTAAAACTCTAATCTCTTTCCCTTGTTCCCTTCTCAATCTCAGGCATAGAAATTGCTCCCTGGAGGTATGACCTCTGTGAAATTCAGTGTTTCCTATTTGCCTTTTCAGTTTTCTACTAAGAAGGTAAAAAGTCTTTACATTAAATTCTCCAGGGTATAATATCTGTTTCCTGGACCTTGACTGATATAAAAATTATCACCAGGAGTTGTCTCAGGAAACAAACACTCAAAATGGTATTTGGGGATTGTTTTGGTCGCATTTTTAGGCTTGAAAGCAAGGCTGCAATTCTTGCAAACCTGAGATGGAATACTAGCTCCAAAGCATGTATTAACAGCAACAGTAATCAAAAAATCTAAAAAATCAGGTGACTTTGAGGGCTTTTGTAGCATTAGCAATGATGATAAGAACCACAGGATTAGATGCCTGCTCCGGGCATGCCATGAAATGCTTCTAGAAGGAATTTGACAGACACAAGGTTTTAAACGCTCAGGTCAAGTCATGGTTAGAGAATGCAGAACTTTTATAGTAACCATAAAAGAACTTCGTACTCCTTATAGTTGCAAGGTCGACCTCTCTAACAGGATGACACAATATGAATTGTGTAGGCTGCAGAATTACAATGTAAGTTGAATTCACAGCCCCAGCAAGTTGCTAATGAAAAAGTTGGGGCACTGATGGGGAAGGAGTGGGTCCATGAGATTTGAAATGAGGGTGACATTATGCTGACATTACGCACAAGTGGACATAAATGAAGCTGAGAGTGTTGAACCCCCAAATAACCCTGAGATTCCCTTGTTAGTGAAAACAGCCCACTTGCCCTCCCCCCATGTCTGAGGACACTATTATACCATCCTTTAATTATATACTCTGTGATAATCTCATCTAGGACAGTTACCTTACAAGGGTGTATGGATGTCATTAAGACCCACCCTCGGTTGCCCCTAGACTTGCAACCAGGGTCAGATCTCAGCATGTGCCTTGGCAGAAGGCACAAAATCTGACCCAGGAAGAAGTGGCTTATTCTCTAAGTCCACTTCTTAGAGATTATTGTTAGTTTATATTTCAGAAACTTAAGGTGCATATATGGAAATGAATTCTTAGATAATAGACCAAGAAGGATAAAATATAACACTGGAAAGGGCCAAGTCCAAGCACATGAGTGCACCTACAGGGAGCCCACACAGGGCGAGTGAGCTTGCAGGGAGCCCACACAGGATGAGTGAGCTTGCAGGGATCCTGCACCGGGCGAGTGAGCTTGCAGGGAGCCCGCACAACGTGAGTGAGTTTGTGCAGTTGCAGGTGACCCTCATAGTTTACTCAGTGCATTCATCAAAATAAACTTGAACCAATGGAGTTGAGATGTTAGAACTCTCTTGGCATGTGTGTGTGTACATATATGTATACACATACATATATATGGAGAGAGAGAGAGAGAGATCAAAAGTTCTAAGGGATACAAATGTGGGAAGGATTTCTTGCATGTATTCTGCACAACCATGCTTTCAGACTAAAACTCCACACAAGCCCTTTGCTAAGGCATGGAGAAACACCCTAGTGAGGGAAGCACCCTGACCTTCATGATGCTCCCTGGCAGCTGTCCCTGTGAACCTGAGTGACCAGGGGAGAAGGTGCCAGCCTCCTGGGTTTTACTGGGGGTGGCAGGATCCTGGGCAGCAGAGGCCGAGTGGTGGTGTTGAGCTGCCAGGAGCAAGGTGGCTACATTTGCTGCATGAACATCAGGGACAATGTGACCATCAGAATGTTTGAGTGCCAGGGAGTTTGGGCAGTGTCCAATTGATCATGGTTTTCCTGGGAATAGAATAAATAAGCAGCATTAAAATGTAACCTGATCTTTGTATGACAGGAAGAACACCAGGGCTGATGGCCAGAAATGAGGCTAAGTCAGTAGATGGAGAAGTACAGCTTTTCACCAAATTTCTAGAACTAAGCCAGTTCACAGTCCAGAAGGCCTTGCCTGAAGGAAAAGTTGGGTGCACCTGAGGGAGAATCCTGAGATGCTGTCACCCCATTCTTCCTCAAAGCCTTGTCTAAGTGACCCTGTGTTCACTTACAGGAGTGACTCTGTTTTGAGTAAAATAAAATATCATATGCTTTGAGTGGTTCCTAGATTTCCTATAAAATTAATACCATTCTTAGATGCCTCTCCCCAAGCCCTGTAACCTGCTGTCCACACTGTAGCTAATGGTAGTCAGGTACTTTGACCAAAGTTTGTATCATTGTGGCCTCATGTGTACCCAACTTGAGGTTATTTTTGATGTTCAGAATTTATTGTTAGAATTGCCATGATATTCAGTGGCAGAATCCCATATTGCTCCTGACCCAGAAACTGAGGGCTATAATGGTGGAAAGGGGCATATGGAAGACCTTGACAAGTTCCCGACTTACCAGAACATTCAACCAAATGCAATACATATCCTCAGATAAGTTACAGATTAGATCCATCATCAAAGACTTGAAAGATTCAGAGGAGGGCATAGAAACTCAATACTTATACAGCTATCTGTTTCTTCCTATACAGAAGGCAGATCTTGGAGAATGACTGTGGATTATTATAAATTAAGTTAATTGGTGACTCTAATGGAAGCTGCTGTTCCAAATATGTTCTTTTTACTGGAGTAAATCAACATAATCCCTGGAACATGATTCTTAGCTATTGACTTGGTGAATTATTTTTTTCGCCATTCTAATTTGCAATTCTGCTATACCAGAAGGCGTGCTTCCACCCGGCAGGGGCACCGATGTACCTGCATGGTTTTGTCTCAGGGCTACATAATCTCTCCTTCAATAGTGAAGGAACTCCCAGGGATCTGATTCTCTCACTATTCCAAGGAAGATTGCACCGGTTTACTACAGTGATAAAATTATGCTAATTGGACCCAGAGAAGAGGAAGTAGCAACAATTTTAGATGCTTCAGTAAAATGCAGGTAAGCCAGAGGATAAGAGAAAAATCCCATGAAGCTTTAGAGGTCTCTGATGTCATGAAGTTCCTGAAGGTCTGAAGCATGCAGAGGTGGCCCTTTCAAGGTGAGAGACAAGCTACTGGACCTTGCACTGCCTGCCACTTAAAAGCAAGCATCATGCTGCTTTGGACTGTAGAGCCTCTCTACCACACATAGAGGTCGTGCATACCATACACACCACGTGCTGTAATCCATGTGTGACCAGAGGGCTCAAGAGGGTCTCCAGATGCTAGGGAGAGCCCACCTCCAGCTGGTTTTCAGGTTTTTGACATCATTGCAAGAAAGAATTGAGAGATGAGTCAGAATGAAGGGGAAGACAAGAAGCTGTTTTTGCAAAGTGAAGATGCACACTCAAGAGGGCCACACACACAAACCTGGGAGAGTGAGTCCTGCACAAGGGAGTTTGGGTTTCTGATTTTATCAGTGTTTCTTTAATTAGGGGATGTGATAATCACTAGGTATTCTGGAAAAGGAGGGAATTTCAGGGACCCTCCAGTTACCACCCCCTTTCTTCCTTATCTGGGTTTGCCTAGAAGAGTCAGGGACATGTCACCCTGACCAAGATGTTGGCCTTTTTCTCTCACTTATTTTGGGTTTTCTGTTATTCTGTTTTAGCTGTTGTTTCAGTTTTTCTATCCTCCGGTGACTACTCAGTGCTATTCCTATCTCACATTCACTGGTGCCTTGTAAGATCGCCACTTCTGAGTGGGGCTCAGAATAAGAGAATGCCCTCCAAGGAGCTCAGCTGCCCTGCAGACATACTTCTGCCGGATCCGGCAATGCGCAGAGGGTCTGGACTGAACAGGGGTGCCATGTAGAGGCCCTGCACCTCCCAGGAAGTGGTTCTCTTGGCATGCATCGACAATACCTGTGGGCTATTAGAACAGATTGCCAGGCCCCATCCCCAGAGTTTCTGACTCAATGGGTCTGGAGTGGGGTTCAAGTATTTGCATTTCTAAAAGTTCTTAGGTGAGCCTGTTGCTTCCGGTTCAGAGCCCACATGCTGGGCACGACTGCTTTAGTGTTTTAGAGTAAATATGTTCTCTCTTTTGAAGATAACTATTTCCTTTGCATAAATGCTCTTAATCTTCTAGGGCTTCCTTAGCAAGGTACCACAAACTGGGTGGTTTAGAACCACAGATATTTATCATCTCATAGTTCTTGAGGCTAGAGGTCTGAATCAAGTTGTTGGCAGTTGTGCTCTGGTGGTTGCTGGCAAAGTTTTGTGTTCCTTGTCTTGAAGCTTCATGAAGCCAATCTCTGCCTTTGTCATCCTATGTCGTTCTCCCTGTGTGTGTCCCTATCAGCACCTGGCTGTCTCTTCTTATGAGGACACCAGGCATATTGAACGAGGGGCCCAGCCCACACTAGTCCAGTATGAGCATATGCTAACTACTTGCATCTGCAATAACCCCATTTCCAAACAAGATCTCATTCTGAGCTACTGGAGGTTAAAACTTCAACATATTTTTGGGGGAAGTGGGGAAGAAGAGAGAGATGCAATTCAACCCATAAAAATGTCCGACCATAGGACATCAAGGACCATGTTGTATTAGACCGTTTCATGCTGCTGATAAAGACATACCTGAGACTGGGTAACTTACAAAGAAGAAGAGGTTTAATGGACTCACAGTTCCATGTGGCTGGGGAGGCCCCACAATCAAGGTGGAAGGCGAAAGGCGAAAGGCACAGGCAGCAGGCGAGAGAGAGAATGAGAACCAAGCAAAAGGGGTTTCCCCTTATAAAAGCATCAGATCTCGTGAGACTTCTCCATTACCACAAGAACAGCATGGGGGAAATTGCCCCCATGATTCAATTATCTCCCATCGGGTCCCTCCCACAACATGAGGGAATTTCGGGAGCTGCAATTCGAGATGAGATTTGGGTGGAGACACAGCCAAACTGTATCACATGTGATTTTAGTGGTTCGTCACAGGCCATCTGGGATTGTCTTACTACAGTGTTCAAGGGATCTGGCAGAGCAGGCCCAGAAGGCTCTACTCAATTACATGAAAGACATCTCAGGTTCTTCTGACACCCATTCCTGCTATATTTCTTCTGGTACCTCGGTTCACACAAATGGCTCATGGAGAGTTTCTTATGACCAGTTGACTGAGGAAAAACTGCTCAGCCCTGGCATACAGATGGTTCTGCTTGAATTGCTGGCACCAACCAGAGTGGACTCCTAGAGCGTTACACACTCAATAAAGAGAATCTGAAAGACAGCAGGCAGTAAAAAATCCTCCCGGTCAGCAGAAATTTGAGCTCAGTGAGTTGTTGCAGACATGTTCAGAAGTGAGAATCAGGGCTCACTTGTGGGCACTGGCTAATGGTTTTCCTGATGGTCCTAGGCTTGAAAATGATAGAATTGGAATGTTGGTGACAAGGAGTTCTGGGGAAAAGGCATGGGCTGTTATTCTTGGAATGGATGCGGCCTGAAAAGATATTTGTGTCCCAAGAGCAATGCTCACAGAAGTGCATCCATGGCAGAAGAGACCATCAATAGCCAAGCAGGTGACAGGGCGTGTTCCCAACATCTTCTTTCCTAAGCATTCCCGGGCTTTCTTTAGGGGCCAAAATTTTAACAGAAAGTGGCCATGGTGGCAGAAAGCCTAGGAATGGGCCCAAAAACATGGACTTCCCAGACCGTAGATTATGTGGCTACTGCTACAAGTCAATGCTAACCTGCCGACAGTCCTGTATGGTGCTATTTCCTGGGGTGATCGGCCAGTCACCTGATTACATATAGTTTATATGGAATCACTTCTATCATGGAAAGAGAGCAATTCTCCTTATTGGTGTAGACACATGCTGTGGATATGGATTTGCACTCCCTGCCCCTAATGCTTTCACCAGCACCGTCGTACGTGGACTTTAGGAAATGCTGCTTTCACCACTAGGGTTCAACACAGCGTCACTTCTGACCAAAAAACTCTTTGCACAGCAAAGCAGTGCGAACATGGACTCATGCCCTTGGCATCCGGAGGGTTCCCACACCTACCATACTCAAGAGGGTTGGGTCTATCCAAAAAATGTAGTGAGCTACAGAAGACTCAGTTAAAGCAATATCCCTAGTGGGTTGAGTTCTCTATTACAGGGTGTTGTACAGACACTTGAACAAGTCACCAGGATGCAGAGTATTTCTCCCTCAGCCAGAAGGTGTGGGTGCAGAAATCAGGGGGTGGGAGCACAAATTGCTTCTCTTGCTGCTACACCTGCTAAGACAGAGTCTGTTTTTCCTGCTCTAACAGAATGCCTAAGACTGAGTAATTTACATTCAACAGAAATGTATTGGTTCACAGTTTGGGGTGATGAGGTGTCCAATTCCAAGGTCCCAGCATCTTGTTAGGGCCTTCTTGATGTGTACCCCATGGCAGAAGGTGAGAGGAAAGAGAGAGAAAGAGAGAGACAAGGGGCCAAACTCTCCCTTTGATAGCAAACCTGCTCCTGCAGTCATGTCATGCACCCACTCTCCCCGTTACAGCATTAATTCACTTGCAACAGTAGAGACAGCATGGCTTAATTTCCTCTTACAGTTCCACCCCTCACTACTGTTACAATGGCCATTTCAATATGAGTTTTGGAGAGAACAAATATTTAAACCGTAGCACTTACTACTGCAACTTGACTGCAATTCCAGTGAATTAGACGCTGAAACTGCCACTGGACCAATCAAGACGTCTCATAAATTTAACCTCATAGGCCCAAGGGAGAGTTCTCCACTGCTGGGCTCATTGACACCTGGTGCAGAGGGAAAATTTGGTTGGCTGCACTCTGTGAGCGCAGGGAACAGTATGCTTGGAACTGAGAGAATTTTCTGGGACAGCTCTTAGTTCTTCCGCATCCAATAGTAAAAGTTAGTGAAAAACTACAACAACCCAAAAGCGGATAAAGAAGAAATGAGCGGAGCCATTGCAGGCTCACACTCCAGGAATGAAGGTTTATATCACCTAATTAGGAAAGCAGGTCTGAGCAGTGGAGGAAGTCATGGAGCAGAAGGGAGTGGAAGGAGGACGCGATGATTACCTGCGGCCTCCATCACAGAAAAAGCCACAAAACTGCGGGGCAGCCATGCATCCCATGGCCTTCTGTTTCTTCTACAGACAAATCTCCCCTTGCCTTCTTTTTTAAGGATCTCTGTCATGACACTGGGCCTGCCTGGATGATCTGGGATAATCTCCGCATCTCAAAACCCTTTATGAATCATATCTGCAAAGTCCCTTAAGGATCCTCAGGTCCCAGGGATTCTGCACCTTGATTTTAGATGTTTGACCTCCAGCACCATAGGAGGTAAACGTGCGCTGCTTCAAGCCACTGCGTGTGTGGTCCTGAGTTACGGAAGCCACAAGAAGCAATTACAGATGGAGAGTGTGAATGTCTCCCAGGTGACTGCTGGGACTTTTGTTCCTCATTTTGGGACCAGGATAAGAGCTGGTGCCTCCTGTTTTATGACTGGACTCTGACTTCTATCTTCTGCTTTCTGCAGAGTCCTCATAATAGCTCTCTGGACACTGGCACAGAGGCCATGGGATGCTGAGTTGAGACCCAATTTCTGGGTAGCACATCCCATGACAGTGGATGGCAGTTGACAGGTGGCATTCATAGAGCCTGACTTGATACCAGTTTTTCAAAGCAACATGAACCATCCATCATCATTGATGCCAAAGGTGGGGTCTACCCTTCCCTGGGCACTGCTGCAGGATACCAAGCCCACTGCCCACACAAGGAATCCTGGTCACCACCAGGGTCCCCCAGGGGACTCGGACAAGTGGCTGACGATGGTGTCACCAGCATCAGGACGCATATGGTTGTGTCAAGAGAAGAAATGAGAATTGTTTTATGTTCAGTCAGGATGACAGAGAAGACTTAAAATGGGATAGCTACCTGGATTTTGTTTCTGAGCTCAGCTGCCATTTCCAGAACACCTGGGCCTCTAACAGGATGACACCACCATTCTCCTCTGTGGTGATCGCATTGCTTCAGAACAGCAAAGACAGTCACGCACTTAGTGCTGTGTTCAAAAGCAAGGAAAAATAAGTTATCTCTCAAAATGTATGCAGATTCAACTCCCACCCTTTAATAAAATGAAATAATTTAGATTAGCTCATAAGCTGTTAAGACGTCAGGCATGCCCTTATCCTGACTGAAACAGCCAGATCATGTTCTGGGTAGGGCTGGCTAACTTTGAGAGGGTATCCCTTGAAATAAGCACACACCAGACCTGGCGACATTAATTATTCCCTGGCGCAAAACCTTGACAGATGCTTAAGAATCTTGCAAGTTGCAAAAGAGAGAGATGTTACATGAGTTTTCAAGAGATGAACTTTAAAAACTTCCATGTTAGATCAAATAAAATGATCTCTTTTACTTTCTTCAAATGGAGGGGTAAAGAGAAGAATTCTTCAAGCATGTGTTTAGTTTCCAGTCATGACTGGATTATTTGTACCAATTTAAACACAGGCTAAAATTTAACACTCTACAAATACATCTCTTTAGAAATCATTATTTCTACCTCTGTGAGCATGACGTGTGACCCAGCATATATTAAAGGTGTATTCCATTCATTTTTTTTTTAACTCTGATGCTGTACTGGAGTCATCCTTGCTCTGCCCTGGAGAGAAATAGCCTAATACATCTGGCATAGGAACCCAGGGGACTGGTTCCATGATAGACCACTGCATTAGTCAATGGTAGTTTTATGTCCTTCCAAAACAGGGTAGCGAGGTTTAATGTGCTGCCAATTTCCCTCGGTAAACACATATCTACTGCAGATAAGCTTCTCTTTCCAGATGGATGATGTTTTGCCTTTATCTAAACATTCTCTATTTATAAATCTCTTTTATTTACCTCAATAAGCAGTAAGTGTGTCTCCCATGCAGGAAAGCCAGAGTAAATCCTAAAGTGGAAGGAAGACAGAGATGTCCACTGGGACACATGGTGTTAACCCTGTGCTGTTGAGAACCTCGTTTTGTGAATTACCAACACCATCAATAGCATATGAATTAGAAAGTTAAGGAAGGCATACTTTTAAGGTAAGAAAAGCCATCCGAGTGGTCCCAAACTGTACTGCGATTTGCACTTCTGGATTTATCAAGTCCTAAGAGCTTTCTACTGATTGTATATTAAACACACCTTTGCTTTCAGGAAAGTCAAATAGTTTTCGTCCTTATATCCATGGAGAGTTCAATTTTTGCTCAACCTTCTTATGGTACCTAAGTGCATTTCCTATGCTGGAGATAAGGACAGAGAGGCTTACAGCTAATAATAGCTATTTACCTATTCATTTTATAGTTCTTTTAATGAGCATATTTTGCTGGCAATGTTGTCTTTATGTTTTTTTCCTACTGTATTTAAAGTTGTTGTCTTGGATACAGAGAACGTTGAAGCTGATAAATTACATTTCACACCTAAAGCAATCTACATTTCTGGTAGAGTGGACATTTATAGAAATGTTCTTTGCCAAAACTTTGGCAAAAGTTTTTTCTAAGGGATTTGAAAACTCTTTTTTATCCCCATTAAAAAATGAAAATCTTGGTACATCTCAATTTATCCTCAACAAAAATGTTTAGTTTCACAATTTTTCAAGACAACTTAGTGTCACGTTGCTCCAGTAGACTTAGTGCCTTCCTGCTTGTCTTCACCCTTTGTTCTGTCTTCTTGGGGTACGGGTGAGCAGACTCTCCAGTGTGACACAGAACCTCAGCTCTCAGATTGAGTAAAGTTATGCAGACACTGTCACAGCACAGAAGTCTCCTGGCTCTGCATTGCACCAACGTCTACCTTTGCTTTTGGCCTGAACTTTCAGTCAAACAATTCTACCCACATCAAAATTCCATAAAGAACCTGCTTTTGACGATCAGTGGCATGAGGAATTCTGAAATGGGCATCCCTACGCCTCCTGTGACCATGCTCTCTCATAAACAATCCCAACCATAACCACTGAGCAGTGCACTTGCTCTTGGCTACCGTGCTAGTCCTGTATCCCTAGAACATCCCAAAAGCCATCAGAATGTCACGCATGATAAACTGCTCTGCAATATCCACAGCTACTGGACGTACAGTGTCCTGGCTGTGTGCATAGTCATGTTGCCCTGGTTCCACAGTGAGAACCCTCACGTCCTGCCCAGGGATCCTTTGGCCGTCCACATGGAGAAACAGGCCCCTCCTGATAGCATTCTTGGGAGCAGTGGTTGGACCGGGCAACAGTTATAGTCAAGATTCAGGGGAGCAGAGCAAGGAGACCAGGCAGGCAGCCCATCAGTTGCACGCTACAGAGACCTTTAGACTCCTGCTTCCCTGCTGCCAAAGCTCCGTGGTGACCACTGCCCAGCTCATCCTCACAACCACAGAGCTCTAGGTTTTACCACACTTGGTTTACCACTCTTGGTTTTACCACTGTGCTTCTTGCACAAGGATGCTACCATTTATTGTACTGAAGCTGCAGTTTCCTCTATGAGTTTCATAGAATTACCCTTTGTCTTTATAAATGATATTTAATTGCTATTCAGCATTCCATTGATACCCCTACATGGTCTGTGTATATGTGTGTTTTTGTCTGTTTATTTTCTCTCCTAGACCGCTCCTCTCCAGGTGAGGCAGTCTCACAGTGACATTGATGCTGAGGAGAATCCATCTATCCTTTAGAGCTTCTATCTGTTCTTCCAAGTATAGCAGAGAGAATCTAAATTTTATTGTAAAATTTAGCAGGAGGGATAAGCAAGCTGAAAATTTCCCTTATCCAACTTGGAGACAATCTTTTGTTACAGACTTCTCTACTCACAGATTGGTGTTTTTCTGTGTTCTCCTATAAGCCAATAGTAAGCAATTTCACAACCTCAAACAGGTTATAAGCAGCTAATATTTTGGCATGATGAGTGAAGCCATTACAAGAATTACAGAGTTACAGCCAAATAGCACAGGTAGCCAATTCAGCACAGATGGCACCAGCCACACTTGCAAATACGTTTACAACAGCGTTAGCTCACCATCCAAGGGCTTCTTGGGGTAACTACACTATAATGACCTGAAGGACTGCGCTGTGCACAGTAAACATTCCCTCATCTGCTGTCCTGTGAGGCCATTTTCCTTCTTGTCAGCTCAAAGAAATAGCATTACAACCATGTAATTTTACCCAAACAAATCACATATTGAAAAGAAGCACTGAGATAAATATAAGAGCAGTTGGGTGCCCTGGCAATAAGTTTATGTTCTGAAATACACAGGCAGTGATGGCTCGTAAAGATCTTAGATTTTTACTGGATGGACCACTTTATCTTAGAGTTAGGGAACTAGAGACCAGAGAGGAAAAGGCAGCCTGGGTCAAGGTCCCAGGAGAAGTACAGGGACTTCAAATTCAAGTTTCAATTTCTCATAGTGGACTTCCCTTCCTGCTCTTGATCCATGTGTCTTCTGACTTGAATAACCCATCCTCCCATGAGAATGGCCACCTGAAAGGTAACTGCTACACCTTTCTGAATTTCCAAGCTGACAAGGACTCACAGGACTGTGAGTCGCCTATGGCCACCTGACTGGCCATGGTGGAGAAGTGTGGGTCAGGGCCCACGTCTGCCTTTCAGCCCTCGCAGTTTGGCCAGAGTCGGCTGTCAGTGCATGCTGTGGGATTCTGGGAGGACATGGTCAAGGTGACTATTGCAAACTGGAGGCACAGTGGAGCTTAGAGGCCTGGGCTCTGAAGTTAGACACCAGACAGAGGCCTTGCCTGATGCTTCAGAGAGGAAGAATTTGGGCAAGTGATTTCACCTCTCAAAGTTTCATTTCTCATTTGTCAAGTGCTAAGCATAGGGTCTGGCTAATTAGCTCTCAAGCAATACAAATTAGCATGATTTGGAGATTTTATTGGTGTTTAGGGGCTTTATGTTTTCATTTGTTGTTGAAGTTGTCCTTTAGAGGGGGAGAAGGGGAGAGAAACTTCAGGTGGTAGGAGGTCTGTGCTGAATGAAGGTTACTGAGGATGTGTGTATGTACAAGTGTGCACGTGTGCGTGTGTGCGTCGAGTTATTTAAACACACCACTAGGGTTTGAGTCCTGATTCTGTCTCTAACAACATTGGGTAAGTTTTCCAAACTCTTAGAGCCTCATTTTCCATATCTGTAAAATGGGGATAATATTAACCACCCTCAGAGTGCTGAGAAAATTAGATGAGACAGGCATGTAAGGTGCCTGTAATGTAGCTAGCATTCAGGGGAGCTGGGAAAATGCTCTTTCTCTACATCAACAGCCCCCTGTCTGTAATTGCTGGATTTTTCAAGCTGTAAGTCATGCACTCCTTCAGGAAGCCGTAAAAATGATGCCCAGAGTCTGGTAACATGCTCCTGGAGGCCTCCCTGTGTTGGGGACACCGTGTTCCTCCTGCACCTGTTTGTGCATTCACAGTTAACTTATCCTGGGGTTGCAATCATGATTTTCCCCACAATCCCTCCTGCACCTGGTGACGCACTGTCATGCACGTCACGCTGGTCTGGGTTTGCCCTAGATTTCCCAGGCACTCCCGCCTAGCACAGGTGAGCAGAGGGTGCTGGAAACCTCCCAACTCCGATAACCCGGGGAAGGGCTGGGGACTGCAGGCTTAACGAATACCCAGCATTTTCAAATGCCCAGCATGGTTTGGGAAGCAGCAGGCTGAACTGTTTGAGAGCCTGCGTGATCGTTCTTATCAGACGTCCTGTGGAAATGCCTGCCACTGTCACGAGCACACAGGCTCAACTCATACAACACCAGCTGGCCTGAAAAGTCATGGCCACAAGAAGCAGAGGCCGCAGACCAGACTCCAGCACAAAGGTGCGGGCTCCTTGGCTTTGACTCACTGGCATCTCTTCCGTCCTTTCACTTCTGCTTCTCCTTAGTAACACGACTCTTCCTATGTTTTACAATAATCTAATAAGCGCCAGTAGCGGTCAGTGTGCAGTCAACAGACAGAACTGTGGCTGTTATACTGATAGGCAGATTTTAAAATGAAGAGATGTTGCCTTGGCCAGTGCAGACGGGGGACACCTGCGCACACGGAGGAGCCCGTGAGGCCGCTGCCGCCCTGTGGGATGGGAAACGGGGAAGGCTTTGGGGGGGCCTCTGGGGAGGAGGCCCCACCCAGCTGGTGCTGGGGTCCTGAGTGCTGAGCAGGGGTTCCAGGGGCTGAGACAGAGAGCTCTGAGGAAGGAACTGGCCAGCTTGTGCGGGCGTCTGAAGGAGAACGAGAGGCTGACTCTGCAAGTGTTGAGAAAACCGCCAGGCGGATCCAGTGCTGGAACAAACTGCACTGGGGTGGGGGCAGGAAACTCAGGGAACAGGAAGAGAAGGAGCTGCCCAGAGCCACCCTCCAGGGCGCCCCTGTTCAGAGCCTCCCTGGGGGCTGCTGACTGCGCGGCCATGACGTTTCAGGCCAGCTGGTGTTGGCAGAGCTGAGCCGGGTTTGCTCAGCCAGCGCCTCAGAGCTGGGGGTGGAGGAGTGGAACTGGGGGTGAGGCATAGTTGACGGGATCACGGCGCCCCATGGGCCCTCCACCCCAAACAAGACCTTGGTGCTTGGTAGCAGTCAGCCTAGGGCCCTGCAGCCCCAGCTCAGACCTCACGCAGACCTTCTTCCAGCCCCACAATTGCCATCTGCCGCCCCACGCGCAACACGTCCTGCTCTCCTTTTCAAGTAATTTATTGCATCTGCGATAAATAAAATCAAATAAAAGTATATTTTAAGTGTTCGTTTTTAATCTTTGTGGAAAAAGGTAGAGTGTTGGAAGCAATCTTGGGAGTTCGTTCTTGGAATTTAAGATTATGTCCTCAGGACTCAGGAGGCTTCTTCCTGCCGTGCCTGTTTTCTTTGGCTGGGCTGTGTTCCCTTCTGCCTGTTCCGCCCTCTGCCCCTCTCCTCTTCTGCGGACAGTCCGGCACCTGTGATGCTCTGACCTTGAACACATCTCCCTGGACGTTCAGGGATTTCTCAACGCGACAGACCAGGACATAGCACTGCAGCCCACCAGGTGCCTGCCTTCACTGCAGGGAGATCCCTCCACACTTGCACAGTGGGTTCACATCTTTGTCGCTGCTTGGTGTAGTCAGCTGCCTTCATTTCTGCAACTGACCAGGTGTCAGTTCGTGTCCATTGTCACCGTGGTTTGCACCCCCGGCTCCCTGGCGACCATCGGAGCACATCCTCCTGGGCCTGTGGGCCGTGGACATTTCCTCTTCAGCTCAACGTCTGCCGTGCCCACTTTTCTACGGGGCTGTGTTTTTCCTGTTGATTTGTGGGAACTCCTTATATGTTCTTGCCACCAACCCTTTGCCAATTCTGTGAATCATTTCTTCTATTGTGTCACTTGCTCTTGCATTTTCTTATCTGACAAATATGACTCAGCTACGATGTACACTGTACATATTTGGGGATCACGCCACTTTGTTTCTGATTCTTAGCAGGAGAGGAATAGAAGGAGGCCGAGCAACCTTCACTTCCCTTCACTGGGGGCCCACAGGCCCGGCACGTTCTGCAGAGAAGCCCTTGGGTAAGTGGAGGATCTAGTCGGGATCTTGCAGCAGGGGACCGAGTGGGAATCTTGACCCTCCTGCTTTTGTCACTTCCCTGCTGTCCCTCACCTGCCTGTTCCTCCATGGAAAGTGAGGAGAGTAAAATCTTGGATGAAATGAGGCTGCTTACCCCCCAGGGGCCCTGGGCCAGGAGTCAATGTGGAATAGTGGGTGGCTTATTAGTAATGATAGGAATGATGGCTAGCTCTGATTGGGCACTCACCACAGCCAGGCAATTTACACTTAAACCCTTTGCACAAATCGCCTTCCTTGGCTAGCCCCATGAGCTGGGGTGATTAGCATCCCAGGTTATAGATGAGAACCCCCATTTTCTGGGGTAATGTAGGTAGTAACATTTGGCAACCATTTACTTTCTCTAACTCCTAAAGTAGCACTGATTTTCAGATCACTAGGAATTAAGTCAACATCTCAATTTGTCATCCTTAAGTTATATTAAAAAGAACCAATCCAAAGATCAAGGCTCCGGAAACTCCCAGAATCCTCGCTGCCTTCAGCTTGACAGGAAAAATCCAGGTTTGAAAATTGCTTCTGATATACAAATGGCCTTATTGAACCTCTGGAGCCAGAGAGCCAGGACTTAAGGCTTGTAATCCTCCCCTATTTCAACAGCTCCCATCCATCAGCTCTCCAGTCGCTGAGCAGGGAGCTCCAGCGAGTCTGGAAGAAGCAGCTCCTCCTTTTTGCTAGGCTGGGCGAGCCTGGTGCAGTGCGGCCTCATCCATCAACCAGGAGTGGGGCCCGGCCCAGCCTTCTGGCCAGCATTGGTGGGGAAGCCTGTTAATAAACAGGCTGTGGCCTCTCCAGGAAGTCTCTTCTTCCTCCCTGTGCTTGTTTGTGTGTGTGTGTGTGTGTGTGTGTGTGTGTGTGTGTGTGAGAGAGAGAGAGAGAGAGAGAGAGGATGGATGGATGGATGGATGGGTGGATGGATGGATGGATGGATGAAGGGATAGTGATATAGTTTAGATATTCATCCCCACTCAAATCTCATGTTGAATTGTAATCCCCAGTGTTGGAGGTAGGTCCTGGTGGCAGGTGATTTGTTCATGGGGCTGGATCCCTTATGAATGGCTTGGGACATCCCTTTGGGGACGAGTGAGCTCCTGCTCTGAGTTCTCCTTCCATCTGGCCATTTAAAGTGTGTAGCACCTCTCCCACTCTCTCTCTCACTTCCTACAGCTTTCACCATGTGCCAGCTCACCCATTGCCTTCTGCCATGAGTAGCAGTTCCCTGAGGCCTCTCTAGGAGCCAATCAGATGCTGATGTTATGCTTTGTGTACAGCCTGTAGAACAGTGAGCCAACTAAACTTATTTTCTTTATAAATTACCCAGTCTCAGGTATTTCTTTATAGCAATGCAAGAGGCCTAACGCAGATGGAGGAGGAGGCAGGGTTTTCCCAGACTCTCCATGGACCTGTGTGCCCCTAAAAGGGCCTCCATACACTGTCTTCCTCCAGCCCTGCTGGGGATGGCATTGCACAAACCCCAATTCCTGTATTCATCCCTTCTGTCCACTTCTTCAGTAAGTGCATCTGAGTAGCAGGGAGGACAGGACAGCTGACGTCCACTTAGAGAGAAGTCTGCCTGGACAGGAAACCCCAGCCGTGGTCTGGGCCTCGGGGCCTGTGAAACATACTTATGAATCCACTGACACTTCAGCCCTGTTCCTTCTTCCCCAGGTTAAAAGGCAACCTTAATTACATCTCACTCCTTGAACAGAGTGGGCACAGGCAATCCCCATGAGGTTAGCTCTAACGAGGGAGAAGTCAGGGGAGAGGGCAATTGCAGCTGCGTGAGGAAAGTGAGCACCCAGCATCACAGCCTTTGCAGTGAAAGGGAAGGAAGTCCTTGTCAACCAGCAGGTTATTGGGAAAACAGCTCACATCAGAAATTCTCTTCAGATTTATAATATAAATAATACAGTATACCATTATTACTATATTTATTAATAATGTATTAATAATATTAATGATTAACATAATAATATAAATATATTATATCATATATATTAACATTATAACATAATTATATATATTGTTAATAATATATAATATAAATGATAGCTTATTTGGGTGGTGAATGAAACACCACCTGTAAGTGCCTACTGTGTGCCAGGCTGAGAGATGCTAGGCGACTGAGATGAATACAACCTGCTCCCTGCCCTGGAGGAGACCACAGTGTAGACAGGGAGACAGGTGCGTGCATTGGAAATGAAGTCCACGGGGTGCATGCTTTATCTGATATCTGCCTAGAGTGATACAGAGGTTTGGGGGAAGGGGCGGGGAGTCACCGGGTTGGGGGAACATTACCGAGCCCAGGAGGCTGCAGGAGAATGTATCTGGCTGCCCAGCCTGCTCTTCCCATCCCATCCTCAGCTCTGGTGCACAACTGCACTCAGGCTACATGAGGGGATGGGGGAGTGTGAGCTCCTTTGCCACAGAACCACCCCCTGGCCCCCCAAGGCAATGAGCGCATTGCAGAAAGTCAAGCCCCTGCTCCATGGCCTTCCAGAGGTGGCTCACTCCTCTCTGTGGATGGGTCAAGGTCAGAGTCACCCAGGGTAGGAGCAAGACTGGCTTTTAGAATCAGGAACCTGGAGGCCCAACATTCCTCGTCCATTCCCTCTGTGTCCTGAGACCCAAGGCCTCCTCTGTGGTGACTGGAGTGTTACAGAGAGGGGAGGGCCCCGGGCAGCAGTCATTATGGGTTCCTGTGCGTAAGGAGAAAGACAGCTCAGGCCTTAGTGTATGAGTCTGTTCTCACGTTATAACTGGGTAATTTATAACGGAAAGAGGTTTAATTGACTCACAGTTCCGCACGGCTGGGGAGGTCTCAGGAAACTTAGAATCATGGTGGAAAGTGCTTTTCACAGGATGGCAGGAAAGAGAAAAGTGCAAGCAGAGGAAATGCCAGACGCTTATACAACCATCAGATCTAGTGAGAACTCACTCACTATCATGAGAACAGCATGGGGGAAACCACCTTCATGATTCAATCACCTCCAGGCCCCTCCCATGACATGTGGGGATTATGGGAATTACAATTCAAGGTGAGATCTGGGTGGGGACACAGACAAACTGTATCAGTTGGCAAGACTGTCAGAGGTGGTAAGCAAAGTACTCTGAGGAGCAGTACACAGTATGGCTGCTGTTTCCTTTCCGGGAGATGATACAATCTCCCGGGGGGCAAGGCCAGGGGTGTGACAGGTCAGAAGTGAGCCTGGCTGTGTCTGACTGTGGCTAATGAGAACACCACCCACAGCAACTGCCTTCAGCGACCCTCAGCCCACAAGGTCCTGGGAGGGCTGGGACGAGGCCTCCTGGTTGAGATAGGAGAATGAGAATGAGCCCTTGTTCCTGTCCAGGACCCTCCTTTTGCAGAGAGTAGAGGTCAAAGGAGCTGGGGTTCCCCTCCTGAAGCCAGCACCATAGGCAGCTCCGTCCCCCTCTCTGCCTAGGGAAGCCGGGATGGAGGAAGGGGGACTTGACCTTGGGAAGCACACCCCAGTGCTTGGATGGATTCTGAGATTTCATAATGAAAATGTAAGCCAGGCTTCAACTTAACATCTGTCTAAATAACAAACTAAAAATCAAGGAAGATACATCTAGATGACTCCTAAGCCATTATAACGAAACTAATAGCTGCACATTATGTGCTGATGGGGAATGACACAATTTCAACACAATGGCAAGTGCCACTCTTGATCATTCAATGTTACCTGTTTCTTGCAGGGACAAATCTCCAAGTGTTAAAGGGGGCTCCATCCCAGCAGCTGCTGCGCTGCCTTTTGCCCTTGGTCCGGATTCCATGACCTCTCACTCTCTGAAGTCTAGAGTCTCTTTCTGAAGCCCAAAAGCCTCATATTGAAGCAGAAATGATAAAGGGTTTCACTTTCTATAGTTGCTTTTTCATATAATTCTTCTTTCCCTTGATAGGTGAGGAAAACTTGAAAACATCAAAACATACATACTACATTATGATGAAACCAAAAACCAGGTGGAAGGAAAGAGAGTGGCAGCAGGTGGAGCGGGAGGAAGAGAGAAGTGGGAAAGGAGGGGGAAGGGGGAAATTATGGGGAGAGAAAACAGGAAGAGGGGGAGAAGGAAAGGTAGAAAGAGAGGGGAGAGAGGGAAAGAGGAGAGAGGGCAGAAGACCGAGGCCAGCAAGGCCTGCACAGAAGCTGCGACCTGGAGCGCCTGGTAGATGGTTCCGGGTTGAAGGTAGAAGGATGGGTTTTCCCAAGGCCACAGCCAGCCCTGAGGGTGGCGAGGCTGAGCAGACAAATGGCCAGAATCAGATCTGTGGTCGCTCTTCCAAGCACATCTGTGCATATTGCTGTTAAGGACTTCAGGGCCTGGCTTCAGCAATCTCTGTGCTGCTGAAGTCACAGGTGGTCCTCGGAGGGGTCCTGTCTTCCTCGTGCCTTCTGCGCTTCAACTCCCGTTCTGACATTGAGTCTCCTTGGCCAGGGATGAGTTCCTCACTCTCCAAAGTGGAAAATG
Source organism: Homo sapiens (assembly GCF_000001405.40). Lineage (NCBI taxonomy): Eukaryota > Metazoa > Chordata > Mammalia > Primates > Hominidae > Homo > Homo sapiens. Next base: position 130,891,214 of record NC_000010.11, read on the forward strand.
TCCTGCAAAATGTGGGCCCCACTGCCACGGCGACTTCTGCCTAATTCCACGGGGAGTGCCCCAACCACAGTACCAGGCCTTCCTATGCCGGCACGGGCCGGAATGGGGGAAATCAGGGACTTGTATGGCAATGCCCGGCATAGGCTCCCTGGCCCCCAGGGCCCTCCCTGTTGTGCCCACTGTCCCTGCAGCTGCCCCCACAGCCCCACCAATATTCTCTGTGTTATCCTTACATTTGTATAAATGTAAAAGTATTCCAAGATGAAAAGTCTTTTAAAGATAAGGATGTGTGAATGAGCTTATGCAGCCTGACTGTGGGAAGGTGGTGGCTTGCTTACCACTGCTTTGCTTACCACTGCTTACCACTGCTTTTCAATGTGTCTCTAAGTTGTCAGGACATATACCTTTGGTCTGGTGACACCTGCAGCCTCCCCCCCGCCCCTACCGCCCCCCCACACGCTGCCCTATGTCCTTGCTGGGCCAGCCCACTCTTCCACATAACCTAAAGTGTACGTGCATATATGCACACACACACAGGTACACACACAGGTGTGCACACACACAGGTACACACATAGGTGTGCGCACACACACACACAAGTACTCAAACACTTGGATTCTCTCTTGACCTCCCGGTGACTGCATAGTGGGGACTCCTGTAGACTCAGCATCTTGGACATGAGGGAGCTGTGTTTTCTTGGGTCCCTGATAAATGCATTCAGTGTCCCCATGTTCCCAAATATCTGGCTGAAGTTGTGAAAGTTCAGGGGCCTCTAGGAAAATAACCTGCAACTATTACCCTCACCTGAGGAATGGAGGGGAAGGTTGTCTGCTGATATAGGTTGCATTAGGTTATAGAAGTTAGAATGGCAGATTATATCAAGTTAAAATATCCCTGAACCAATTTCAGCTAAGTCATCATAACTTTTGCAGAAAACCAAAGGAGAAAGTAGAGGCAATAAAAAGTATTGCTGCTCAGTGTAAACTCAGTTTCTACTTATGAGTATTCTAGCCTGAGATATTACTTCTCATATATGCCTCTGATTAAATACTTTTTTTTTAGCATTCCAGATTTTTCTTTTAAAGCTGTTCTCTCGATAAAGAATGATTGTGTTTACATACAGTGACATTTTTGTAGCTTGGTCCTTAAACTGGACAGATGTCTGGTAGTATTAGGAACCAAGTAAATATTGGCATGTTCTGGTTTCTGCAGAAATAGAAGACACTGAATTAAAAGCCATATCACACATACCCCAGGAAAAGACTCAAGCTAGTGAAGACCTCAGCCTCCCTGTCTCCTCCGCTGTCAATCCATCTCGGCTCTTTCTGGAAAAAAAAAATCAGGAATGTATGCAAGAATATTTTTCTTGGCCAAGAGAAGGTGATGGAAGCCCCTCCTCTTCCTCCCTCTCCTCCACAGGGAGGGCCAGGGGCCAGGTCTCAGGTCACAGGCTCACTGGGAGGCTGGAGGGAAATATCTTAGACTTAGGGTGTCAGCATCAGGGGTGAGCAGCCCAGGAGAGGTAGGCAGGATTGGAGTCATGGCAGAGAAAATGTATTTGTTCTCTGCTCACATACCCAGATCATGGAGAAAGGGACAAAAGAAGAGAGAGAGGAAATGGAGGCACATTAATAATAAAAGACTCACTGAATAGATGGGGGTGGAAAATCAGCTTTGGTGAGGGTCTTTGGCGCTTTCTGTATAGGTCTGGTCTGTGGAGACATCAACAGCTTCAAAAGGGGACCATGCTCAGAATTGCACATCAGATAATGGGAAGGTAGGAGATTGCCACAGCTGGACCAAGGCCATGCCCGGCTCCATCGTCCTTGTCTCCTTTGTGTCCTCCCACAGTCAGAGGGGAGGTCTCTGCTCCTCCTTTCTTGGGATTCCTGGGCTGCTAATCAGCCACTGTCCTCACCTCAAGTCTCACTCCACAGCCACTGTGGCTGCCAGCTCAGCCCTGGGTCCCCAGAGCTTCCACACCATGGAGATGTGACCCAGGACCCTAAGGGCTGCTGGCCTGGCCATCCATGGACTCTTGATCCACAGGGTCATTGACCCAGGTTCCCAGGACCCTCAGGACTGTGCCTGAATGCCAGACTTCAGGGGGGATGGGAGAGGCTGTTTCCGCCTGGCAACACCAGAGATCAACAGAGCTGCCCTTCCCTGGGTGTCTTCCCCGGCACCCACAAGAGCATGGGGAGGGAGCAGAGGGCCACAGCCTCCCATCCGCAGTGCCACAACCCAAGAATCAATAATTTTTTTTTTATTATGGCCGAAAACTCATTTGGCAGCAAAACCTGTTCTGATCTAATGTGGAGCCATTTGCAATCTTTATTTATTCCTCTTAGTGTGAATATTCACGCATTTCTCAGCAGAAATATTAATGCATGTGCTTATGAGATGCTGCCTGGATTCTATTGGAGGTGTAGTGTAATTTACAGACCCCGCAGCTTTGCGCTCTTCCCCACCTGGGCTGGGCACTCTGAGACATTCACCTCCTGCAAGGCAAAACCTCCACGGAGGCCTGGCGGATGGTTAATCTTTCTTATGTAAGCTGTGCACATGCAGTGCAGAAAGTTGCCTCATATTTTCTAGTAAGAGGATATTTTTTCAAAGTTAACCCAAGATGAAGGCTGCACAGGGTACAGTATTTCAGGACCAAAAATATGACTGCGTTTTAGAGGGAAAAAAAAAGATCTTTGCAAGATTGAAGGGTTCGTGGATGGATTTTGCAACCCACTGTAAACCTCTGATTGGCCTCATGGGTTTCCACCATTTGCATACCTCACCCATTGTGTGGAAAACGCAGGGTCTTTGGTGGCAAGGAGCAAACTGTGTGTAATTAATGGAGGACTTTCAGAGGAGCAAAGGACCAGGCAGTAGAGAAACAGCGTGAGGGAAGTTGATTGATAATGTGTTTCCAGCAGCTTAACTTCAAGAACCAATTTGCTAGAAAAAAAATGATTGGATTATGTGGAATCAACCTACAACTCAAACCCTGGTTACCAGCCTTTATTCTTGGCACACATAAACCACAGTTTCCACATCTTTTCAAAATTACTTGTTTGACTTACAGCTTTCGATTTGACGCAAGTTTTTCATCACACACACACACACACACACATACACACACACACACACACACACACACACGTTTTGTTTATGAAAAAAGAAGAATGCCAAACAATGAGCAGACCCGAATATACCAGAGGAACGTGAGAGGCAGAATCAGGAGAGACCTCATTATTCCAATGGTTCGAGAAGTCCTGGGTGCTGCAGTTGGAGGTTTGGGGGTGATGGCCGGAGCACATTGAATTCAAAATGCCTGTTGGTAAAATTCATAACCTGTTTTGATGAAAAGATGCATCTTTTCAGAAAATCTAGCTCTCCATCAGACGTGTAGCAGATCAGACAAGCCTGAACACACCCAAACTGGCTGGACAGGAAACCCCACATCTGATACTGTGAGCTTCCAGGCCCGGTGCGTGCATTCTGAGCACCTGCCCAGCAGAAACCATCCCCCTCCCCGAGTGTGGGGAGCTCAGTGCCATGGGAGATGTTTGCCCTTGCCCTTGTGCTTACTATTTTTGTTTTTTTTTTTGGCTCTTATTCCATCTCTTGATGGTCCAGGGGGACTTGATCCGTTTGGGGCATATAGAAGCCTTAACTTAGCATTTTTAATGGGCTCGTTGAAACTTGGATTTAAGTGAAACGCCATATAACAAAACCCATTTTACCACAAGCTATTTGATATAAACAAGAGTTTAAGTTCCTATAGCATATTTCTGATTTAAAAAAGCAGTAAACTCAACATTAAAACCGAAAACACTTCTAATATTATGCTCTGAAGCTGAGTGTGACGGCTCAAGCTTATGGGAAGCCACAGCGGGAGGATCACTTGAGGCCAGGAGTTCAAGACTAGGCTCTGGACAACACAGTAACACCAAACCCAATCGAGAGCGAACATATTTTCCTATCTCCTTGGTGACAACAGTTCAGTGGTGATTCTATTGAAATGCTTTTGAAAATGTGTTAAGCCAACAAACTCCCCTTGCCCTTCCTGTCTGCAAGGGCTCTACCCACAGAGACCTCCCTGTTCTTGTGTGGTCTGCTCTGTTTACTTGGCTGCCTCCTGGAGGACCTGTGAGCAGCCCAACACAGCTGCCTTCTCTGAGATGACAGCGGGCACTGGGCTCTGACCACAGGCAGCAGGGGGCATCTCAGGCACTACAGCAGCTAGAGAGCATTCACTCAGACAAGAGAGTGTGGGACCCATGCAGCACACAAGGAGAAGCCTGGTTCTGCAGGATCCCAGCTGTGGGACAGGAGAGGTGGGGGCCACACTTGGAGAAAAAGACTGCACTGCTGTGTGGAGAGTGCCTCATACATAGAGAGCTGCACAAGTGTGCTTTGTGCACATGGAAATTGGGAGCCATGGGAGGCGTTAAAGTAGAGGAGTGCCCAGACCCGCTGTGCACTAGTATCCTTGATCTGCTTTCTTGCAGCTTGCTCACTGAATTTGGTTGGAGAAGGGGATAGGAGTGGAAGTTTCTGGAACAGCACAAGTGAGGTATAATCGGAATCTAAGTGGAGAGTATTGGCAAGGAGAGAAATGGAACGTAAGAGGCAGCCTGGGTGGTCTCAGTCAAGCGACCTTTGCCCCTTCCCTGCCGCTTGCACAAGGAAGTTCTGCGCCTTTGAATATGGAGCACCCTCAAGTCTCAGGGGGATGCGTAGGAGCTGCGCCGAATGAACTCGAGACAAAAGGCTGTACCTGTGGGTTTAGAGCCCTCCAGGGAACGGCAAGTGCACAGTGGAGAATGGCCATTGTGCCCCCAGATCCCCCGGATTCCTGCCCCTCAAGCCAGGCCCCTGGAAGAACTGCATGGGTTGGGGCCGGGGAGTCCCCCTAGTACTCCAGTGTGTTGCTGACCCTGCTTTGAGGGCTTCCCCGCTGCCTTGGAGCCGACATCTGCTATGGTCTGAATGTTTGTGTTGCTCCCAAATTTGTGTTGAAACTTAATCCTCAAAGCAAGAGTATGGAGAGATAGGGTCTTCAGCAGATGATTAGGCTCCACCCTCATACATGGGATTAGGGCCTTTATAAAAGGGTTTGAGGGAGTGAATTCATCCCTTTTTTGTCCTTTGCTACGATGAGGACACAACAGCAAGGAGCCGTCTTGGAAGGTGAAATCAGTGCTTTCCAAACACTGAATCTGCACCTTGATCGAGACTTCACAGCTTCCAGAACTGTGGGAAATAAATTTCCAGTATTTATAAATTACTCAGTCTAAAGTACTTTGTTATAGAAGCACATATGGACTAAGATGATATCTTCTATCACTTTACCCCCAGACTGGCTGAAGCTAAATTCCTTATTGACCCAGCTGGATGGAAATTTAGAGGAAACTAAGTAATTCCAAGAAGACAAGGCTGGGCACAGTGGCTCATGCCTGTAATCCCAGCACTTTGGGAGGCCAAGGTGGGTGGATTGCCTGAGCTCAGGAGTTCCAGACCAGCCTGGGTGACATGGTGAAACCCCATCTCTACTAAAAACACAAAAAAATAGCCGGGCGTGGTGGTGTGTGCCTATAATCTCAGCTACCTGGGAAGCTGAGGCACGAGAATTGCTTGAACCCGGGAGGTGGAGGTTGCAGTGAGCCAAGATCATGCCATTGTGCTTCAGCGTGGGCGACAGATATCACACAACCCCAAAAGTACCATTCACACAGATTGGGTATGGTGCAGTGCCCGTTCAGTGCAACTGCCCTGGACAGCCTTCACTCACATGCATTCATAAGACTACAGGAATTTGCATAACTCTGAGTTTTCAGTCATAATTGCCTTATTTCATGAATATATTATAGGAGATATACAAGAAATTAAATACACAAATCTTCTCCTGATGCATAATGCTCAAGTCAGGTGATACAGCACCTCCTACACTTGCCTTTGAAAAATCTTTTGATTTAAAAAAAAATCTTGCTGAAAGATATTTGGAGCCATTTAAACATTCTAAATTAGATGTTATGACCACGAGGCAAAGACACCACAACCATCTTGCCCCTCAGACCTGGAAGGATCCCGTGTAACTGTGCCCTTACCACTCCAGCCATCGTCATTTCAAGACTTGCGTATTTCGAAGGCATGTGTGTTCCACTTTCTTTTTCAAGTTTCAAAAGAAACCTCTGCAGTTGTTATCCTCTGCTGGGTTAACTTAACAAAGCTATCATCCAGAAAACAAATAAACAAAACCACACCACAGCCCCCTTACCCAGGCCAATGGTGTGCTCACCCCACGGACTCCAGATGAAAAGCTCTTGCCCTCAGAAGCAACTTTTATTTTCAGTCTCATCATAGGAGCCCACAATGGGAGGCCTTCAGCTCTCTGTTCCACCTGCTCTAATGAGATCTGATTTTTAAATTTTGATGTGTGAAGAAAATTGCTGATGGTAGAACTTAGTTACAAAAGCTAGGGTGCATTTCATTGATTGCAATTGCTTAAAGGGAAAATCAACTCTTACCCCTGTTTGAAACCATGCTATGGTTGGCATGTGGAAGGGGGCTTTGGACAAAGACATTTTTTCTCTTTCCTTTCTCTGATGCATTCAGAATCCCTGTGGAGTGCCTCCCACGTGCCCTCCTCTGGCTCTCCCAGGCAAGGAGAGCGTAAACCTCTCCCCCAGTTCCTGGAGTGGAGGGGGACAAAGCCTGAAGGTCCACAAGCCAGCATAGCTGGGGTCCAGCTGGGGTCCTAGTGGGCAGGGGGTTCAAGCTAGAGAGAGGTGCTGGTCAGCAGGGGATCCCAGCCAGCAAGATATCTCGGCCAGCGGGGACTCCTGGTCTCACCTTCAGGGCTGAGAGGGGCCTGGGTGCTCAGAGAACCTCCAGGTGGCCCCTGCCTGCCCTGGGGGGCATGCGGTATGACCAGTTCCCATGTGGATCTGCAAAGGGAAGGAGAATTCAGTTCTCTGAAAGGCTGGCCAATGTTTCCAAAGCTTCAGGCTAATAGATGGATAACCAGGACTTCCAACCCTGGGAGTTCTACCCTGGATTCTCGGTGATCCTAGGAAAGCCTTTTCACCTCTTCATATCTCTACCCTGACCACCTGCATGGAGCAAAATGCCATGATTCACATGAAGAAGGCACCAGTGGCCAGTCCCAGCTAAACCAGCCTTACGTCACACCTGGGAGCCCTGTGCCACGCCCCCTCCTTGTGTTTGGGTATCTCCAGGCCCACCTTAGTCCTCGGGGAGTTCTGGTATCAGCTCCTGCAGGACATTGAGGTTTGATGGCTGCACAGTCAGGCTTCCAGAGGCACAGGCTGGGCCAGTGTAGGAAGGGTGGCCACCGTGGACCACCGACTGACAGGGGTCTTCCCCTCAGGCTGGCAGGGTCTCCAGCCCCTCCCTGGCACACACTTTCCCATCAGCTCTTCATCACATGCCCTCTCTCAGCAGGTGCTTTCCTGTGCCCAGCATTTCCTTAGGTCCACCAGCATCCTGTCTTGTCCTCCACGGGATCCCCATGGAGGATGGTGCCTGTGCAACAGTGACTGTCCCTGAAGTCCGGCTGAGCAAACAGGACAGGGGTTTGCCCACAGCCTCAGCCGCACCCGTCGGATTCCCCAAGGCCTCACACCCCAGCACTGAAGGAGGCGGTCCTGTCTCTAATCAGACGCCCTCTTGTTAGTCTCCAGTGGACTTCATTTCCCTTAAATAATAAATCCTGGAGCCCAACCATGAGGACAGTAAAGTTCTGTGTTTTGAGTAAAGGTTCAACACTGGAAGCACAGAGGTTTCTTTGATTGTTAGATTTTTAAAACATTGAGAGCTATCATAGTCATGAGTGTGGCTTCTCAAAGGATTTCCCAATTCCAGAGGCTTCAGTGCCCACCAAAAGGTGAGCCCAGGGCACTGGGGCACAGACGTTTCCTCTAAAGGAGAGAAGGACAACCTCAGCCTGTGGCCTGAGCAGGGGTCTCCACTCCTCAGAACCCCCCACCAGGCTGGCAACAGCCCCATGCCTGCTTCCTTCCCCCGGCCCACTACAGCAGTCTCTGGGGGAGACCAGAAAATCTGGTGGTTTAAAAAGCTCTTCAGCAATTCTGATGGGCAGCCAGGGTTTAGAGCCACAGACTTCAGGGAAAGAAGTCTCCCTCTACTCCCAGGGGAAATGGATATGGCTGGTGAAGCCGGGAAGAAGCAGGCGAAGGCAGAGGTGAGAGGTCAAATCCGAAGGTCTTTAGTCCTGCTCCAAGTCCAAATTCTTGGAGGTGGCAGGGCAGTGGTGGTAGAAGAGCCGGGTCATTTTGAGGGCCAGCCCTGCCCATCTCAGGTGCCAGTCTGGGACACAGCAAGCTCCTTAGAGAGGCTTCTAGAATAACAAGGCACAGTGGAGACTGGCTTAAAAACAGCTGAGAAAGGTTTCCAGGATGGAGTTAGAAAAGTCTCCATTTCCAATTTCCCATGGCCCTGGTGGAAGCAACTCAGGAATTCCTGCTCCTGAGAGCTGGCTACTGTAGGAAGTAGAAAGAGAGGTTACTGGGCAGTGGGTTGAAGCTGGGGTGGACGGGGCAGCTGTGACTAAGCCAGGGGCATGGGCAGCATTGGCAAGAGCAGAGAGGAGATGAGTGTGTGGAAGAGGGACCCACTGGGACCCCACCGAGGCTGCGAAACCATCTGAAGTTTGGCCAGCTGCACACAGGTGCACTCCCTAGCACAGACGGGAGGCAGGGTCTCACCTGTGGGCCCTGAAACAGGGCCCATTCCGACTCCGGAAGTCAGGCGGGTGCTCTCCTACCAAGCTCCCAAGAGGAGCTAAGGGGGCCAGGGCGGAAACGGGGAGCTCTGTCTGGCCCTGGGAGGTGAGCTGGCTGCGTCAGGAGTCTGGGCGTCAGGAAGGTACCTGGAGGTGATTTCTGTGAGGAACGTCGACATGGGCATTTGGGGCCACAGTGCTCAGACAGCAACCTCTGGTTCTTACCAATCCTCCATAACAATTTCAAGAACTGTTTTTTGGAAGAAAGCTTAGTTTACCATGTTCATTTAATAGTCAAAGTCCCCGGCTGGGCAAGGTGGCTCATGCCCGTAATCCCAGCACTTTGGGAGGCCCACGTGGGCAGATCACTGAGGTCAGGAGTTCAAGAGCAGCCTGGTCAACATGGTGAAACCCCGTCTCTAACAAAAATATAAAAATTAGCTGGACGTGGTGGTGCATGCCTGTAGCCCCAGATTCTTGGGAGGCTGAGGCAGGAGAATGGCCTGAGACTCAGAGGCAGAGGCTGCAGGGAGCTGAGATCATGCCACTGAACTCCAGCCTGGGCAACAGAGTGAGACCCGTCCCCCACCCCCACAAAAAAATTGTCAGCGTTCCCAAACAAGACTGGTGCACCAGTTTTGGCAAAGCGCCCACTGCAGGTCCTTGGCCATCCTGGACCCTGGAGCCTGATGTTCTCCCCAGCGTTGGTCCTCACATTTCAATTTTGCTCAGAGAAGCTCAGCTCAACCCTGTGGTCTTTGATGGTGACTCTGCCTTGAGGGAATGGAGCAGCGCGATGAAAGGCCTCCCATGGTGTCCCACCACTGCCTGTTTTGTGGATCGACTTGTCCTTCACCGCCCCTGAGGCTCCTGGGTAGAGTAATGTCCACCTTGCATCCTGCCCCTTCTGCCTCAGGAAGACCCACTGCAGGGCTCAGCCAAGACTGGCAACGTCACAGACAAACGGAGCCCTAGCGAGTGGGGAGGCTGGAGCAGCCCTGCACTGTCTGCCACACAGCAGCACAGAAGGCAGCCCCCTCCCGAATAAGAAGGCTCCTGGGTGATTCCTTTCCCAGGCTGGCAACACCCTGTGGAAGGCCTCCTACATTTTGCATGAACTTTAACACAAAGAGTAGCTGGAGCGAATGATTTATTTCATTTTTCCTGAAAATATGCCGCCTTTAAACATGAGACCCAAATACCTGCTTGTATACTAAATAGAATTAATTTGGTTAAGATTTCTCCTACAGCATCGTGGTACTACCAAGTAAAAACAAATTATTCTGTAAATCGGGTCAACAAAGAAGCACCTGGATCCTCATTTTCACTAGTGGGAAGAGGTCCTTCTCCAAGACTTGCAGTGGGCAATGGCCTCCTCCTTCCAGATGTGTTGGGGGCTTGTTCCCTCTCCGTCCTCCCTGTTGGGGATCTCTAAGGTATGTTGGTGACTTCGAAGGGGAATCCTGCAGCCAGTGCTGTGCACCAGAAGGTCTCAGCATCCCCCTTGTGGCCAACTGCCCTTGGGGATTCTGTGGGTGGGTCCCTCCCCACTGTGGCTGATGGCTGAGCTCGCACACCTGCCATGGGGCTCAGGCTGTTTTCCAGTCTTGCCGCATGGCCAGTGCATCCCTGGGCTGGCCTTGCCTGAGGGCGACCCTGCTGGGAGGGTGACTCCTTTTCCTCTCCCCTTTGGCTTCTTTTGGCTCCTTTAAATGTCTCCTCCCAGCAAGGAATGCGCGGAAGCAGCCTGCAGGACCTCTCCTGCACAGTGTGTGGCTGCAGATGAAGTGGGGTGCTTGCACACGTGCCTGCAGAATTCATCGGGCTCTCAGGCACTGGCAGATCAGAGAGGACTTGGGAAGTGATGTATTATTTACAACTGCGGTTCCCCTGCAAGCCTGGGGGATCTTCCAAGAATGATGGCAGATCCTAGATGCTTTCCGGGGAGCCTCTGGAGGAGCTGGCGCAGCCTCCGGGCAGATGCTGTGGTACCATAGCCAGGAGGCCCTGGGGTGGTGCTGATCCAAGGGTTGGGCTGACCTGTCCCCAGCTCTGGGAAATAGGACAACAGACGCCCCACTGATGAGCAGACAGACCCTCCACATCAGCTCCGCAGCATCTCTCACACTGAGACAGCTCATGGGGCCTAATTCCAATTAGCCCTGCAGACAGCATAAGCTTTGCATGAAGCAGGGAGAAAGAAGCAACTTAAAAATGGACATTTTCAGTATTTTTGCAATTTCGCTAGACTGGCAGAAGTTGTGCACACTTAATAGAAAATGATGATGTATGAGGACGATGGCTTTCTGATTAGGAGAAGTGAGAGAGAGTGGACCAGCAAGCACCCCCGGAGAATCACAGGTGTGTGACACTTGTGACTTTCATTGTCATTTTACTTATTGAAAATGACTTTGATAAAAATACCTGACCCAGGAAAGTATACATCAGTGGCCCACAATTCAAATATTCATTTCAACCTCTGTGGTCTCCTTTCCCTAATGTGACACTAGGTTTCATCTTTTGGGGACCAGATCTCTACTAAGATTTCCAACGCTTTTCCTGACCCTACCTGAATCAGAACTAGACCATATAGACTGGGCAACTGACTCTGAACGGGATTTTTAAGTCCCGAGGGAACCATGCACCCAGGCAGTCTGGCCTACAGCAGGATTCAGAGATGGATTTTGCACAAGTCAGCTTTTTCCCTGTGAACTCCCACGGCACAATTCTCAAACATGAAGAGTGCTGGCTTTGATTTTCCTGCTCAAATGGCTGTTTTTCTGACGTTATGTCAGCACCACTGTATTATAAATCGGCTTCACGTCACAGGTAAGACAAACCACGAGGTGTTTGCCTCCTCCAATCTTTTAAGCAATTAAGTGGGGAGACTGGTCTGTTGAAAAAGCTTTTAAAACAACATTTCACCAAGCATAATGATTCTATAAAACCGTTCATTTTCTTAAGTAATGACCATTGTTACTGACTAGCTGATTCTGTTTGCCTTAGAGAGGCCACAGCCTTGGTAGATGGCAGAGCTGAGAGGGTCTCAGATGGGGTGCTGCCTTCATGAACCCCACATCTATGGGGTAGACAGACCCTCTAGGCTTCAGACCCCAGTGGACATATCCATTCCTCCATGGGAGGGAACCAGCGGGGGGCTTAGAGACACTCTGAGATGTCACAAGGGTCCCAGATGGAGAATCAAGCCCACAAAGTCCTGGCTTCCATGATGAGAGGCCCTGCTCAGCCAAGGGTCAGAGCCCAGGAGAACGAGAAGCCAGCCTCTGTGGTGGCAGATAGGGGCTCTGCCCCCAACTTTTCACATCCTCTTAAGCCAGGTTCTAGGCTTTTATTCCTTGACCTGATGTTGCTAAGTCCTCCTGGAATATTTTAAGCATTTTAGCCTGAAGCTGGAGAAATGTTATCAGCCCCTTTCAGAGTCTCAAAATAAAATGTTAAAAATTTGGGAAAAAAGAACATCCGTGGAGGACAGGAGCTCCCTCTGTCCAGCTGGAAATACAGAGTGAATGTCCAGCCTTTGGGCCAGGGGTTCCTGGGACCAGCAGCTTCCTGGCTGTTTCTCTCCATTCAGATCTGGCTGTGCTATACCCCCAGTGCTCATGGTCTGGGGAACCCGTTTGATTCCCGGAGGCTCCCTCCAGGGCTCGTTCTGGCCCCTGGGTAGCCTCTGCCACACACTGTCATCCGAGGAGGCCACAGCAAGGCAAGGTGCATGTGTCTGCAGGTGCTTCAAGTGGACAAAGCCGCAGGGGTCGGTGAAAGGTGGCAGTGGGGGTTCACCAAAGGGCAAGGGAGGAGGGTGAGGAGTCAGCTCCCCACTTAGACTCCTCGTTCCAACAGGGGCTGCTTCCTGGCTGGAGAGTCTCCACAGCCTGCCTGACTGCTCCTTGCCATGCCCCACTCTCCTCTCCACACCGCCTGCTGAGGTGCCACACCTGCACACTCATACCTGTCCTCAGCTGCCCCTGACCACCGCACCCCAAGAGACCCTGGGGTACCCTCTGCACAAGGAAGGACAGTCAGGGTGCAGGGCACATGGAGGACAGTTACCTGCCAAGGGCTCAGGTGCTCCTTGCCCTTTGGGTCTAAAAAGAGCCCTGTGGCCCCTGCATGGGGCTTTTGGATGGGGACAAACCTGACTGTGGCCCCGCATCCTGACGACCATGCCCTCTACACATGATGTTTACGTCAGTGCTGAGAGTGAGTGGGGCAGGGATTGCAGTCTGTCTATGGAGACCAGAAATGGAGGAATAAGCCAGATGTTCCGGTGGCCCAGGTGTCAGAGGACAGTGCTTATTGGAAGGCACAGGCTTGTTCCTCTGCAGGTTCTGCCTTTTATCCTTGGCTCAAGACTGGACCCATGACCTTTCTTTCTGAGCCCTTCCCTAAGGACCCACCCCACTGCACCCTCTGCAGACAGCTCAAGTCAGCTCTTACCCTGCTCTAAAGCAGCCCTAGCACCCCCAAACCCAGAGCCTCAGAGGGCTAATGCTTTTATTTGCTTAAAAGGAGGCAGGCTTCATCAAGGGACTTTGGAAGTCAGCTCCCCACTCCAGGGTGAAAGCTGGCCCTGCCTTCCCACCTGCCAAGCCCCTGCCCCTGAGTCGGTGACCCCACCCCTCCAGGCCAGGGCCCATCTGGTGCAGGGGTGGTGGCCTCCTGCATTGGAGGGGCCACAGACATTAGTCTCTGAGCAGAAGCTGAAGCATACAAGAGCCCTCTCACAAATTCCTTGATAATGCTGCACCCAAGCCACATAGTGGTCAGCATCTTGAGACCATTTCTATCGGGGCCATCCTCAGCAGGGCGGCAGGCGTCCTTCCCCCATCCTCAGCAGGGCGGCAGCTGGCTTCCCTGCTGCTGGCTCACCATGGACTCAGTGTATGGCTGCCCATGCAGGGATGGCTGATCCCCACTGCCCTGCCTTGTTTCCTGATGGGTAGACAGACCCTCTAGACCCCAGGCCCCGTGGATACGTCTACACTCCTCTGTGGGGAGGGCCACAGTGGGTCACAGGGTGGACAGCATCATTCTCAAAGTCCTTGTTTTCCTGGGCACCCGAGACGTTCTGAAGCCCTCTCGGCCATAGATGAGACCCCACTTACGTTGTAGACAGCCCAGGCTAGACCGTGGCAGCATGCGGTGGGAGGGCCATGGCTTCATTGATGATCACAGTCAGAAATCCTGGCAAGTTGGGGCTGGAAGAGATCTAAGTGATAACATAGAATGTTTTGTGGATAGGGACTTAAGGAGACCAGAGAGGGGGAAGGGACAGCCCCAGGGTCAGACAGTGAGCTCCTCCTGTTAAACCTGGAAGAGCAAAGTGATGAAATGCATCTGGGCTCAACTTCTCTGCTTTGAATTCTGCAGAAGCTCTTGGCTTTCAGGATCACTCTCTCACTTCCTAGCCTGGCAGATGGTCCTCCCACACCCCTGCTCTGGCCCTGTCCTCTGCTCCCCACTCGGTTCTCAGCTGCCCTGTCCTCCCTGGCCATCCCCGCCGAGCCTCTGCCCCTACTGCCTGGATATCCCTGCTGGCTGCCTAACCCTCCCTGGATCCAGACTCACTCGGGCACCCCTTCTCCAGGAGGCCAGGAGTCCTCCCTGACCTCCCCCTCCCCTCCCTGGATGGGGCTCAGGCCCCATCTGTGCTCACCTGTGCCACCGCCTCCTCGGGACAAGCCAGTGTGCTCCGTGACCTCATCTGCCTCCCCAGCCCGACAGGGATTTCTCAGGGCTTACCTTATGTAAACAGCAGGTAGGACTGACCTGCTCATGGCAGGTGCTAGCTGTTTGTTGAATGAATGGACGGGTGGCAGATGAAGGGCTTTCCAGCACCCTCAGGTCTCTGCAGCTCTGCCACCAGCAGCCCTTCTCTGGGTCACTTTTGATAAGTGCACATGTCTGCTCCACAGCAGGCTCGTGGTGACGCCTCCATGTGCCTCTCTGCTCACCACGTCAGTCCCGTTTGTTGGATTTGTCCCGTTCTCCCTGACCTGGGCCCATGTAGGGTGGTTCTGGTTGGTTGCCTTTGGGGTGGGGGAGACTAGTGACGTGTCCTGGCCAACAAGTCAGGAGTGGAGATGAGGAGAGTCCCTTCTGGCACAGAGACCCTGCCACAGCTCCCACCGGGAGCAGTTCACTTCAAGACAGTGGCCTTCCACCTGCTGAGTCCAGAGGGGGCCACAGAGCAAAGTCCCTGGGCCACCCCATCTGGCCTATGATGGACACGGAGTGAGAGGGATGTGAGCCTCCATTGCTAGAGGCCCCCAGGATCTGAGGAGCAGCTGTTCCTGCAGCATAAGCTGGCCCGTTCCAACACAGTTTCCGTCCAGACTCTGCCTTTGCTGGAGTACAGGCTCAGGAAAAATTCTCTTGTCTCCAGAGAAAACCCTTCCATCAACTATGGACATGGAGGCGTCAGAGGCAGGCTCTCTGGCTTCAGGGGACAGGGTGGAGAAAATGATTTGGGAGAAGTGAAGACGCATTGCAGGAGGTGGGTATCAGCTCATTGGAAATTGAAGAACTGCTGCAAAGTAGTCCATCATTGATACCTGCAAAAGGGCTGCAGACAGAGTTTTAGGAATCTGAGGAGGGAGCAGCAAACTGTTAATCATGGATTGTTCAAAACTGTCTCTCAGGCCTCACTTTTCTGGGTAAACATTTTGGCAGAGTTTAAGGAGGCAGCAGATAGTATGAAAGCCACCTGTGATTGGATTACTAACCCCCAAGTTCCAGCTGTGGATGGACCATTTACTGTCTGAGAATGTGGGCAGGTCGTTGAAGCTTCTCCGGAGCGCTGCTTGCTCTGATCTGTGCAATGGTGGAGCCTAAGCTTGTCCACATGGGGCCACAGAGCTCAGGGCTTGGGGCCAAGAGCGTCTCCTCCTCTTCACGTTCTCTTTGTTCCTTCTCATTCTCTTCCTTCGAGGTGAGGGGAAGAAAGTGCAGTTGGGGGCCAGACAGACCACCCTCAGAGCCATCTCCTCTAGTCAGGTGAGGTGAGTTGGGATGAGTGATTTCCTATCTCTAGTGTCAGTTTTCCCACCTGTTACAGTGACCGTCACAGAGCAACCATCCTCCCAGTTTCCGTGAGGCTCTGGCTGAGCTAACATGCTCTGAGCTGCTCCCCGGTGTGTTCCGAGGCTCTGAAGGAGACATGAGTCTATCCCTCCTCACGCATGAAGCAGCCCTGGGGGATGCTGGGCTGTGAGAACGCAGCCTGCAGGCCCTCCTGGGGCCGGGTATCTAGCCCAGGGCGATGCATAGCGGAGGGTGCACGCTCTGCATGTTAAAGAGGCTCTGATGGTCCCAGGTTTCATTTTCAGAACAAAGGTGCTCTGGGGTCTTTTTGTGAAGTCCCAGAATTTGCCTTTCTGATCAGACCCCTCTGGATGTGACTCTGAAGCCAGTAAGTGCCATTCTCAGTCCTCTGCAGAGCTGGGGGCCTCCCTGCTGCCCCACACCAATGGGGCAGGTCAGATGTGTTATTTCAGGAAATGCATTTTTCCAGAAAGACTGACCCTAAGAGGTGCAGCCAGCTTCCTCCTGTTTTCACACCAACTTTTTGTTGTTTTTCCTTCGTGTGAAGTCGTTCTTAGTTCTGCCAATCTGAGAGATGAAAAGGATGGTATTGCAGGGGATTTATGTTGCATTTCTTTTATTCTCTTCTGTTTAGTTAGGTTTATTGAAGGATACTTTACACACAGCAGAGTTTGCTTGTTAGTGGACAGTTTGGTGAGATTTTGCAGATGCAAAAGCCGTGACACCCTGGATCACAGCAAATCCTTCCCAATCCTGGCAATCCCTCTGCTTCCCATCTGTGGTCAGCTCCTCCTCTCACCCCGTTCCTGCAAGCTATGACTTGTTTCCTATTCACGTACTTCCATAGAAATGGGATCACGTAGCACGTAACCTTTGAGTTTGGCTTCCTTCACTTGGTAAAATGTATTTGAGATTCACCCATGTCGTTGCCTCAGCCTCCCGAGTAGCTGGGATTACAGGCACCCGCCACCACACCCGGCTCACTTTGTACTTTTAGTAGAGGCGGGATTTCTCCATGTTGGTCAGGCTGGTCTCGAACTCCCAACCTCAGGTGATCTGCCCGCCTCGGCCTCCCAAAGTGCTGGGATTACAGGCGTGAGCCACCACGCCCAGCCGTGACTGATTCCTTTCACTCAGCATCATGTCTTCAGGTTCATCCAGGCTGCTGCATGTATCAGTACTTTCTTCTTTTTAATTGCATAATAATATTCCATTATTTAGATACGTCACCTTTTATTTATCTGTTCATCATCTGATGACCATTTAGGTTGTTTCCACGTTCTAGGCTATTATAAATAACGCTGTTATGAACATTTATGTACAAGTTTGTGAGGTGTATATTTTCATTCCTCTTGAGTAGATATTTAAGATTGGAATTGTTGGGTGGTATGGTAATTCTAAGTTTAACATTTTAAAGAATTCAAACTTCTAAAGTGATTGCATCATTGTACATTTCCACCAGCAATATACAAAAGGGCATTTTGATTTTCTCAACTTCTCTACATCCTCACTAATATTTGAGATTGTCTTTTTTATTTTCAATATCCTCGTGGGTGTGAAGCGGTGTCCTTTGTGCCTTTGATTTCCATTTCCATAATGACTAACAGTGCTGAGCATCTTTTCATGTGTTTATAGGCCATTTGTATGTATTCTCTGAGGAAATGTCTATTCCGATCTTTTGCTCATTTTATTGGGTTATTTGACTTTTCATTGTTGAGTTGTTAAGATTTATTATATATTTTGAATATGTCTTTTATTAGATATATAATCTGAAAATGTTTTCTCCTATCTTTGGGCTGTGTTTTTGCTTTCTTGATGGTGTCCTTTGAAACACAAACATTTTTCCTCTATTTTTTTTTTGAGATGGAGTCTCATTGTGTCACCCAAGCTGGAGTGCAGTGGCATGATCTTGGTTCACTGCAACCTCCCAGGTTTAAGCAATTCTCCTGCCTCAACCTCCCGAGTAGCTGGGACTACAAGTGCGTGCCACCAAGCCCATGTAATTTTTGTATTTTTAGTAGACATGGGGTTTTACCATGTTGGCCAGGATGGTCTCGATCTCTTGACCTCGTAATCTACTCCCCTTGGCCTCCCAAAGTGCTGGGATTACAGGCATGAGCCACAGTGCCAGCCCTAACATTTTTCATTTTTACGTAGTCTAGTTTATTTTTTTTAGTCTCTTGTGATTTTAGTGTCATATCTAAGAAAATTTTGCCTAACCCAAGGCAAACGTTGTATGAGTTGCTAGATTCAATTTGCAATGTATTTTGTTGAGGGTTTTTGAGTGATTATTCATAACAGATATTATGTGGTAGCTTTCTTTCTTATTGGAGTTTTTGCTTTTTGTATAGAGTAATACTGGCCTCATAGAATGGGGCAGGACATGGTTCTTTTACCTAAAATTTGTGAAGAGTTGGTGAAGAATTGGTGTTAATTCTTTAAATGTTTGGTAAAATTTACCAGGAAAACCACATGGGCCTCGGCTTATTTTTGTGGGGTATTTTACCTTTATTTGTTTTACATCTGTTTGGATTTCTTATTTATTGTTAATTCCATTTTGGTATTTTCTTTCTAGGAATTTTTCTACGTCATCAAAGTTATCTAATGTGTCAACATACAATTGTTCATAGTATTCCCTGAGAATTCTTTCCATTTCTGTAAGGTCTATAGCAGTGTCTGCTGTTTAATTCTTTATTTTATTGAGTCTTTTTTTTCTTAGTGTAATAAGTTTTCCAACATTGCTGATATTCCCAAAGAGCCAAGTTTGTTTTTGTTAGTTTTCTCTATTTTTCTATCCTCTGTTTTACTTATTTCCACTCTAATCTCTATTGCGTCTGCCCTTCTGCTTGCTTTATGTTTTGTGCACCCACCATCTTCCTATTTCTTAATATGGGAGCTTAGGTGAGAATCTTTTCTTTGCTAAAATAGGAGTTGACAGCAAATTTTCTCTAAGCACTGCTTTAGCAGCGTCTCAGAAGTGCTGGCTTGTTGCGTTTTGACTCTCACTCACCTCAAAACGTTTTCTAATTTCTCTTGTGGTTTCTCCATTGACCCCCTGGTTATTTAGAAGTGTGTGGCTCAATTTCCACACGTTTGTAAATTTACACATTTCCTTCAGTTGTCCAGCTTTAGTTTTACTCCACTGCAGTTGGAAAAACATTTTGTAGAATTTTATTCCTTATGAATTTTTGAGGCTTATTTTATGTCCTGGCATATGTTCTATCCAGGAGAATTTTCCATGTGGGCTTGGAAAGAATGTGCATTTTGCTGGTGGTGGGCGGAGTGCTCTTTAGATGCCTGCTAGAGGAAGTTGTTCAAGCCTTCTGCATCCTGTTGCTCTTCTGCTCGGTTGCATCCATTCTGGGAAAGTCGGGTATTGAAGTCTCCAGATTAATACGGTTGAAGTGAGTATGAATTGAGCACCTCTCCCATCAGTGCTGTCTGTTTTTGCTCCAGCATTTTGGAACTTGTTCGGCACATGCATGTCCACGTCCCTCCTTCCATTTAGCAATACATTTGTTTTAAAATCCTTTTTGTCGGATATTAGCATAGCCACTCCAGTTCTCTTAGGGTTGCAATTTGCAAGTAATTACTTTTACTTTCAACGGACTTATATCTTTGAATTTAAATGTTTTTCCTGCCTTGTAGACAGAATATAGCTGGATTGTGTTGTTTGTTTCTTTGTTTGATCTAGTTTGACAATCTTTGTCCTTTGAATGCACTGACCAATCCAGTCACCACTTTATTATTGATATAATTGGATTTATGGCTATTTTACTTTTTAAACTGTTTCCTATTTTTTTGTATTGCTTTGATTATTCTTGACTGCTTTCTTTTGTATTAAGTGAATATTCTCTAGAGTAATGTTTTAATTATTTTCATTAGTTTTCACTATATTTTCTGTGTTATTCTCTTAATAAGGTTCTTGGTTAACAGTTTTCCTTTCAGGGCCTTGAACACATTGTACTACTGACTTCTGGCTGCCATTGTTCCTCACGTGGAGTCATCTGTTCATCTCACTGGGGTTCCCTTGTACATGCTGAGTCATTTTTCTCTCAGTCTTTCCAATATTTTCTCTTCTCTCCTTCAACATTTTGAGTAAGATGTGTCGAGATGTGGATATGTTTGTTTATCCTACTGAATATTTACTGAGCTCCTTAGATATGTAGATGAGAGGGTTTTTTAAAAAATCAAATTTGGGAAGACTTGAGCCATTATTTTTATTTATTTATTTATTTATTGAGATGGAATCTCACTCTGTTCCCCAGGCTGGGGTGCAGTGGTGTGATCTCAGCTGACTGCAACCTCTGCCTCCCAGGTTCAAGCAATTCTTGTGCCTCAGCCTCCCAAGTAGCTGGGACTACAGATGCTCACCACCACGCCGGCTAATTTGTTGTATTTTTAGTAGAGACAGTGTTTCACCATGTTGGCCAGGCTGGTCTCAAACTCCTGACCTCGGATAATCCACCTGCCTCAGCCTTCCAAAGTTCTAGAATTACAGGCATAAGCCACTGCGCCCAGCCTGAGCCATTATTTCTTTGAGTATTTTTTATTCCTTTCTCTTCACAGTTTCTTCTGGTATGCCTTAGTACACTTAATGGTATCCCACACTTCCCTGAGGTTTTGTTTATTTTTCTTTATTACTATTTATCTCCATTCTTCCAGTTACACAATCTTTATCAATCCATCTTGAAGTTTTCTGGTGTTTTCTTCTGCTAGCTCAAATCTACTATTGGGTCCCTTTAGTGACATTTTTATTTTGGATATGGTATTTTTCAACACATGTTTACTTGTTATCTCTTTATCATTATTCTTTATTTATTGAGACATTGACATTATGCCTTTCTGGATTTCTTTAAACATTGCTCCTTTTAGTTCTTTTAACTTATTTTTAATAGCTGCTTGACATTTTTGCTATTTCTACACACTCTGGAAGGTAGCTTTAATTGCCTTGTTTTGTTTTATTTCTTTCTCGCTGTGTATGTGTCACACTTTCCTGTGTTTTTGTATGCCTCTTGTTTTTTTATATTGTAAAAAACTGGGCATTAAAAAATATATACATGTGGTAGCAACCTAGGGCTTGTTATTTTGTTGTTGACTTGTTGACTTTATTTTTCTTTAATGACTTGACAGAATCAGCTCAGTGAAGTCTCTTTCCACAGCAGTATGCAGCCCCTGATGTCACTCGTTAGAGAGCCTGGCCATGGCCATGCCACCCTGACCTCCCTTCTCCGGGGATAATGGTGGTTCCAGCCGAGTGCTTGGTGATGTTCTCCTCCTCTGGCTCACTGGTTAGGCCTTTCGCTCATTGGCCTGTGTTGGTTCCACAGCCAGCTGTTATCCTTTACCAATGTCTACCTGATTGCTTTATGGTTTCTGACAACATCCTGGGGCATAAATTGCTCCACAGTCTGATCCAACTAAAATCAGTCTCTTCACTGGAGTTGTCTCTTGTCTCCTCTTTAAGACCTGCACTGGCCCCAGCAGGGCTCTCTGCGACTGTCTCTTTCTGTGGCTCTCTGTTGGGTTTCTAGCTGGCTCACCATTTTGCTTGCTGCCATATGCAGCTGCCGGCCTTCTCTCAATTGCTCCCACTAGACATGACAGTGGCATTGACTTGGGCTGTGGGTGATAGGCAGTTCCCCTAACTCTTGCCTCTCTCTGTTTCTCTCCCATTGAGGATATCATGAGAATCCCTGCTTTGTGTCACTGTATTCCAGAGTCTCAGGTAACCTGGAATAAAACAGAACTAGAGTAAATGACACTGAGTCTCTTTTTTGTGTTTTAATCAGAAACCTTTTGGGGAGTTTATGTTTATTTTTTCTTGATGCCAAATAGCCTACATTAGGTCCCTCTCTCTTTATAAAAGCCCGCATCCTGTTCATTTGATAGTTCACACTCATGGCTTAGTTTTATTGTTTCTCCTCCCCCTTTCTTGATTGATACTGGTGACAGACTGCTTCAAAAATTAAAGTTGTGCACCAATATTTGTTCATGGAATGATGCATTCATACTATATTTTTGTAATATGAGCCTCAAATTGGCAACTGATCCTATTTGAAATGAATTTGCCCTTTGCTGTGCCTGGAAGAAGCCTCATGGCTCTCCTATGAGGCTGCCTTGGGGGATGTCCCCCTTTCTCCTGGCAGAGGTGGCCTCCTCCAATGCTAGCCAGAAGGTGAGCAGGTAAAGGTATAGACCTTGTCTGATCCAGTCTCCATCCTCCAGTTCCCGGGATGGCACCTGACACATAGCATTCCCCACACTATCACTGTCAAGTAAATGAATGAGCTAATTAATCACCAGTAGCATGAACATGGCAGCTCAATGTTGACAAGATGACAAAGGGACTTCAGGTTTCGTTCTGAGAATGGTAGGAATGTCAACAATTTAGACAAATTAATTAGTGGTATAGATTCTAAAACATCAGGAATTCCAAAGAAATATTTCAGAAATGCTAAGCTTGAAAAGCTATCCCGAGTGGGCTGTCACGGTGGCCTGAAGGTGAGGACTGCACTATGATTAGGGAGACGGAGCTTGGAGGTAAGGCTGATATATGGTCAATGGCTCATCATTAAGTTTCCCTGAAAACTCTCTTTCTTCCTGAGATGGGTTGGAGGCTAGGGAAGCATGGGAACAAGAAGGACAAATTTCCTAAATTGTCAAAGGCTGAGTTTGTCTTCTTCGGTACCTATCCCCAAGCTCCTAGGATGCTTTATTTACAGAGGAGCCCTGGCACAAAAAGACCACAGAGATCCCCTTGGGGTCTGTCCAGTGGGTGGCCCTCAGGGAAGAACCAACCACCCAATTGCAGACAGTGCAGATGCACATGGAAGACACAGCACCAGCTCCCTGAACAGGATTTGTATGAGCACTGAGCTGCTTGCAGGCACAGCAGTCCGGGTTGAGGAGAAAGGTTGGCTCGGATCTGCAAGACACCATGCAGTCACCTGTGCTGCCAGGCCCAGGCTCCCTGGGGAGGCCCAGCCCAGGGAGGTTCCCACACATCCCTTCCTTGCACACCTTGAATGTGGGACCTTGAGAGCTGGGCTCAGACCTCTAAGACGCGATGCCTGAATCACACTCCAGGCACCACTGCCATCCCCATGGCTCTATTTAGAGACCTGAGGAAAAGTAAGCAAATCCATCAAAAACTTCCTCAATACTCTCCCCAAGTCAGGCATGTGAACTGAAAGACACAATCAATGCAATTTATGGTCTGGATCAGCTATGGACCCGAAAGCTTTCCATGTTGAAAGGGCTTTTTTTGATCAATTACAATGTACCTGCAGCACCGTAAAAATACTGTATCTCTCCACCATTGAGACATTTCATCAAAATGTCACGATTTATTTTACTTCTCTCACAGGTGGAAGCTATATCTCTGCCTCCCTGATTTTTTGCCATATTCAACATCATTTTTTCCCGTTTCATTGTGGAGATGGCAGCTCCTTATTTGCAAGCTCAGGAAAGTGTTTGTTGAATCAAACCTTTGTCTTTGCTCTCTCAGCCAGAATTAACCCTCCCCAGACACACTGCTGTAATCAGGCTGTGGCACTTACTTAATTCAGCCCCAAAGCAGCATGAACCATTTACATGTCTGTGTTTCTGTCTCAACCCTGTGCCCAGCAAGGCAAGGATGAATTTGTGGGGTCACTCTAGCTCCCAACCTCAGCCAGAACCTGCAGTTTCTAAGCTTTTGATAAATGGCCGACGAATGGATGGAAAGTCAGCAATCCAGTGCATGGACGAAGAAGCTGTCATTGTCTGGGGTACAGGAGTCCCCTACAGAGGGATGACCTGAATGGGACAGGGAATTTCCTGGGCATGAGGGAGAGGAGGCCTCCCCAGGCATGAGGGAGAGGAGGTAGAATCACTGGAAGATACAGAGCAAAACGAGGGATCTGGCAAAATACCCTGCAGGGAAGGGGCTGCAAAACTCTCACTAGGGGCCAGAGAGCCCCCTCCTCATGCTGCTAGATTGAGAAGAAGGTTCTGAAGCTGGTGAGCTCACTGGAGAGAAACTAAAATGAAGTCATGTTCCAACAGAAAAAAAGAATGTTCAAAACTCTACATCCAAAGTGGCATAGACGATCCTCCGTCCTGCCTCCTCACACCCCAAACACACACACCAATATTTCACCGTCGTCTGTAAAGAGACTCCTGAGTAGCATGAAGACAGCAACAAGTCAATCCAGACGTTGAACCCACCTCCCCAGCCTGCCCCACAGGCCAGTGGGAAGTTAGGGAGCACCTGGGTCAAGGTGCAGGGACAGACGCATCTTTGTCCTCAAAAGGCATGCAGACCATTGGCTCATAACAAAGACTAAAGATAACACATGGTTTACAATGAATTCTCTCAGTGCCAGCTTCATATATCAAGCTAATACAAGCTGCATGTTCTTTTTAATGCAAAGAAAACAAAATTATTGGGGATGTTTTTGACACGATCTATGCCCATATCTCTGCTAAGTTCTTTACTTTCATCAATTTTTGCAGCAACTCTATGGGGTCATTTTATAGACAAGATAACTGGGGCTTAGAGAATTTAGGTGTTTTTGCAGCTAGCAAGAGGCCAAGCCCAGATGCTGCTGGGCTTGAGGACCATCACTGAGGTCTGCCCTGGGAGTAGAGACATGCTTCCTCACTCTGTGCACTGGGACTCTGCTGGCCTGCCAGGAAGATGTTCTTGCACAGAGATACTGCAAGAGTTCCAAGAGAAGGAAGGAGGGAGTCACAAAGTGGGTGAGGATTGTGAGCTGTCTGGCTGATATAGATGGGCTGTGAGGCCAGTGAGGGAGGAAAGGCATGCTCTGCCATGATTGCTGGAAGGTTGGCTCTACAACTTCAAGCGTGCAGCTCAACGTCTGACAACCTCTAAGTGACCAAGGCTTGTTTGCAGGAGATGAGGGGTTGGTTAATCCCACTTCTGAACCTGATGGGGAAAGAAAAGCTACACAGCAATAAAGCTCCCTGGCCAGTTTTCCCCAGAGCAGGGGCAGCCATGGAACCTGCTCAGGGCAGGGCGTTTCTCAAGTTTTTGGGCTGCTTAACAACTGCTTCTCTTCTAGCAACATGTACAACAACATGTGCATTTAGAAAGAAAGTCTTTCCTCTCCAAATCTCACATCAAAATTTGGAGATGAGCAATTTCAGAACAAACTGGAGCAGAGGAAACTAGAAGGATTTGCTTCTAGAGCTGCCCATACAACAGCCCTGTGCATTTGCTCTTTCCATCCTGAGAATGAATGAGAACCCAGAGAGACAGGTGTTTTTCCCGGGTGGGTGGTCCAGGACTGAAGGGGACTCCTTGAAGGGGATTCCTCTTATTTTTCTTTTCTGGCTGATTTTTTTAAGTAGACTATATTTTAGAATAGTTTTAGATTTAAAGAATAGTGAGAAGACACAGAGTTTCCACACGCTGCATGCCTAGTCCCCTCCATTACTGACATCTTGAAGTAGTATGACACTTTTGTCACAATTAATGAAGAAGTAACAGGAAATTTCTGTTAATTAAAGTCCGTAGTTTACTCAGATTTCCCTAGCCTTTGTCCTTTTTCTGTACGAAGATGCCACCCAACATGCTTCATCCCAATTCACTGTCATGTCTCTTTATGTCTCTTTGGGCTCCTCTTGTCTGTGACAGATTCTCAGCCTTTCCTTGTTTCTGATGACCTTGACAATTTCAGGGAGTACTGATTAGGCATCTTTTGTATGCCCCTCTGTTGAAATTTCTCTGGTATTGTCTGCATGAGTAACTGGGGTTGTGCACTGGGCAAAGGTCACAGAGAGAGAGTATCACTTTTATCACAGCACATCCGTCGTGCGTCCCATCGGGACTTACGCCTCTCAATGTTGACCTTGGTCACCTGGCTGAAGTGCTCTGAGGCTTCTCCTCCTTTGCACACTGTACTTTTTTGAGGGAAGTTGCCATTGGCAGCCCAAGGAGTGGGGAGTTATGCAGTGGAGAAAGAGACATAAGGATGGAACAGGGAGGTTTGCAGATTCTGGGCTTGAAGACTAAAGGGAAGTGGCCACAAGCCAAGGAATGCAGCAGCCATGGGTTGCCGGAAGAGGACCTGCCACCACCTGCATTTCAGCCCAGCGATACTGAATCTGGGCCCCAGACCTGTGAGATAAGAATGTTTTTCCCTAAAACACCAAGTTTGTGGTAATTTGTTACAACAGCCACAAGAAACCAGTCATCCTTGAGTACATTAGCATCAACTCATGAGTATTGATTTTAGACTATGGGTTATAATCCAATACTCCTTTACTCTTTTGTTGCTGAAATGGCTTGAGCTTTGGCCATTGGGTGCTCCTTCAGTTCACTCATGTGCCCCCATGACACACCCCTATCATTGTGGGGGTTTGTGGTGCTAGTGATGGTGGCGGTTGCTGTGCCTTCTTACTCTCCGGCACTATCAGAGGCTTCCAGCTGATCTGGAAGGTACCTCACTCCATAGAATTAGCCATTTCTCCAAGAAGCCCTGGGTCCTTCTGTTGGATTATGGTGCCAGGAACAAAGGCTGGGTGCTCAGTGTGCTTATAGCTGCTGGAGTATTGTTTCTTTTAGACCCTCTGAGCTGATGGAGCAAGGAAATATATACACATATACTAATCCATGTATATAAACATATATCCACATATTTCTACGTCTGTAAGACATGAAAACACACTTCTCTGTTTTAAGTTAAACATGAGTTCTTAGTGATGCCTCCAACTCTAATCTGTAGCAAGGGGATCATTCTAAACTCCTCCCTTCCACTCCAGTATTGAAAAATCAGGTGCTCCCATCCACCGGTCATTTACTTAATTGTTCAGTTCCAGCGTATCTGGGAAAGTATCTGAATTGCTAGCAGGTATTCTTGTGTGGGGAGGAACATTATCAACTAGAGTCTGGTTCTTCCATAGAGTTCCCTCTGCCTATGGTCTCACAGTGGCCACTCATTTCTAAAGTTGCTTAAGTCAGCCCCTCCCCACCTGGTTCAGTGAGGTTGCTTTATATATTTGTAATGCAGCAGATATTACCCATGTCTTATCACAGTCTGCATTTCTTCCTGGGGTCCCTGACTTCCTCAGTCACTTTTTAAGTTTTCATTCATTAAGGATCACTTTTTATTCTGTGAAGTTCTATGGGTTTTGACACATGCATAATGTTATGCATCACTATTAGAGTATATACAGTACACGTTTACCACTCTAAAAACCTCCTGTATTTCACCTATTCCGTCACTATTAGAGTATATACAGTACACGTTTACCACTCTAAAAACCTCCTGTATTTCACCTGTTCCATCACTATTAGAGTATATACAGTACAGGTTTACCACTCTGAAAACCTCCTATATTTCACCTGTTCCATCACTATTAGACTATATACAGTACACGTTTACCACTCTAAAAATCCCCTGTACTTCACTTATTCTGTCACTATTAGAGTATATACAGTACACATTTACCACTCTAAAAGCCTCCTATACTTCACCTATTCCGTCACTATTAGAGTATATACAGTACACATTTACCACTCTAAAAACCTCCTGTATTTCACCTATTCCGTCACTATTAAAGTATATACAGTACACGTTTACCACTCTAAAAATCTCCTGTATTTCACCTATTCCGTCAGTATTAGAGTATATACAGTACACATTTACCACTCTAAAAACCTCCTGTACTTCACTTATTCTGTCACTATTAGGGTATATACAGTACACGTTTACCACTCTAAAAATCTCCTGTACTTCACTTATTCCATCACTATTAGAGTATATACAGTACACATTTACCACTCTAAAAATCTCCTGTACTTCACTTATTCCGTCACTATTAGAGTATATACAGTACACGTTTACCACTCTAAAAACCTCCCGTACTTCACTTATTCCGTCACTATTAGAGTATATACAGTACACATTTACCACTCTAAAAACCTCCTATACTTCACCTATTCCGTCACTATTAGAGTATATACAGTAGACGTTTACCACTCTAAAAACCTCCTGTACTTCACTTATTCTGTCACTGTTAGAGTATATACAGTACACGTTTACCACTCTAAAAATCTCCTGTATTTCACCTATTCCATCACTATTAGAGTATATACAGTACACGTTTACCACTCTAAAAATCTCCTGTACTTCACCTATTCTGTCACTATTAGAGTATATACAGTACACGTTTACCACTCTAAAAGTCTCCTGTATTTCACCTATTCCATCACTATTAGAGTATATACAGTACATGTTTACCACTCTAAAAATCTCCTGTACTTCACCTATTCCATCACTATTAGAGTATATACAGTACACGTTTACCACTCTAAAAGCCTCCTGTACTTCACTTATTCTGTCTCCAGAAAGCTCTCTTCTCCCTCCTGAAGTGGCTCCTTCCTACTGGAAACTACTAATTGTTTTTCTGCCTTTGTGGTGTTGCCTTTTCCAGAATGTCATATAATTGGGGTCATAAAGTCTGTAGTCTTTTCACATCGGCTTCTTTCATTCAGTAATGTGCATTCAAGTTTCCTCCACATCTTTCTGCGCTTTGATAGCTCACTTATTTTCATCTCTGAATAGTATTACAGTGAATGAATGGATGGGCCACAGTTTGTTTATCCATTCACCTACTGAAAGACATCTTGATTGCTTCCAGTTCTGGGCAATTATGAATGGAGCTGCTATAAACATTTGCATTCAGAGTTGGGCTTAATCATAAGTTTTCAAATCAGTTGGGTAAGTTCCTAGGAGTGTGATTGCAGAACTCTGTGGCATGGCTGTGTTTTGCATTGTGAGAAACTGCTAACCTGTCTTCCACAGTGGCTGCACACTTTGCATTTTGCAACCAATGAGAGCTCCTGTGGCTTCACATCCTTGTCAGCACTGGGCATTGTCAGTTTTGGATTTTAGCCCTTCTAATGTGTGTGTAGTTGTCCTTGTTGTTGTTTAATTTGCAATTCACTAATAAATGATGTTGAGGCTTGGCATTGTGGCTCACATCTGTAATCTTAGAACTTTGGGGGGCTGTGGTGGGAGGATCACTTGAGCCTAGGAGTTTGATACAGCCTGGCAACATAATGAGACCTCATCTCTACAAAAATTTTGAAAAATTAGCTTGGCATGGTGGCGCATGCCTGTGGTCCCAGCTACTTGGGAAGCTGAGGCAGGAGGATCACTTGAGCTCAGGAGATTGAGGCTGCAGTAAGCCATAATTGCACCCCCACACTGCAGCCTGGATGATAAAGCGAGACCCTGTCTCAAAAAAAAAAAATGATGTTGAGCATCTTTTCTTTTTTTTATTTGTTTATTTATTTTTTTGAGACAGTGTTTCACTCTGTTGCCCAGGCCGGAGTGCAATGGCGTGATCTCGGCTCACTGCAACCTCTGCCTCCTGGATTCAAGCGATTCGATTTTGAGCATCTTTTCATATGTTTATCTGCCATCTGTATATCTGCTTTGGTGAAGTGTCTGCTTGGTGTTTCTGCCTAATTTAAAAACTGTGCTTCTTTTTCTCATTATTGAGTTTTGAGAGTTCTCTATGTATTTGGATATTGACCTTTATCAGATGTGTATTTTGATATCAGCCTTTATCAGATGTGTATTTTGATATCAACCTTTATCAGATGTGTATTTTGATATCAACCTTTATCATATGTGTATTTTGATATCAACCTTTATCAGATGTGTATTTTGATATCAACCTTTATCAGATGTGTATCTTGCAAATATTTTCTCCCAGCTTGTGGCTTGGCTTTTCCTTCTTTTAATAGTTTCTCTCACAGAACAAAGTTTTAAAATGTTAATAAAGTCTAACTCACTAATTTTTTCATTCATGGATCATGTTTTTGGTGTCGTGTCCAAAAACTCAAAGTCGCACAGCTTTTCTTATATGTTTTCTTCAACATATTTTATAATACGGCATTTTATCAGCTTTCTGATACATTTTGAATTAATTTTTGTGAAAGTTGTAAGGTCTGTGCCTAGATTTTTTTTCACACATTGACATCCAGTTGTTCTAACATCGTTTGTTGAAAAGGCTATGCTTTTTTTCCATTGAATTGCCTTTGTTCCTTTGTCAAAAATTAGTTGACTGTATTTGTGTGGATTTATTTCTGGGCTCTCTATTCTGTTCCATTGATCTATGTGTCTATTCTTTCACCAATACTGTGCTGTCTTGATTACTGTCTTATTGTCAGGTACCGTCAGTCCTCCAATATATTTTTTTTAAGTATTGTGTTGGCTAGTCTTGGTCTTTCATCTTACCATATAAGCTTTAGGACCAGTTTGTCAGTATCCACACAGTAACTTGCTGGTGTTGTGAATAATACTGTGCTTTATCTATAGATCAATTTTGGAAGAATTGGCATCTTAAAAATATCAAGTTTCCAGCCCATGAACAGGGAAGTTTTCTCCATTCATTTAGTTCTTTGATTTATTTTATTGGAGTTTTGTAGCTTTCCACGTGTATTTCCCGTACATCTTTTGTTAGTCTGGTTACCTTTCTCAGGGCCCTGCATCAGCATACTCTCTGGGAGGATTTCAAAGAGTGACAGCTCCCTCTCCACCCCTCCATCCTGGCTTGGACCTCCCCACCCCGGGGGAAGCCTGCTGTCATCTACAAGGCATTGGACCTCCCAACCCCCGGGGAAGCCTACTGTCATCTACAAGGCAGGCAATTGCCCCTTCAGCACCTGCATCAAGGTGTGTAGCACAAGCCACATGGTAATGGACTTATTGTTGTTATTGGTCCCCTTTGATGACAGGCTTGGGCTTTGTGAGGACAGTAACTATAGTGTTTATTTCCACATCTCCATGGGCACTTAGAGCCTGCCACAGAATTTTGATTCAGGCTTCAGGACCCCAAAGTGCAAGCACAAAAAATTCAATGGCTAGAGATGGTAAGAACTTCACTTCTGTCGACATCCTGTCTCCAACTGCCTTGGAGAAGAAAGTCCATTCCTCTATTTCATATTGCAAATCTCATGCACATATTTCTCTTTGGATGACTCTAACTCAGCACTGTACAGAGAAGGGACTCCTGGGAAATTCACACAAAATTTGGCTGCGTTTGCAATGTAGCAACTGCATTTGCAATGTATTCAGAAAGGGTGGTAGTGATGCCATATTGACAAGAGAAGCTGCACAGCAACTGCGCATTAGTGCCACTTCTCTAAAGCTATGGCTTTGTCTCCAGATGATCTCTGTAAAAACGCACATACATCATTTGCAAGGAGAGGCGCCACAGACAAGAGACCGCTAGGGCCGTACAGATCAATAAAGCAAAACTTGCAGGTGAAACAAGCCCTTCTTAGCTGCTTTTCTGTAGGCATTTTTCTCCACTAGCAATGCCACATAGGGACATGCTAGATACATTACGGGAGAAGCATCATATTGGATGGTGATATTTCCTCTCTGAACATTATTACTAAAAGCTGTGTGATCAGCAGATCCTACGTAAAACTATCCAAACTCTTAGACCATTGCATTTGCAGTAAAAGCAATCGTTTTTATCCTACTTCCTTCACAGAATACTATCATTTTCATAAAGAAGGAGAAAATTCTGCCTTGCTTATGAATCTATCATTTGGATTGCTTTTTGGTTTTATGTGGATGTATTTCTTATATTTAACTTGACCAAGATGTATTGAAAATTGGGTGACTAATATGAGTAGCATAAAACCTGAAAGTCAGGGCTAAGTTAATAACGTTCTTGGGAAAAAATATGTCCTCTGTCACACCATTGTCAGTAACCGAACTCTGGACAGAAAAACTGAACTCTTTGGAATGGATTATTATTATAAAGACCTTTGTTTTCCAGGTAGAAACTCTCTGAGCAATTCAACATTCAGGTGGGGCTGTGGACTCTAAAGAAACCCATGAAAAGTTGGCCTATTGTATGTTCTTCACATGGAACCATAAAGAGGCTCATATAGTCTGATCAATAGAAACCTTCCCTGGAGTAGAGGTTCAGGTCAGCACAAATACCTGGGGAACACTCTGCTTGGATAGTTTTTTTTTTTTTCACTTAGCATCAGAGAGGATTATAATATCATCTCTCCTCAGGAGTAAAGGAAAGACATTTTTATCAATAGGTTTAGCAAAATAGTTCCATCCTGTGAGCCTCTGGCTTTCCCATACTGTACACATATGTGAAATCACACATAGGAACCAAATTAGTAGAACATCGGAAGCATAGTCAGTACGGTCTAATTTGTAAAATGTCCTTTGAGCTTTGAAAGGTTGAGATGCTGAGAACCTTGTCCTGTTGTGCTAGAATTGGACAAATCAATAACCCGGTACATGTGGTACTGGATGCTGCAATACTTGCTAATACCAGAGTATTGGAGCAACCACCTATGCAGGGGTAAAGTTGGGATTTGGAGGAGCTCAGGTACAAGCATTCCAATACCCGATCATCTGATACCTGAACCAAATCTGTTCTTTAAAGGGTTTCTGAATTCAGTATCTCCTTCAAATTCCCAGCACACACAGGATTCAACCCGTTCTAGAATATAAGTAAACTATTTATGTAAATAAATGCCGGGAAAAATGGAGCTTGGGTCACTTCTTCACATGCTCAGCAGCTTCCCCTTGTAGCTCCTTTGCTAGATTCCACGTGGATCCCTAATTCACAGTCTGCCCTTATTGGAGAAAACCCCCTTCCCCATCCACCCTTGGGGGATGTCTTGATTTGGCAGTCACATCTCCAACAAGTTAACAAGCTCGCTTAACTTGTGGCAGAGCCAGATGGTCGATGAGAGGTGTTAGCGATTTGTGAAAGTGAATTGCTGCCTTGATTCTCCACGGATGCTTTGTCTTGACTTCCTATAGCTCACATTTCCATTCATAGGCAGGTGGCCTTCCCTGAATCATTTGGTGATGGGTAGGTGCAAAAATCTCTCTCAGACTTGATTTGGGAAAAGCAGAAGACACTGGAATTTGGATCTTCAGGGAATGAGTGCGATCATGGAACTCAGAGTGCTGCCCCAGGATGGTGTTCAAAGACATTCCTGCTTCTTAGACGTGTTGGCAGCTTCTACCCCAGCCTGTGCTGTACAAAGGCCACAGGGCCCTAACAATTGCTTCTTTTCTAGAAAGATTTTATGCAGTTTCAGCTTTGCTTCAAGCTGCCTTTTCTTTACTTCCTCTTGTTTCTTTCAGACCGAAGCTAGGTAGGGTTTATCTTGAAACGTTTCAAGCCTCTCCCTGCCTCCCTTTCGTGCTGCCGATGGCTGTTTGGGCACTGGGATCACTGAAGTTCTGCGTCAGCACCATGGACAGCAGTCCCGGCCCCAGGCCGCAGGACCTGGGGAGGGGCCACATCACTAAAGGAGAATCAGCTGCCACTGGCTCCCTGGTGTTGGCACGGCTCAGGGGTGCCTGAGCTCCTTCTGCCACTCCACTGCAGACTTCTAAATGGCCTGGGTGAGGGGCTGCAGCAAGGTCCTTCTCCCTCAGCCAGTGGGAGAGCTCCTCAGAGACAGGGTGTCCACCTCACACCCTTCAACCCCCAGCACCCAGCCCTCCGTGGGGGCTCTCTGCAGTTTGTGGTCCAGGTTCTGTTCTCAGGACAAGCACAATCACCAACAGGCATCAGCTGCGCTGGCTCCTGGAAGTCAGCCCTGCGCCACGCCCCTGAGCAGGTAAAGGTCGGGTTTCAGGAGAATGGTGAGGAATGGGATGATGACTAGAGAGGCAGTCGAGCTGGCAGAGGATAGAGGGACAGAGAGCCAGTCAGGGCGGCTCTCACGAGCGGGACCACCTGCTCCTCCTCCTGACCATGGCTGGAGCCTGGGTCCCTGAAGTCACCAGACCTGCAGTTCTGTTGATTTTTGACACAGGATCAAAGAAGCCCATGCTCCTTCAAGTTAGTCCAGATTGCATGTGTAAGAGTGTAATTGTGCCAGTGTGTATGAGTGTGAGCCTGCATGAGGTGTCTGTGTGTCATTATGTGAGTGTGAGTGTGAAGTGAGTGAGCATGTCTATGAGTGTGAGTGTGTGAGATCTCTGTGTGTGATTGTGTGAGCGTGTGTATGAGTGTGAGTATGTTTGTGTGTGATTGTGTATGCGTGTGTATGAGTGTGATTGTGAGGTGTCTGTGTGTGTGGTTGTGTGAGCATGTGAATGAGTTAGCAGGTTGGAGGTGCCTGTGTATGATTGTGTGAGCATGTGTGTGAGTGTGAGCATGTTTGAGGTGTTTGTGATTGTATAAGCATGTGTATGAGTGTGATTGTGAGGTGTCTGTGTGTGTGAGAGCATGTGTGAAGTGTCTGTGTGTGATTGTGAGTGTGTATGAGTGTGAGTGTGTGAGGTGTCTCTGTGTGATTGTTACCATGTCTATGAGTGTGAATGTGTGTGAGGTTTCTGTGTGATAGTGTGTGTGTATGAGTGAGTGTGTGTTTGTGTGATTGTGTGAACGTGTGTATGAGTGTGATTGTTACATGTCTGTGTGAGTGTGTGAACATGTGAGGTGTCTGTGTGTGGTTGTGTGTGTGTATGAGTGTGAGCATGTGTGAGGTGCCTGTGCCATTGTGTGAGTGCAAGCATGTGTGAGGTGTTCTTGTGTGATTGTATGAGCGTGTGTATGAGTGTGATTGTGAGGTGTCTGCATGAGTGTGAGCATGTGTGTGAGGGTGTGAGGTGTCTGTGTGTGGTTGTGAGCATGTGTATGAGTGTGAGCGTGTGTGATGTGTCTGCGTGTGATTGTGTGAGTGTGTGTGAGTCTGTGAGGTGCCTGTGTGTGATTGTGTGGGTGTATGTGTGTGTGAGGTGCCTGTGTGTATTTGTGTGGGCATGTGTATTAGGTGTATGAGTTTGGGCATATGTGACCTGTCTGTGTGTGATTGTGTGAGCATGTGTGTATGTGTGAGATGTCTGTGTGTGTGAGAGTGTGTGTGAGGTGTCTGTGTTTGATCTTGTGGGTGTGTGTGTGTGTGAAGTGTCTATGTGCCATTGTGTGATCATGTATGTATGAGTGTGTGTGAGGTGTCTGTGTGTGATTGAGGGAGCATGTGTGTGTGTGAGAGATGTCTGTGTGTGATCGTGGGAGCATGTATGAGATGTCTGTGTGTGACTGTGAGAGTGTGTGCATATATGAATGGGTGTGAGTGTGGTTGTGTATATGTGACTATGACTGGGTGAGTGTGTGTGAGGTATCTGTGATTGTGGGAGCGTGTATGACGTGTATGTGTGTGACTGTGTGAGTGTGTGCATGTGTGAATGGGTGTGTGGTTGTGTATAGATGAGTGTGTGTATGTGACTGGGTGTGTATGAGTTGTCTTGTGTGATTGCGGGAATGTGTGAGGTGTATTGTGTGACTGTGTGAGAGTGTGTGCATATGTGAATGGGTGTGAGTGTGGTTGTGTATATGTGAGTGTGTGAATGTGACTGTGTGACTGTGTGTGAGGTGTCTGTGTGATTGTGGAAGCATGTATGAGGTGTATGTGTGTGAAAGGTGTGCATGTGTGAGTGGGTGTGAGAGTGGTTGTATATATGTGAATGTGACTATCTGGGTCAGTGTGTGTAAGGTGTCTGTGTGATTGTGGGAGTCTGAGGTGAATGTGTGAGACTGTGAGAGTGTGTGCCTGTGTGAATGGGTGAGTGTGGTTGTGTGGGTGTGTGTTAATGTGACTGTGTGGGTGTGTGTGAGGTGTCTGTGTGATTCTGGGAGCGTGTGTGAGGTGAATGTGTGAGACTCTGTGAGAGTGTGTGCATGTGTGAATGGGTGTGAGTGTGGTTGTGTATGTGTGTTTGTGTGTGAATGTGACTGTGTGGGTGAGTGTATGTTTATGTGTATGTGGGTGAGCAGGTGCATGTTTTACAATTTCTTTGCCTAAGTTCTCCAGGCCTTCCTCTTCGTCTGGCAGCCAGAGCTGAGACCTGCACCAGTGCTGGAGGTGAGACCCTCTCCTGCCGGCTTACACTCTTCATTCCCAGTGTCATTCTGGGTAACTCTTAGCTCAAGAACTCCCCTGTGGTATAAGGAGGCCAAATGATTTTAGTTCATTTTGTTTTATTACAGAGCAAGAATTCCAAACTTCAAAACTAAGCAGTCTCTGAAGAATGGAGATGGCAGGCGTTCTGCTCCCTTACAGCAGCTGGTAGA
This sequence comes from Homo sapiens, assembly GCF_000001405.40. Classification (NCBI taxonomy): domain Eukaryota; kingdom Metazoa; phylum Chordata; class Mammalia; order Primates; family Hominidae; genus Homo; species Homo sapiens. Next base: position 130,927,146 of record NC_000010.11, read on the forward strand.
ATCAAGACCCATGGGTCCATGGAGGAAAAGGGGAAGAGCCTCTGTCCTTTGGTAAGAAAAAGCTACCTAATACTTATATTCACATTCAAAACAGAGAAAATGAAAACTACTTTGGCGAGAACAGGTTGTTTCTTAGTGGGGAATTCCATTCTGACTAATCCAAGTCTTTCTAACTTGTAATTCAAGCTATGGCAACATTAGGTAATCACGAATATTGAATTTTCCCCTTCTTTTCAGAATAAGTCAGATGCTTGGTAACTGTACCCACTGTAGGGAAGTGAAAATCCCCCTGCTGTTTTTTAAGATCATGGAATGCAGATCTTTCACCAGCTTGCTAAGACAATGTATGATTGATCTTCGTGTTCTCAGAATGCAGGGACGAGCTTGTGTGTTTGAAACTACTGTACAAAAGCCGTCCATCCAATGAGTTGGACGAGCACAGCACCTCTGAGCTCACTCTTGGCAAGCTTTTGCTAATCAACCCAGGCACATAAACAAGGAACTCATTTGAGATGTTTGTAGACCTGTAGGGAAGACAAGCTACCTATGGAAATTTGGATTATTAGGTTATCTTAAATGCAAGTTGTCAGTTTAAAGGAAGGAATGGTTACTTTTGACAACGAATTCTGAGAAGGCTGGAGTGGGTGAGCCTCGAGCTGGGATTATTATAATGGGAGGAAAGCACATCAGATTATTTCACAAAGAAACCTCCGCTTAATGAGGCAGCCTTTCAGAGGGGTAAGAAGCCTCCCTCCCACCCCACATTATAAATGTGTGGCAGCACTCAGAAGCCTGCAAATTAGAAACATGAGCATTGCCTAATGCTGCTGAATTTTGCCATAAATACACAGGCTTTACCTATTCAGGAGAAATATTGGGGGGTATATCTGCAGCCATTCAGTTTACTCATCTCTTAAAATCCTTGGGATGTGCAGTCAGCCATATGGCAAATCGTCCTTTCATGGCATCATAAAGACATGTAGTTGTCTCCCAAGATGAAACTGATCACAAAGAGGCAAACATTTGTATCAGACAGGATCCCAGAATGAAAGACACACTGAACTGGGATATTGCAGAAATTTAATGAATCAACTTTTTGGAGGGGTAAAGGCAAGGTTAAGGGCAGCAGACTGGCAAATATAGGAACGCATCAGTCCTTCCAGGCCTGAAGAGGAGTGGAAAAGAATGCTGTCATTTACTAGAAATGGGAGAAAACTGGAGCTGTAGGAGAGAGAGGCTGGCATGGGGGCACAGCATGCCAGAGCCATGGTGCCCACGTGAGACAGTGGGGAGGGGCATGAAATTTTCTCCTACTGTTGTTCTGTGCCCCTTTAGCATTCCTGCTGGCCAGATCCAGTCATAAGCAGAAGGCAGGGGAGCCCTGGGTGCAGCCCAGGTGAAGCAGTCTCTCGCTCCTGCCAAGCACCAAGCAAAGCAAAAACTCAAACAGGTCCAGGTGGCAGGGCACAGAGAACAGCCAGCACAGTTCTCCCCCTCAAGAACTTTCCACAATATCTTCCAAGTTCTGAAGCCAACATCCCGGGAGAAAGCTGGTTCTGGGCTGAACAGTACTTCAAGGAGGAGATGCTCCTCCAGGCAGGAGGACCCATTGAGATTGGCATCTGGGGCACCTGGCTTTTTAGAAGCCTTCTTCCTTCTAGAAAGACTTCAGCATGCTTCATCTCTTTCTCAGGGATGTTGAGAAAAAAGACTAGGGCTGCTGGGCTGCTCCACAACTCCCCCAGTACTGTGTGGGGTCTACAGACCCCAGGCCCAGCTCTGCTGGAAGGGCCTGGGAGGCAAACATGATGAGCCCACCACACCCAGAGAGACACCAGGGAGGCAGACAGACAGGGAGACACCAAAAAGTGAGCAGCCCCTCACCAGCTGTGAGTGCCCTGAGATGGAGGTGCAGGTGGGATGAGGAGGAAGAGAGGGAGTGACAGAGAGAGAGATCCGGGATGGCTGGAGGAGGAGGCCCTGTTTACTCCCCTAGGCACCCCAAGATGAGGATTTGGTCTTGTCACTTCTCCCCAGGACCCCTGATCCCGGGGTTTCCTCTCACACTCCCATCATCGCCGTCTCCTCTGTGTGCTGTGCTTATCAGCCCTGTGGGCTCCATGGACATCTCATGTGCCTGGGAGGCTGCTCTCCTTGTCCTGTGGATCCAGTTCTTGGCAGCCCCACTCTCAGGAGCACAGGAGTCCTGAGAGCCTCCTTCTGCCCATCCAGATGCCCACACACCTGACCAGGAGTGCACTGCTTGTTCTGACATAAAAAATGTGAGTTTTCTTCAGTTGTCTCTCGATGTTGTCTTATTTAATAAAGAAACAGCCTTCAGCCATGCCAGGCAGCCATGGACTGGAAGCTTCTGCAGCTTGCTCGGGTAGAGCTGTTCCTCCTGGAGCCCTAACAAAGCCCTCCGTTCCCCTTATGAACCCCCTGCCATGGCCATCTTCAGCTCCCCTTGGGGACTGTTCCAGAGAACAAATCTAAGGACAGAGGCTGAACCTCCCTGGAGCAAGCCTGGCTCTACGGGTGGCTGACTCCCTTAGAGGAGCCGTGCTCCGAGTTTTCAGAAGGAAACTGCATGTCTTTAATACAAACACAGGTGTGTCTGTAATGTTTCTAAATGGAAAAGGAGTGTTTGCCCTCAGGCATCCTTGATGGGACAATGGACAGCAGCCTCGGTGAAGGTGTGGCTGGGACTCCCAGGGTGTCTGCTCCCTCTGTGTATGGGCTGGGCTCCCTAATCCCTGCAAGGAGTCCCAAAGCCATGGAGTAGAGAGCCTTTGCAGCTGCCCTAGAGCCTGAGAGGCCACACTGTCCCAGCCTGACACCAGGACCTGCTGAGCCATCCCCTGCAATGCACAGGCCAGAGAGCCCCTGGCAGCATGGACTCATGCACACTGCTTGGGCCGGGGAACGAACGCCAGCCTGACTGGTGTGTGACTCCCGGCAGCTCCAGCAGGTGCGGGTAGCCAGCCTTGCCCAAGGGACACAGTCACTTCCTGCCCCTCCCTGGAAGCAGAGACGCCACAGACCAACTCCCTGCATTGATGCTGGCCGAGCACGGCATGACAGCCTGTGCCTTCTTCCTGCCATAGCTGGTGTGAGGAGCTGATGGGCTGCAGTGGACAGCCCCACGCCGGGAACCTGGCCTGGAGCAGGGCTCTGTCATGAGCACCTCCTCCTGTGGCTCTGTCATGAGCACCTCCTCCTCTTGTGGCTTCGTCGCTGTTCCAGGTGGGGCGGGACCAGGTCTCCGTCATGAGCACCTCCCCGTCCTGTGGCTTCGTCGCTGTTCCAGGTGGGGTGGGACCAGATCTCCGTCCTGAGCACCTGCTCCTCCTGTGGCTCCATCATGAGCACCTTCTTCTCCTCCTGTGGCTCCGTCATGAGCACCTCCTCCTCCTTCTCCTGTGGCTCCATCATGAGCACCTCCTCCTCCTTCTCCTGTGGCTCCATCATGAGCACCTCCTCCTCCTTCCCCTGTGGCTCCGTCATGAGCACCTCCTCCTCCTTCTCCTGTGGCTCCATCATGAGCACCTCCTCCTCCTTCTCCTGTGGCTCCGTCATGAGCACCTCCTCCTCCTTCTCCTGTGGCTCCGTCATGAGCACCTGCTCCTCCTCCTCCTGTGGCTCCGTCATGAGCACCTCCTCCTCCTCCTCCTGTGGCTCCATCATGAGCACCTCCTCCTCCTTCTCCTGTGGCTCCGTCATGAGCACCTCCTTCTCCTTCTCCTGTGGCTCTGTCATAAGCACCTGCTCCTCCTTTGGCTCTGTCATGAGCACCTCCTTCTCCTCCTCTTCCTGTGGCTTCATTGCTGTTCCAGGTGGGGCGGATGAGCTCCTTGCCACATGCTCCAGTGAGACCCGGGATGCTGTGCTGGAAAGCCTCAGGGAGAGTGGGAGCCTGGGCTCTGCACCCCACAGGGCCAGCCCAAAGTCTCAACGTGGCCTCAGCCCTGGAAGGAGGTCTGGGAGAGTAAGAGCAGACCCCGTCAGAAATCCCATACACACAGCTGACCCCAGTCCAGGGGGTGCTGGGGTGGGGCTATTCTAATTCAGCTGTAACATTTTATAAAATATCAGGTGCAGGGACTCATTCCTGAAATTGGATATGGGAGTTTTGAGCAACTATTTGGTAGCTAACAACCACAGTGTCCCCAGCTTCCAGCACTCAGTAATGAGTTGGATCTGGGGACAGTATGGCGGAGGGCCCATTCACCAAGTCCATGGTGGTGCTGCGATTTCCAGACTGGGTGATTCCTACAGGCAGGGAAGGTGCAGATGGTTCTTGTTCCTTGGGCATGGTGCCAGATGAGATCGTTGCTAAGGATTCTTCCGGTTTTAAGAGCTGATCACGGAAGAGATGAGAGGGAAGGAGGCAGGACAGATGAACCAGGGAGAAGCATGGCTGTCACTGCTTGTGGGTTGCTTAAGATCTGCAAGGCCTGTTCCTGCTGTGATCTTCCCAAAGCTTCACGAGGGAGATAGGAAGAACGCCTGCTGCACATCCCACAGCTTAGACGAAAGCTCTGCGGCTCTGAGAGGCTCCCTGACCTGCCCGTTCTCACAGCTCAAAGAGAACAGAGGGCAGATCTCTAGTTTCTGAGCACTGCGGTCTTTCACCAATCCAAAGGGGGACTCTGGAAAGGAAGGGACTCTTATCGGACTTTGCAGATGGCACAGGCAGGCATGGCCCCTGCAGGGATGTGGGCAGTGGAGGGGATGGGGTCTCTGCCTGAAGAACTTGACATAACACCTAACACCACCAACACCTAACACATAACACCTAACATCACCGGGACTGTTCATCTCTCCCTGAAGGCCAGACTAGGACACATGCATAGCGGAAAACTGTTTAAAATACAGACTTTAAATATATAGGAGTCGTTGTGTTTTCTATAGTCAATCTGTAACTAAGGTTTTCAAGGCAGAAAAATAATGCTTCTGCTATCACCACGATTTAATTTTACTTGCGGCACATTCGTGATTCCCAGGCATCTTTATAGTGTTACTTTGACAAGTTTACATTCATTTTTATAGCTCTCTGTGTGAAACTGCTTTGAAGAGGCAAAGCACCATATAGGGTCTAAGTATTATTACTTTTTTTTTCCTCTGGGAAGGAAACTTTTAATATGCTTCTTTGGAGTTCAGAAGCCAGGAAAGGCCCCCAGTGGGTGAGGGTCCCTCATTGGCATCAGACACCCCATTTAACACGAAAGTGGAGGAGGCAGCAGCGGATGGACTTGGGCAGTCTGGATGCATCTCAGCCTCCTGGAAGAGTCCTCCAGACCCCATCCCTGTGCCCAGATCCTGCTCCATGCTGCCACTCCACCTGCCAGCCCTTGCTCTCAATCTGGGGTCCAGATGTCTCCTGTGCTCGCATCTCGTCCTTGACCCTCTGGCTCTTCTGACACTCTCACTTCCAGACTTAGCCGACCCTCCGCTGCTGTCAACACTCTTGTTCTAGAACACACAGGACGCTAAATGTGAAGCAATTGGCAGGGTGCTTCTCCTGGGCTTGGAAACCCGGGAAGGAAACATCTACCTTCAGATCACAAGAGATGTCAGCTCTGGAGTGAAGCTTTTGGAAGACTCACATCAAGCCCAAATACCAAAGCCAGGGCAACACAAACTTCTGTCTAAAGTCATTAGTTTTGACTGAATTAACCCAGAACAAACTGGCAAGGAGAGAGAACGCAGTCGGCTTCCTGAGTGTGGAGTCAGCACTCATGCACAGCCATGTCACAGTGGCTGCTGCCTTGCCGTGTGGGTTATTCAGGGTGGCAGGTCCCTTCGCAGCACGAGTGTCAGCACAGAGTAGGCCTGATGCGGCACGGGGCTGCCTGGGGGGAGATTATTCCCATTTAGTCTTGCCATTTTCTAAAGCAAGGGCACAGTTATTCATTTCTGAAATTTAATGAAAGATGCGGGGCCTTTGAATAATTATTTGGTAACAAACAAGAGTGTTAAATGTTTCTGGCACCAGGGACTTGATTTGTTGGCAGATATGGGGCATGGGCCATGTGGCCAGTCCCCGCCTGCTCTGAGACTGGGAGGCTGTGGACCAGTGAAGCCCAAGAGAGAAGCATGAAGCTGGAGGAGAAAACAAGGCAGGAGAAAGGCCCTGGGTTCAGGTGAGCGTGGATGCGGAGGGCTCCCTGGGAGACCAGGGAGGTGTTGGGTTATGAGCCTGCAGCTTCCATTGTGTCCAGGAGTTCGAATGGGGCTTGGATATCCTGAGCTGGGAAGCAAGGGATACCCCAGCTCTCCTTGGAGTGCAAGCAAAGCCCAGAGCAGAGAGAAAGTCAGAAGAAGGCCTGCTTCAGGAGTGGATGGCAGGAGAACCATGGGGCAGAACCTGACATCCAGAAATGCACCATCTGCACGCAAGGGGGGCTCCGTATAGACCATGGGTGCTCACCAGGGTGGGCCCTGCACAACTCAGGGTGGCAGGAGACACTTTCGCCAGGGACCCAGTCTCAGATCTAAGCGGTATTGCCATGTGAGCCCCTGACCCTTGGGACCCACCCAGCTTTGTCTCTGCACATGTGCACATTTTCTCTGTGCTGAGGCTGTCCTCACAGAGACTGTGCAGGGCTTCCACCAGCAGCAATGGTGCTTCTGTTTCTCCTCCTGAGAGCAGAGCTGGGCCCCAGCCCCAATGGCACTGGCTCTCCACATTGGAGCATCAGTGGAAGGGTGCGTCCTCTCCTCTGCCCTGGGTGGTTCAATGCAGAAGTGCTCAGCACACCCCTCTCTGTCCTCATCTGCTGAGGACACAGACACTGAAGCAGGGAATCCAAAGTTTCTGTGGGGACAATGCCACTGGAGGGCCCCTGAATGACTTGGCTGTCACCCATAAAACTGTGATTTGAGCAGGAAATAAATCTCCATGGCGTGGAGTTACTAGGGTTTGGAGAATGTTTGTCACTACACTCAGCCTATCTGCCAGGTGCATGAGGGCATGAATGAACATTGGAACACAGCTGCCAAAGAAACTCCAGTTCCTGAACAAAGGGGCCTCGACCTGGAGGGACTCTGCTCTTCTTCACTCCTCCTGGAGCCATGGCTTCCCTGGAGTCTGGCCTGCTTAAGGACAGACGTTGAAGGTTTATATCATGTGCAACAAATGTTCAGCAAGAGGGGTGGAGTCTTTGTCATGTCAGAAGGGGCAGAGCCAGACACTGATGAATGGCGGGAAAGACAGACTTTACACAGGATGATTCCAGCAAGAGAGAGAGGCTAGACTCCAACCATGGCAGGGGCAGCTGGAATGTGCGGCCAAGAAGCAGTGGGTGGTCACCAGATGGAAACCACTCAGAGGAGACAGTGGGGAAGGGGTTCTTGCTAAACCGGTCTGACAGGGCTCCTGCTAAGGAGGCATGGGCTAGGGGTGAGGAATTTGATCAGATATGGAGAGTGGGGGATTCCTAGGAAACTGATGTCACCTGATTCTTGCTAAAATTGCGCTGGACAGCCAAGGACAGGGCCCGAGGCTGAGGCCTGGTCTAAAGGAAGGCTCCGAGGATCCTGGGTAGAGTTTGCTCAGACAGAGTCTCTGTCATGAAGAAGCCAAAACAGAGGCCCTGGCCAGGAGACACAATTCTCTCCAGCCCAGAACCACTTCAGAGCACTTGCCAAACAAGATCTAAGATTTGTAGCAGCAAGCTCTTCAGCAGGCTGACAAATACTTACCCGTGAAACAGATCACTGTTTGCATGCGGAGCGCCGCCCTCTGGGGATGCAGCTCCTAGTTGTGGTTCCTCATTTGTTATGTGATTGAAATATGAAAATCATTTAATCTGGCTACATAGCTTCAATATATTGATATTAACTATAAAAACAAATTCCGTCCGCAGGCCAAATCAGCAGATGGGTTTCAAACATTTTAGGAATATAAAGAGGTCACTTGGCATGCGGTAACTCAGATAAGCACTGAGCCCAGTGCATAGCAGGAGGCCCAGGGAGTGGCCTCATTCCTTTCCCCCAACCTCCTGCTGTGTCCTTGTCATTTCTGTACACAATAAAATCTGGCTCTTGCGCTTAGGAGCATGTCAGGGTTGCCGGGAGGGGCGGGGGATGCAGATAAACCAGCAATGACTGGCCCCACTCCCAGAGTTTCTGATTCAGCCTGTCAGGGTTGGGGCTCAAGAAATTGCTTTTTAAACAAATCCCCTGGTGGAAAGAATGCTGGCGACTGGGCATTCCACTCTGAGAACCACCAATTTAGGATACCCATGTTCCTTCATCTGACAACTTGGCCGAAAGGCAGAGAAAACTGAAGTCCTTTGCTTCTTCTGCCTGTGGTGGAAGGACCAAGACCAACATACAATATCCCTGTATTGGTATTGAAGCTTTTATTCTCTGCTCATACCCCAGTGATCCATAAAGGGTTAGGACAAGCACTGCCAAATAATACAATTAGGATGCTTTTATAGACCATCTAAAGCAGGGTTTCTTTGCTCTTGGAAATCCGATGAAAGCTATGAATCTCCCCTTCCCAAAAATACAACAGACACTCAAATATATGCACACATGCATGTACACACACACACAAACACACACACACTGAATTGTACATTTGAGTCCAAAGTTTTGTGAATTTCCTGAACCCTGTGACCCCAGGATAAGAACCCATAATATTCTAAAAATAAGAAGAAACAAGAGACAAGAGATGTAAACAGCTTTCTGTGATAAAAATGCAATGGTAATTTGGAAGGGACTTTATCTTGAAGCTTTTTGTTGTGTAAGATAAACAAAAAGAAGAATATTGGATTAGACAAAGAAGAAAAATAATTAGTTTGTCGTGGCAGTGATACTTTCCTGAAACTCGTCCAATGGGGCACGGATCAGGAGGGCTCCTCCTGGGGGCCTGAGGATGGAGGGCCACGACTTCTGTGTGCTCAAGAGCAGGGTCTTGCATGGCAGAGCCCAGGCAAGCACTGGTGACCCCTGCGGGCAGCATCCTGCAGCGGCTGCAGCACCACCCTCTGCTTCCTCCCCCATATGCCTCTGCTGACACTGGGTTCAGTGCTACCAGGGCGTGCACTAGGACACCTCTGGGTTTGCAGCGGAGGTAGCTGACTTCATTCATTCCCTCTGTCTACACTAGCAGATAGTCTGCACCCAGTGAAACCCACACCCCTCAGAAGAACCCAGTGGGGAATATTCCACTTTGCAGAGGCTGAAGCCCAGGGTGATCACGTGACTTGTCTGAGGTCACATGGTGAGTGACAGATCAGGACTCAAGGCCAAATCTGTCTCATCCAAAGCCCCCTTAGCAGCCCTATCAATGCTGTGCTGGGCTGTCCTGTCCATGGTCCTCCCTTCCCTCCTCAAGCCCCTGCCTTGAGAAACAGATACCTTCTCCCTAGAGTTGAGAGGAGACAGACAATTGCTTCTACATTCCCTGCCTGAAGATCTGTGAGAGGCCTCTCAGTCCTCCCCTCTCTTAATCATAATAGGACGTCCCGGCGGGGAGGGAAACACAGAGATGCCATCGCTAGCTCTGCTGTAACTTTTCTATCTGGTCTTGTCCACCTGCCAAGAATGGCCTTGTTATTTCTGCACATAAGTAACATAAACAATGGCTTTACCTCTGAACAGATCAGAGATGAAGCCCAAGCTCTGTGAATCTTGAGCTGTGCACATTCAGCGAGTGCCTTACGCTTTCTGAGTTGGCTTCTCTGTGTGTAAAATGGCATAGTGTTCCTCTCCTACAGGTCTTATGAATTTTACTAAAATGAAATAAAAAATCACTCAGCCCAGTGATTGGCGCACAATAGGTATTAAATGCGTATGTGCTTCCTTTCTCCTTTGCTCCTTTTCTTCCTGCATTCCTTTGCTTCTGAAGGTAAACAGTTAGTCATCACTGCAGCATATGGAAGCTATGAGGCCCGTCATAAAACTGTCAACCAGGACGCATACTGTAGCTCAAATTAAAATATCTTTGTTCACTTGATTCTTTGTGCTGGAGGCACAGTCAGTTAACATATGTCTGCAGTACAACGTTTGCAAGTAGGAATGACACTTTTAAAAACTTTGCAATAAATACTTTGGTTTTTGGTTACTGCACAGGGTATATCATCCTGTCTCCCCTGTCTGTCACTACATCGGTTATCATTAGGATAGGACAGGCTAGGTGTTTCACGTGACTCCCAAAGAGCCTAGGTTATGGTGGACAGTTCTCCAGTCATTTCAAAGCAGGTAAAGCAGATGCTGTAGGCCTCAGAGTAACTCTGGGGTGAGGAAGGGGAGGTTAAGGCAGAGGGGCTAACTGCCAAGTTCCTAAAGGAAGAGTCAGTGAGTATTAATTGAGCAGCTACTGTATCTGAGGCACTCTATAGAAACGGGAGCGGGCGTGGAGACTGGGGAGACACAGCAGTTGGCCTCAAGAGTGGGCTGTCGATGTTGAAAGGAGACCCCTGTTTCCTAATGAAGGGCACTGAGTGGTGTGATCATTCCAGCTGCAGCCTTGCCCATCACACCGCTTCCCAGGACCACAGCTGCCTACTGACCCCTGCACCCTCCCACCTGTGCTCTGCGTGGACTCGTGGTGTTAGAGCCCCTTCCCAAAGCCCACCATCAATGTGTGCAGCAGGCACCATGCCCAGGGCTTCATCAGAGAAGAAGAACTACTAGGAGGGATAGACAATAAGAGGCTCATTATCAAGGATAGAGCTTCTGCGAGTGTGCAAACCGGTGCAAGCCTGTTCCTTCTGCATCTGGTTTGGACCTGTAGTCTCGTAGGATCCTCCATGCCAGAGGCTGAGAAGAAAAGTCAGACTGAAGTGGGAGAGAGTGAAGATGAGCTAGACCCCATCAGGACTGACCGGAACTTGCATTTTTTTTCACACTGTCTCTAGACCCAAGGACACGACCGCCTTTAGAAGAAGCTTGATCCTTTGTTAGAGAGCTGCCCCAATCATTGAAGAGTCAGAGAAGTTGAAAGAGAAGACCTGTTGGGACCTAGAGGGTCTGCAGGACTGGGTGCTGCCCATGTCAGCAAGGGAGATGGCAGGCCAGTAACTGTGAATGGAGGGGCCAGAGTGCCCGGCCCCTCCGCCGCCCCAGTGCCTCAGGACAGCGCTGCCGCACTGCGGTGTCCGATTCTCACGCACAGCTCTCTGCGGCCAGCCCTCACCTGCACTGGCAGGGAAGGGAATTCTAGAAATGTGGGCAGCAAAGTTGACACAGTGTGGACACACAAGAGTCAAATCCTGGAGAGACGTCCGCAAACAGGTTTTCAGCTATAGACAGGGGAGTTCAAATTGATATGTGGATTTGAAAATGATTCGAAAACTGTACAAAGAATCTTAAAATATTTATAACACTTTGCCAATTGATTGTACTATTGGAAATGTAGGTTAAGAAAATAATTCTAAATGAAGAAAAATAATAGTTCTATCGGTGTTCAGTAGTAGAGAAACAGTTAAATAAATAAGTGAATAAATAAATCCACCTAAGGAAATATTAAAAAGTCATTGAAGACATTTTTACACAGTGTAGCATTTTTTTAAGTCTGTTACAGTGTAAAGTAACACACACAAGTTCCTAGGCAGCATGAACAAAATTCTGTAGAAAAGAAACTTTAAATAAAAAGAGGAAGCGGTATTCTGTTTCCAAAATCACAATAGCACATGCTTACACCTCGCCTCTCCACACACACTCCCAAATCCTTCAGGGCTCAACACCGAAAGCCAAGGAAGTCACCCAGCCCCCTGCCCAGAGCATAGCTGGTGACTGGTTGTAATAGTTGTCTCTAGAGGGACTGGACTAATAGGATAGATGTATGCATGAAAGGAAGTTTATTAAGGAGTACTGACTCACACGATCACAAGGTGAAGTCCCACAATAAGCTGTCTGCAAGCTGGGGAGCCAGGAAGCCAGTCTGAGTCCCAACACCTCAAAAGCAGGGAAGCCGACAGTGCAGCCTTCAGTCTGTGGCCGAAGGCCCGAGAGCCCCTGGCAAACCACTGGTGTAGGTCCAAGAGTCCAAAAGCTAAAGAACTTAGAGTCCGATAATCAAGGGCAGGAAGCATCCAGCACATGAGAAAGATGGAGGCCAGAAGACTCAGCCAGTCTAGTCCTTCCACGTTCCTCTGCCTGCTTTTATCCTAGCCGCAGAGGCAGCTGATTAGATGGTGCCCACCCAGATTGAGGGTATGTCTGCCTCTCCCAGTCCACAGACTCAAATGTTAATCTCCTCTGGCAACATCCTCACAGACACACCCAAGAACAATATTTTGCATCCTTCAAGCCAATCAAGTTGACACTTAATATTCACCATTGCATTGGTGCGTGGAATTCCACCAAATCACAAGTATGGAATAAACACCCAAGTCCTTCAGAGTCACCCCAGACCCACTTGAAAGCAGGCTGATGGCACAAATGTGAGGAGAGGGGAGCAGAGGCCTGCGGTTGTGAAAAGCAGATAAAATCATATCCAGAAATAAAAGTTCCACTGGGTGGGAAAATGCTGAGACCAGGGGTGAAGTCTGGTGGATCAAGCACCGACTCTTGGGAAGGCAAAGACAGGGCTTGGGAGTGTGCCGGACAGAAGCTCAGGCTTGGGAAGGCACGGATGCTGGAGATGGAGGGTGAGGCTGGAGGAGGAGGCAGGTGGACCAGGAGACCTGAGGGTACCAAGGAGAAAATGAGGTATGTGGAGGGAAAAACAAACAAGTGACAATGTTTTCAACAAGGGGAGATGAACCAGACACTACCCCTGCCCCTTTACTCCCCAAGAGAAGAGTATCACAGATTAGAGGAGACACACCTCCTTATACACAGAGGAGCAGGTGCTCTTGGACTGCGAAACCCAGGGAGAGAGGCCCAAACCTCTCACCTCTGCCTAGTATAAGCCCCACAGGTGCTGCTTTAGTAAAACAAGACACTTCGAATGGAATGAAAAAGAGCAGACAATATCCATAAAAGTGAATTTCCTCAAGTCAAAACTTACACAGCAGAATAAAACCATGACACAGTGGCCAACTTCAATGACTTCTTCTTAAACAAGTATTTGATGATCTGAAAAAAGAAAATTGAATCAGAATTTCAAAAACTCAGAACAGAAACGAATCAGTGAAGTGGAAAAAAAGTAGAATTTACTTTTTAAAAAAGTATTAGTTTGTTGTGGGAAAAAAGAATAGACAAACTAGATAGCCTAATTTTAAAATATGAGAAAGTGAAAATATACAACATAATAAGTTACAAGGGAGAAAAAAATCTTTGAAACATAGGCTTTAAAAAATTGCAAAGGTCTACTTTTCATAACCCTCTGAAAATATATTTGAAAAACTTGAATGGAAAAGATAATTTTCCAGGAAAATACAGCATACCAAAATTGAACCCAAGGGAGAAGGAAAGATTTAACAGGCTAATTTCTATAAAAAACAATGAAGAAACTATACACAAAAAAAATTACCAGACCCAAAATAGTATCTTGGGAGAATTCTATAAACTCTTTAAAAAGTACAAATAAAAAGGAGAAAACATATTAAAATAAAAGAAATCTTCTAAATCATTTGCATGAAGGAAATATACAATTGAGAACTATAACTGTTAAAAATGGCAGTACAAGAAAGAGACCAATATCACAAATATCAATATAAAAAATCATAAAATATTAGCAAATAGAATAAAACATTCTTTTAAGAAAAAACAATAACATATTTTAAACATATGTGATTTATTCCAATAACACAATTATGGCTCAATCTTTTATAATTACTCATATTAATAAACCTAAAGATAAAAATTATATGGTTATGTCTGCAGATATTAAAATGCCCTCTAACAAAAGGCAATGTCATTCATTCCTGACAATACATTCAGTGGCATATGAGTGAACAGACACATACGTCCTCAACACAGACACAAGACGAGAGGAAACCTGATACGCAGCACCAGAAGCACTTTGCTAAGGTCAGGAAAAAGCAAGATTATCCACCATTCCCAGTCCTATTTAATGTTATATTAGAGGCATCAACCAATGCAATTAGCAAGGGAGAAAAATTTGAAGCATAATTATTAGAGAAAAATGAAACCATTTCTATTTTCAGAAGATAGGATAGGATACTTGGAAAAAATAATAAAATCAGTAAACAAAGTCAATATTATAATTCACTAACGTAGCAGGGTATAAAGTTAATATACACATTTTAAAACCTTCATATATTAAATAATAATGGAACACATAATAGAATAAAATAAGCAATGGGAAAGAAAACCCTATCATCAATAACAAGGAGCAGAACATTACATTTTTGAGATTAAAGTTAACAAAAAATATATGATACCTGTAAAAGAAAAATATTTAAGCGTCAATCAAAAAAGCCGCTAAGGTAGACTTGAAAACACAGCCACGTACTTGGAGAGGAACTTTTGTTTATTGATTTTATTTGTTTGTTTTTGTTCACAAGCTAACTTTAAAGTTTATATGGAAAAAGTAAACAACATGTAGTAACGTTCAGAAACACTTGAGAAATAGCAATGAGGAGGACAAGCTGTGCTGATATTAAAATCAACCTGAAATTTCCATGATCAAAATGAGGAGAGGCTGGTTCATGAGTGGGTGGGTTAGTGGAACCGAAAATGTTCCAGAATTGGAACCTAGTAAAAATGGAAGTTTTGTACGTGATAATGTGGCATCTTTATTTCCATAGATTTGAAAATGCTTATTTAAAAAAAAGTTTAGGGTAAAAGAGAAAGAGAGAGGCAGAGGGAGAGAGGCCCAGCTCAGTGCCCAGTGGACTTTAGAGAGGATGGAACTCCTGGCCCTTCCCACTTCTGGAAGCCAACGCAGCCCCAGCCTGGTCCTGGGGCCATTTTCTGTATGCCTTTTTGCAAAAAAAGAGGAAGTGCTTCTGGTCACTTGAAATACGCCGCCGTTTTTCTCCTCTGGTGCCATACGGTTGTAACTCAGCTGTCAGGATGTGGAGCTACCCAGCTTCCCACTCAACCCTCCTTCTCTGCGGGATCCTTTTGCAGCCTCCAAGGCATAGACAGGGCGGTGCACGGCTCCCTGTGACCAGCACACCAGGGTCTTGCCCACAATGCCGTGTGTTCCTGACTCACACATCTACACAGCATCGAGACACATGGGAGAGGTTGCATCTCAGCAAGCCCTTGAGCCACAGCTGCCCACACTCTAGACTAAAGAGGCAAATATGGGCTCTGTTCTTGGATGAGAGGCTGTTGAGGGCGCCCACCCCATATTCTGCTTTTCATTGCTCTCTTTTTAAATCTCACTGTATTTTTGAGATTTTCACCTTCTTCAGATACATGAAGTAACATACATATCGAGTGTGATCATCTATGTTGAAAGACTGGTAAATTATCTTTTAACATATCGTTGCATTTTATGGAATAATAGAAAGAGGTGCTGCAGCTATAACCAGTTACCTGGTAACCCATGGAATCATTCTATAAGAGAAAGCAATTAAAACGTTCCAACAAGAACCCCCCCCGCCCAACCCTGTGGAGTTTGGTGCTTTGCATTCCGTCTACTTTTCTGGTCACAAGAGCCTGTAGAGCACCCGGAGGGAAGCCGAGGGGAACAGGGCATCTGGAAGAGCTGCAGGAGACCGGAAGTCAGGACACAGATGTCTCATGCAAGTTCCACCAGCAATTAGCCAAGGGATGCTGGTAAACACGCTGAAGCTCCCCGGACCTCAGTTCTGCAATTACAAATTGACAGATCTAACTTTATTTTCTCTATGCATGTTTTTCTGTACTCAATAGTCCATGCTTCTTCAAACATCACAGCTAGAAAGGATTTGAGTGAAATTGACACATGAAAAATCCTCTTTTGTGGGTCCCAACTCTGAGCAAGCAAGGCTGGCCTGGTGCTTCCCTGGACTTCAGGAGCTGGCAGAGGTCTTCAGGGAGACGCAGAGCTCAAATCAGGGTGGTCGTTGCCCTGGAGGTCACCTTGAGGGAAGCATGGTGTGGTTTGGCACAGATTGACTCTGAACATTTGTAAAGCCTTAGTTCATGCCAAAGTCTGGAGATGCAGGGGCTTATTGTCACAGCCCTTGGGGGCATGCAGTCTGAGACCTGGTCATATTCTAGGATGCCCTCAGAAGCCCCATTTGGTAAAAGGTGTAATAAGCCAAGTGGAACCTCAGACCCTCACCCAGATTACGATTTGGATTAAATTTTCTTTGCATTAAGAACAGCTGGAAGACTACTGGAGTGGGTGAGCCCTGTTTGCACCTTTTTTTTTTTTTTTTGAGATGGAGTCTCACCCTGTTGCTCAGGCTGGAGTGCAGTGATGCAATCTCAGCTCACTGCAAACTCTGCCTCCTAGGGTCAAGATATTCTCCTGCCCCAGCCTCCCAAATAGCTGGAATTATAGGTGCTCGTCATGACACCCGGCTAATTTTTGTATTTTTATTAGAGGTGGGGTTTCACCATGTTGGCTGGCATTGAACTCCTGACCTCAAGTCATCTGCCTGCCTTGGCCTCCCAAAGTGCTGAGATTACAGGTGTGAGCCACCTCACTGGCCTTCCTCCACTTTTAAAGTATATTCCAGCTTTGTGTTTTTACCACTACCACTCAGGGCCAGGCCCACTTCCTCTCTTTCCTGGACTAGCCCCAAGAGCCTTTTGACCCTCTGCTTCTCTTTGTCCTACTACTACAATGCATTCTTCTCAGGGCAGCAACAGCTCTTCTCACAGGTGATGTCCCTGAACTGGGTACTCAGATGGTCCTGGGATAAACCCTGTGGAAAGGCATGGAGTCGGGGGAGAAGGTGAGATGTGCAGACGTCTCAAGGAAGGGCTCAGCTAAGCTCACCGGGAGCTCTGAGCAGGATGCTCATCCTACACTCACTGTCTCAGCGCTGTCCCCAGAGGAGATGAGGCCTCAAACGAGGCTTTTGCTTTGTTTCTTGCAGGAAATGCATTTCAGAGAAAGGGGTTTCCTGACTTTTCACAGTGGTCCAATCCTTGTGAACTGTGGTGTCATTGGCTTGCTCTACTGATTTATAACATTTTTTTCAGTAGTGCACCCTCACATGTGATGCTGTGAGCCACGTGGGGTGGGTCGGCAGTGGCCAGCATTGCCTTTCCCTCAGAATCCATGTGTGGTGTTGAGCTTCCACAAGTGTCTCTGCAGTTGACAACATGGACTCCCCATCCCTCTGGCTGTCTACCTCTGACTAAAGTCCCAGGGGATTTCTTATGGAAGCATGGTATTCTTCCATATGTTTGTGCTGTTTGGCCATTTACAGGAAGCCAGCGTCAGGGGAGGGATTCAGTGAGAGCCATCCTTATGCCTTTGTCCCGCACAGGATTCCAGTGTTGAATCCACTTCCAGGACAGCTCTTATTCATGAGCTGCCCATGCCTAAGGACCCTCACTCAGTAGCCACTGTGCCCACAAGCAGCTACCGTGTGCTAGGGGGGGTTTGTGCTCAGAGTTGAAGACCCAACCTTGAATCACACACAATCTCCTGGCCTTAGGAGGAAGATGTCTTTTCTAGGTTGTTCTTTTCACTACCTTGAAAAATTTCTCTCCCAGGGTAATAGACAGTGAGAAAAATAGCTGTCGCTGGGTGTGAGCCCTCTATTCTGGCCTTTTCATCTTCTGACTTGCCCTTGTGCCTGTTTGTACTGTGCAGAAATCACTGGACTATGTGGCTGTGTGCTTCTGCTGTTGCAAAACCCTCCCAACCTATCCACAGTAGCCAACAGTCCTGTTTAGGAATGCTCACTAATAATGTCCTGGCACAAGGGAAACCAGAATACTAGACTCCAAGGGAATTGATTATTTTCTCATATTTCCTTCTTTTTTTTTTTTTTTAACAATGAACCTCAGGTACTTTTTTGTCAGTACAGTAAAATATGGAAAGTGAGAACAGTAGAAATGTGTAAATTCATGGACGAGGTGAGTTCTGCCTGTCTCCTCTTCTTTGCTCACATCTCTCACTGATGGGAGATGCTGCATCGGACAGCACGGCACCCACAGCTCAACTCAAAGCCTTCCACAGCCAGAGGACATGGATCTGGGCTGTGTGGAATTCTGCTGAGACTAACACAGACTTTTTTGAGTGTGAAAATATTCTTGGCAGTCATTTGCTTCACCCAGATATTTGGAGAATAGAAATCTATATCAGAGATATTGGTAAAATATTATATGAAACAGTATCCAATAAATGATAGTCTTAATTCAGGACCTTAGTGTAGCTGCACACTCAGTGGAAATTATGCAAAGTAGGTTTCTTTCAGCCAGGAAAAACCAAAAGCCTGAGTTTCAGGGGGAAACCCTATGGCTCCTTCTTCTTCCTGGCCATCTGCAGGGAGGACTTGGTTTTGGAGGTGCCCTGTCATAGAGGCACGGCATAAAAGGGCAGCTCCCTGTTTTCAAGGAAGCCAGGGTAGGGGGAGCACAGAGGTTATGCTCTGGTCCTCACCTCCAGGTTCCAGGGCTGATGACAGTAAAAGAAAGCAGCACTGATCTGGGTGCGGAGTCTGGCACCAGGTTGTCTTCATTGGATTTGGAGTTGAACTTGCTTGGATTTCCTCCCTGGAGGGGTGGGGGTGGGGTTGGGAGTATTCCCTGCTGATACTGTGGTTTTGTCGGGACATTTCAGTGAAAACATTCTCCTACTACTGATGCTTTTCAGTCAAAGAGGCTTTCATAAATTCCCTCTGATACCAAAATGGGATTTATGAGAAATCCCAGAACTGATGTATGCAACTGCGTGTGTAGCACAGTTACCCTGATTTATGGAAAAATACAAGAGACAGAGGGTGAGCTGCTCTCCCAGGCTTACCAATGAGCAAACACATGTTTACTTTGTACCTGTAACTGCATGGCTTTTGTTTCTACACTACGTTATATTTTAAAATAACTTTATCTTACTTTACACCTACAGGGAAGGGGCTGGCATGAACAAATGCCAGTTTGCCCTTAATGAAGCCAGTTCACGGCAGATAGTTACGAACATGATGTGATGTGCCACCCTGGAGCAGAGAGAGCTTGCACATGGTCTATGCCCTGGTCCTTGCCATGCTTCTGTCACCTCAGTGGAGCAATGAGGCTTGCACATTTTGCTTCTTTCTTCTCATTCCTCAATCTATTTTTTTTCCAGGCCCCAGGCACTCTGATTGGTGCTGGGCTGGCGAGAGAAGATAAAAGCTGGCCTTTGCCCTTCATTCTAGTGAGGGGTGTAACAGAACAAAGTAAAAGCTGAAAAAACAAACTGCCACAAGTTTCTGCTTCATGTCCTAAGGGGTCCATCATGGCTGAGTGTGTGCAGACACAGGTATATGCCTGCTAGGCATCATTCTGGGTATGAGAACAGCATACGGTTTCCTGGAAGAGGTTGTACCTGCGCTGGACTTAGAGGCACAAATAGGATTTCAGAAGGTGGAGAATGGAGGAAGGTCGAGGGAGCAGGTGGCGCAGGGGCATGGCTAACAGCCCACTATCCTACCCGTGAAACGCCATCCCCAGATACTCGCCTATGTGCAGAGGCCAGAACACATCTCCAGGTCAGTGCCTGTGAAGTTCACCAAACACCACGGTGGACCCCACCATGTCACTTTATAAAGGGAGACACCAAGGCTCAGAGAGGTTCAAGCTGAGATGTGGAACCTGGTGGCCCTGACCTGAGAATCTATGTCTTTCCCTCCATCACTGTATTGAATGAAGAGTTACAAACAACCAGATTAAGATCTAGAAGCCCAAGATGAGGAATGGGATGACCAGGAGGCTGTAGCTCTTCCTAACAAGCTCCAGCCTTAGCGGGTTCACATCCTTAGAGAGAGGGAGAAAACCCTCTTTGCTGTTGTTAGAGACTCTTGACAAGATGCCAAACAGAAGATGCTGAAACTCTCATAACAGCACGCGCTGCAATGTTGACGGGGAAGGCTGGCGCTGCCAACCAGTCAGAGGTGCAAGGCCAACACTGATGCTGAGCATGATTGAACAATGAATTCCTTAAAAGCATGAGTCATAACTCCTCACAAAAAGGGATAAAATCAGGTCACTAAGTACAAGTCAAATCAAATGGAATTTGTCTTCTTTGAGGAAACAGCCATTAAAACTCTGATCCCCAGCAGGGCACGGGAGCCACCTCTGAGCCAAGCTAGTCAGGCATCGGTTCCCGGGATGACCATAACTTTTCCCTCTGAAGAACCACTGAAAGGACCATGGATGTGTAGCTCACGAAAGAGGTGACCGAGGAAGCTAGAAGACCTGGCTTCAAATACGTACAGTGCTGCCATCTGGGAAAACACCAACTTATTCTTCAGGGCTAATTGACCAATGCAGGGAAGAGAGACACACTTCCATCTAATTTGAGGATTAGATTTCTAGCAAACATCAGAGTCATTTCTTGCTAACAAGGAGATTCTTGCCATCACAGAAGATCAAGCAAAGAAGTGAGGATCACCATCTGTCCGTGGTTCTTACAAGGGAGCCAGATATTTTATGGAAAGGTGACTTGAGTAACTTTAAGGAGTCTTATCAAAATGAAATGTCAGATGAAAATCATTAATTTTTAAAATGTGTGGAATTTTACAGCCAGCATCCAAAGAATCACCAAATGTGAGGACATCATGAGGGGGATGCTGGGTCTGGAGGAGGAGGAGATCCAACACCTTTCCCTGTGGACAAAGAGTGAATGGGACTTTATGGGGTGAGAGCCCAGGAGGCAGCAGGGTCCAGGGGCCGGGAGACAGAACTGGCTCCGATCTCCCCTGCCACACATGTGTTGGGAATCCCTGAAGGCTTCCTATCCAGGTCCACCCCTCCTGAAAAATACTGCATGAGCTTTCTTATATGTGAAATCTGTAAAAGTCCAAATCATTGAAACCGAGTACAGTGGTAGTTACCAAGAATGGGGAAGGGAAGAAATGGGTCAGGGTATGATCTTGCGGTAATGTGGCTGAATCCATCTGGAGGGCTAATGTACAGATGAGGACTGTGGTGGATAACATTGTATTCTATCCTGGAAATTTGCTAAGAGGGTGGATTTCAGGTGCTCTTACCCACCCCTACCACCCCCACACACAAGTAACTATGGAAGATAATGGATATGTTAATTTGGCTTACTGTAGTAATCATTTCACTATGTATATGTCTATCAAAACACCATGTTGTACACCTTCAATACATGCAATAGGAATTAAATACATGCTTTAGAGAAAGAGCTAAGAGTCAAGTCCCCTATGTCCAGGCCACCTATCAGCTGATTACAACAGATACTGTTTACTCCACGCCAGACACAAGGACTGGGACAGCGGTCATGTCACCTTATGATATCCCCACCACAACTCCCCGTGTAAGTACTAGCATTACCCTGATTTACAGATGATGTTGGCTCAGACCCATGAACTTCCAGATTTCTAGAATGAGCTCTGCTTGCCGCCTTCCACCCAAAGAGATCAAGAGCTCTCAGGGGTGGGATGAAATACACGTCTCCATCAACCCAATCTGCATGGCAGAGGGTACAGGACCTAAAATGGTTTTTCTGTGTCCCCACCCAAATCTCATCTTGAATTGTAATTTGCACATGTGGAGGGAGGGACCTTGGGGGAGGTGAGTGAATTATGGGTGTGGTTCCCCCCATGCTGTTCTCATGATAGTGAGTGAGTGCTCATGAGATCTGGTTGTTTGATAAAGGTGTCTGGTGCTTCCCCACTTTGTTCTCTCTCACCTGCCAACATGTAAGATGTGCTTTGCTTCCCCTTCACCTTCTGCCATGATTGTAAGTTTCCTGAGGCCTCCCAGCCATGCAAAACTGTATGTCAATTAAACCTCTTTTCTTTATAAATTACCCAGTCTCAGGCTATTCTTCGTATCAGTGTGAAAATGAACTAATACAGGACACATGCTTAAGAAGAGCCTGAGATTGCTAACTGAACTTAGTTTACGAAATGGAACCACTCTCTTTCTTCCCTCCTTAGTTTTCCCCTGTCTAGAAGCATTTAGTTTTCTAGAATGTTCATGATATATTTTGGTGAAACGAATATCAATTTTCAGACATTACCAATTCTACTAATCCTCAAGCAAAAATGTAAGCTTGTCTTGCCCTGCCACCAACCACCAGGGTCAACCAGCTCAACCACAGAAAGCGTATGAGCTCCCTGTGGGGTGGTATAGACACCCCTCCTTCTGCCAGCAGCCTGCTCTCCATCACCCCCTCCATGTTTGTAACTTCTCTTTGTCTGAAGGGTCCCACAGAACCTCATGTGCTCCTCTGGAATTGCATTGCTATTCATGCCTGTGAATCCCTGGAATTTCTCCAGACAAAAACTGACACCCATGGACCTGAGACTGCCTGGCTGGAAGTGCAGGACAGAGGTAGCATGACCACCCAGAGAGAGAAGAGCCCAGGCCCAAGCCCCAGGCCGGCTGTGCTGGGAGCCTCTTGTCGCCCCAGAGCCTTTTAGCGTGGGACTCACCTCCTCCCAATTCAAAGTTAAAGTGCCTCCCTGGCTTTGTCCCCTCCCCTGCCTAGGCCATTCCACCTGACAAGACTATGCACTAGGCTTTGCCTTGCTCTCCCAGTGTTCCTGAGACCCACTATGCACCAGCCTCCCTCTGCCCCGCACCAGATGGTATCCCTCCCCCGCTTCCTGGGCTGATCAGAGCATGAACGGTGCTGACTGAAGACGTGGTGGGGACCCCTGGGAAGAACAAGAGCTTGTAATTGCACCCTGGCCGGGTGAAAGCAGATGCCCACAAAAGTGACAGTAGAGTTAGGTCGGTGAGTCCTGGCACGAAAAGGCTCCGTCCTCCCTCCCCCAGTTGGTCTTATTTTGACATTATAAGGGACAAGTCCTTGATTCTTGACTGTCCCAGCCATGCTCAGAACACGGCCCCCAGGGGCAACATGGTGCTTTGGTGGTGGGGCAGTGTCCCCGGGACAGGCCCCCACACCAGACTGGGGCTCACTGGAGCCTGTGGTTCCAGCTGCCCTCTGGGGGTATCACACCGCCTTCTTAGGCAGTGATGCAGCTCACTATAAACCTAAGACACCCACAGAATCTATGGTAACATAATTCCAGGCACTTTAAGGCACTATCAGTTACAACCTCCAAATAAAACAAACCTGGATCAAAATTTATTTCATGTCAGAATTTTATCATAGTTATAAACTCTATCAGGGCTTGAAAGCACTGTGACATTAAATTTATCCACACTGCAAGACAGAAAGCCAGGGAGGGGACGAGTCATATTTGTTGGTTTTATTTTACCACCAGTACATTGAGAAATTAAATGGCTGCCGTTTCCTAAATATACCAAAATGCTCAGTTAATTCTGCTCCCTGGCTTAAGCCCATCAGTACAGTTCATGTAAATATTTCTCCCCAAGTGTTTTGAGTCATCCCTTGATGGTCCAAACTGTTCTTCGTTTGGGCGCGGTTATTGACGTGTATAGAAATTAGAAGGTATTGACAAGCAATAGACACGGCTATGGGTATCTAGCCCTGGGGTTCTCACCTCTGGCTACAAAAGGGACATTTAAAAATCGAACGACAGGTCTCCTTCCCTGAACAACGCAAAGCAAACCTCTGCAATGGGTACCACGTTTGAGAATTGAAAACCTGATTTCCTAAGTGATTCTGTGGCACAGCGAGGGTTTTCAGCCACACCAGCACGTCCCAAACCGCGTGGGGTGTGCAAGCTTACTGGGGATCTGGTTAAAATGCACACTCCAGCTCAATAGGTCCAGGACAAACCCGGAGAGCCTGCGTTTCTAACATTTCCCCCCCATGGACACTGATGGTGCTGCTCCAACAAGACCCACTAGTGGGAGGGCAGAGCCCCCGCACCGAAGATATGGGGTCCTGTCACTGTCATGCTCGCTGTGGGGGCCAGAATCCTCACAGGACCTCCCTGGGTGATAGCAGGTCCAGCCCTGGACAGTGGTGCAGGGTTCCCAGCTCCCACCAGATGGTCCTTCCATCTCACCATAGCTACAAGGTAACTGTGGCTATGTTGAGAATTAGGGTGACAAGGCCCTACCTTGCCATCGGGAACAGCACCTGCTGTCCCCATAGAACCGTGTGTGTCTGTGACTCTGAAATTGTGAATGTCAGTTGTTTGCACCATCTAGAAAAGCTGAGATGCAGGTGTTGAGAAAATACCATGGCAACCAGGGCTATTGCCCTGCGTCATGCTGGACAGATGCCCTTACCCTTGGCTTCAAAGCCGCCACAGAGCCTTTATCCGAGACCATCTCACTCTGAGCAAAGAAAACTTTCTGTGAAGGAGCAGTTGGATGACCAGAGTGAGCACAGGATAAGAAAATTACACCTCAGACAGCTTCGGCCAGCATACAGTTACAGGGTATTTAGCAACTCAGTGCTGCCCAAGTAAATAGTAGCGGTGACGCCAGTTCAACTGTTCTTGCAAGGGCAAGACAAGCTGGATTCCATGATATAGAGAAATACCACCTGTTTTTCAGCCAATCGTATCTTGCAATCTTTGCAGTTTTTACCCGATTAAATAATCCCGAGGACTTATCAGCAAAATGGAAGGAGAATCATATCAGAGTCAGAACCTGTCTGCCATCCTCCATATGGAGATAAGAGTGAGGATCCCTGGGCTTGCAACTGAAGGCAGTCAAGGACAGAGGCTGTGGAGTTGGAGAAGGAAATGGAAGCATAACCCACAAGCCATGGTCCCCACCCTGGTGCCTCAGTGGTCCCAGAAGCCATCACTTGCTGGCTAAAACCCAGAGGCGGCTCTGCCTGCTACTCTAGTCACCAAGGGCTGTGCTCAATACACAGCCCTGCAACATAACCTAAAAGTCACAAGGTGGCCTTCCTCCCAAGAGAGTCTTCATCTCACTAGCAAAAAACCTCAGTGTCCACTCCCAAGGAAGACACTTAGATGTGGAAGGTCAGGCCTTAGAAAGGGTGCTACCTCTTCAAAGAGCTCACCATATTTTTAAATAAAAAATGTTTGTATTTTATTTTAACTTTGTCAGTGATTCATAGCAGTAAAAATGTAAAACAAAACTTACATTCACATCACCAACACGACCATCTGAAAAACATATCTTTTTACCTTTCCGTGTCTGTAACTAGAAACCTGACGGGGCGGCGACTGGCTCTCTTCTCTATTCCTGCAAGCCCAGGGCACACACATGGTCTGGGATAGGGGCTGAGACAGGGCTGTGTGGTCTCCACCTCTGCCAGGAGAAAGGGGGACATCCCCCAAGGCAGCCTCATAGGAGAGCCAAAGGGCAAACTCATTTCAAATAGGATCAGTTGCCAATTTGAGGCTCTCAGCCCTAGAACAGGGCCAGGCCCCTGGTAGGTCCTCAGTCAATACTTGGG
Organism: Homo sapiens; assembly: GCF_000001405.40. Taxonomy (NCBI): domain Eukaryota; kingdom Metazoa; phylum Chordata; class Mammalia; order Primates; family Hominidae; genus Homo; species Homo sapiens. The sequence goes on from NC_000010.11 coordinate 130,952,461, forward strand.
AGAGAATAAAGAAATGATTATTTCTTCTTTTTTTCTTCTTTTTTTGTGGGGAGCGGGGGAGGGGGATGGTGTCTGTCTCTGTCACCCAGGCTGGAGTGCAGGGGCACAATCTCAGCTCACTGCAACCTCCGCCTCCCAGGTTCAAGCAATTCTCCTGCCTCAGCCTCCTGAGTAGCTGGGATTACAGGCACCTGCTGCCACACCCGGCTAATTTTTTGTATTTTTAGTAGAGACAGGGTTTCACCATGTTGGCCAGGATGGTCTCGAACTCCTAACCTCAGGTGATCCACCCGCGTCAGCCTCCCAAAGTGTTGGGATTACAGGCGTGAGCCACCCTGCCCGGCCAATGATTATCTCTTCTGAAAAAGAATTTGAAATACGAGTCTTGAGCTTTTGATCAAAGAAATCTATCCAAAGAGAAGGGAAATTCTCAAAAGAGAAAGTATTTTCTCCACTGGGATGTTGAAAGAGTCTTATTTGTAAAACTAAGAATTAAAAATAAATATCTGACAATATATCATGAAAAATAGATTCAACAAAAAATGTTTGATCTTTCGTAACGTTGTGAAATTCTTTATTTTCTGTTGATGGGACTGCAAATTGTGAAAACATGTTCAGGAGGGTAATTTGGTAACTAGCATCAAAGAGTGGTCAAAAAGTTTTGGCATCACTTGTAGGGATTCATCTTAAATGCATAATCAGAGAAGCAGGGAATGTGCGTGCCAATGTGCCCCGCCGGAAGGCATTTCTAATGTTACCTTGGTAGGAGTAGGTGCGTGGAATGAATTAGGGGAGTCATCAGTATGACAGTAAAAAGTGGAGTCTCTGAAGACAGACAGGTCCTGTGTCCTCGGGAGACTGGGGCCAGGCGCATGATAGCGCTGTACTTCCAACCATGGGCTCATCACAGTGCCTACCTGGCGGTGGTGTTAGCAGATTTAATACGGTCACACTCGAAAGTGCTTAGCTCATACCTGGCTTATAGGAGGCACGTGATAGGTTGGACATCATCCTCATGGTGAGGTCAAACTCGACAGGCAGGTGGTATGATCGCCCCTTTTTCTACACCAGGTCGCACCTTGGTGAGAGAGTCCAGCAGGTTACAGGACAGGTGAGCCAGGTTCTGTGCTTGCTCCATGCCAGACACAAGGATCACACCTTGGAAATGATACCTCAGTGAATCTCCATGAAGAATCCTTTGCAGTAACAACCGCTTCTGTATGAAGACACTGAGATCAAGAGAAGTTAAATAGTAAGCTGAGATTTGAGGCCAGATCAGACTGCATTCATTCAATAGACATTTATTGAGAATCTACTTTGTGGCAAAGAGTTGCAAGGTCCTGAGAAGCATCACTGAACAGGTGAAGACCCCAGTCCCTAGAATATTTATCTCCACCAGGAGATAAACCACGGACAGCATGCACAATACCCATGCAAATCGTACAGCATGTTGGTAGGCGAGAAGTCCTGTGGGACGTTGTAAGGACAGGGAAGAGGTGAAGGAGGACTGTCACAGCAGACTTCACTGAGAAGTGGACATCTGAGAAAGAACTTGAAGGTGGTCATGAAGTTATCTAAACAACACATAAAGGTATTGCTGTGAGGGTAGGTTATTTTTTTTAATTATATTTTAAGTTCTAGAGTACGTGTGCAAAATGTGCAGGTTTGTTTCATAGGTATTCATATGCTTCAATGCCCAGGTCCTGGCAGCGCTGCTGTATTATAATTTTGCAAGATGTTCTCACTTGGGGGTGGGGGGATGGGTAAAGGATTCACAGGAATCTCAGAATTATTTCACATAATTGCTTGTGAATCTACAATTATCAATTATGTCAAAACAAAAGGTTTAATTAACATGTAAGCATGTATATACATAAGTAAAATAGGTACACCTGTGTATATGTATACATATGCATGCATGTATGCACAGGTGCATGTACACATGGGGGAGTGCAGCAGATCCCTCCTGCTCTGTGGGATGCTGCTGCAGAGGTAGGCGCCATCAGCCCTGGTCTTACTCAGCTGACAGCTGTGTTCAACGCACCAGTCCCGTTCTTCCCTCTTGGATGCTCGCCCGACTCCTCCTGGCTCAGGGCTTATCCTCTCAGTCTCCTCTGCTGGATTATCCTCTTATCCCAAATGTCCTGACACTGAGAGCAGTCATGAGGTGCCTCTCTTACTTACACTCCCTATGACTGATCTGTCCAGGCCTACTTGGCACGGCTACCTGGCCATCCCATTAATACCACCCACTCAGTGTGCCCACGCTAACCTCCACCTTGTTCAGCAGCATCTGGGTCTTCCCATCTCATCCTCCAGGTGGCCCTGAACGAAGTCTGGGTGTGGGCTTTCATGCTGCACTTTCTCTCACATCCAAATCTAGTCCATCAGCAAATCATACTTGCACCAACCTCAAAACCCACAGGAAAGCTCTCAGCTCCTACCATATCCATTGCTGCTCCTTGGCTCTCCACTTCCTCCACTAATATATTTTCCACTCAGGAGCCAGAATAATTTTGTAAGTCAAAACCTGTCATCTCAATGCTCAAAACACAGTAACAGCTCCTGACTTCCCCCAAAGTGAAAGTCAAAGTTCCTGAGTATCTAAAGGGTCCTGTGGGATCCGACCACCCTTTTCTTCTCCGAGAGTCCCTAGGTATCCACATGGACCTGCCATGGGACCTGGCCATCTGTCACGTGTCTGCACTGAGCTGCACTGACACCCTCATTTCTCATGCAATTTAACCCACACTGACCTCCTGCTTGTTTCAAATACACCAGGCTCATTCGACGTTTGCTCTGGGCATCCACTCTGCCTTGGACTACGTTCATTCAACACGTATTTATTGAGAATCTACTTCATGCCAAAGAGTTACAAGGCAGGTTGTCCCTGTTTATCACAGAGTAGTGTTCCGTTGTATGGACACGCCGCTGTGTGTCTCTTCACTGACTGATGGACATTTGGGTTCTTTTCAGTGTGGGGCTGTGTTGAATAAAGCTGCTATAAACATTTGCATACAGATTTTTGTGTGAATATACGATTTTTAAAATGTTCTTTTGGTAAATATTCATAAGTAGAATTGCTAGGTTATGTGAGAGTTGTATGTTAACTTTACAGAAAACTGACAAATGATTTTCCAAAGTGGTTGAATCATTCTGCACTCCCAGTAGCAATGTATGAGAGTTCTGGTTGCTCCACCTTCCTTCCAACACTTGGTACAGACATCTTTTAAAATTTCAGCTTCCCTAGTGGGTGTGTGGTGTCTCATTTCAGTCTCCAATATATGTAAACTTTTTAAAAGCGTGTGGTGTAAAAGTGTGATGTGTAGATTTCAGCTTTCATCAGTTCACACAGGATTGTTGTTAGGAGTTAGCTCTGAGTGATTTAGCAATAGTTCGTTTTTCTTTTAGCTCTCATGTATTTTAAAATTATTTTCTATTATTAGCACAGTTGTATTATCTAATTAAATTGGAAAATAATGCAAACATAAAATAAAGCAGAAAGTGTTTCTGAAATATATGGCCAGCTTATCCTCAATGAAAATGCATGGAAACCTGATGTTGGGGCCCAAACATTTTCTAAGGAACAGAAGTCCTTTATCCTACATCATAAAGCAGGTTAGGCCAGGACTGAGGCCAGAATGTGAACCTTGCATTAAAATAGGGGAACATCACACACCGGGGCCTGTTGTGGGGTCGGGGGAGGGGGGATGAATAGCATTGGGAGGTATACCTAATGTTGGATGACAAGTTAATGGGTGCAGCACACCAACATGACACATGTATACATATGTAACTAACCTGCACATTGTGCACATGTACCCTAAAACTTAAAGTATAATTAAAAAAAAGAAAAAAAAATACAATGAAACGGAGCCAGTGTGAGTTGGCATAGATGCAATGCCCTACGGCTTGCAGGAGGTGCAGACACAGCCGCTCTTCCCAGGACACTTTAAGACCGAGCAGTGGACAGCTCCAGGGACTTAGGAAGCACTGAACAAGGGCCGGGGCTGTTTCAGAGCAGAGCCAGGCGCACTCCTTGGGCAAGGAAGGGCCTCAGGGAGGGGTCCACAGAGGGCTCCGGGAGTCTTGCTCACTCTATGCCTTCACTCTGTGGTCCTGGACTTCGGGAATTTGAGCTGCAATTCAATTAAAGAGGAATAATGAAGACTTAACATATTTTCAATGGTTTTGTTACGTTTTACTAAGCAATGCCATGAGAAAACAGCATGTTATTTAAGAAAAGTTCAGTGCACTGTATGTGTAGGTGTGAATATTCGTATGTAAAAGATGACATCATGCAATGCAATTCCATGGACTGTTTCCTTGAAGCAGTAACTCTGTCAGACTGGGGGTCTATTTTGGACACTAGAGCCGCAAGTGGAGCTCAGATATCCAATTTATGGGGCACGTCTGATAATTAACTTCAAAAGTACAGAGTCAAATAGGATTGTGGACATAAAAGACACATCCTTAGCCTCGTTGTGCATTTTCATTCGCTTTGGAGCATATTGATGATCATGGGACCCTTGGGAGCCACAGCACCCAGGCCTCAGGTTTGAGGGTCAAGGCAGACTCCCCCTGACCCCCTATCTCTTAGAGGTCTAGGAACAAGGCAGAACTTTATTAGCAGGTGGAAAATCCAGCAAGTGAGGGTTTCAGGAGGGGGACAGCAGGACCCACAGTCCCTAAATGACCCCCTTCCCAGAGGACTGCTCAACTTTGGGTTTCTGTCATCCCAGATAAAGCAGTCAATATTTTATCTGACAAGCACAACCCAACCAGATGAACCACGAAACCAGCTCTGCCCCTTTACTCTCTGGGACCGCACCCTCCATTTGGATTTCTTCTATAATTTTAAATATACCGATCTTAAATAAATCACGTCTTGTTTCCTTGCTGTACACAGAAAGTCCTGTTACCTGTGCGTATAGCACAGCACCTAGAACGGGTGATCTGGACATAGAAGTTGCTTAGTAGCTGTTTGTGAAATGAATCAAACAGGTGAGAGCAGTTGACAGCATCAGCCAGTGACCAGGTAACGGGGAGGGCCATTCATCCAGAAGACCAGAGTCTGCACCCCACTTAGCATGAACACACAAGGGAAGAAGAGGCAGATGATGGGAAATGGTCAAAAGACTCACACAGGGCTATGGAAGAGAAGGGCCAGGGAGGGCCCAACTGGATGAAGCCTTAGAAACACCTGCCCAGACATTCGGGTGGCCGTGGTCCTCAGTGCCTGACATGGCTCTCAAGGCAAGTTCCTCTCCTCAGACACTGCCTCTTAGCAATTCACGATCCATGCCAAATACAGGCTCGGGCTCTGCAGGTGTCAGAAGGTCAGTGTCATGGAGCTAGACTGATGCTCCATAGATATTCCTCAGAATGCTTGCAGCTCCCACAAAGGAACAACTAAAGAAAAACGATATTCCCTTATGAATAAATAGACAAAAGCATAGACAAAAGAATAGCAAAAGCTGTTTTGTGTTCCAAGAGCCTCCTACAGCTTTTAAAAATAGACTGCTTTCCGTAATAAGAACAATGATTATTTTTAAAAAGGCTAGTAACTCCTGGCCCATAAATCCAGGGAACAGCTAAACCTACCACAAGAGCTCCTCCTTCTAATATAAGCCCTCCAATTCTCGATTAAGCTGCTAACTAGGTCATTAACAACAGACCCGTGGCCCCCATCAGCCCCCCGCTGGCCTGCTTACCGGCTGCACTGGGAAGTGGAGAGCTTGGAATGATCGATAGCAACTCTGTCAAGGGCCTCGCTCATATTCTTTCCTGGGGAACCTTGTGGGGATGATATCTTGTGGGCCTGTCTGAGTCAACAATAAATAAGCTCATAGTAATTTTCTTTGGAAAGATGAATGTAGTATAGGCCTTTACAGTTTTGGGGGTTTACAGTAAATGGTGCTACAGGAATCAGTCATGCTTGGAGAAAAGAGCAAAGGACAGTGATTGTAGCTAAGACCAAATTAAATTAGGGAGGAACGGATGCAATAGCTGCTAGTCTAATTTCCTTGCTGTACACGTGAAGTCCTGTTACCTGCATGGCCATCACCGCACTCTAATAACTATTGAATACCATTTGATGTATAGCACAGTCGGTCCTTTGTAACTGTGGGCACCACATCTGTGGATTCTAGCAACCGCAGATCAGATATATTTGGGAAAAAAAAAATTGCACCAAGCTCCAGAAATCAAAACTTGAATTTGCTGCATGCCAAGTACTGTATAGAATCCATGCAAATTGAGTGATGTGTAAGCATTGCATTAAGCATTATAAGAAATCTGGAAATGATTTAAAGTGTAAGAGAGGATGTGTGTAGGATGCACAAATACTTTGCTATTTTATATAGGAGACTGGAGCACTGTGGATTTGGGTATCCATGGAGGGTCCTGGAAACAGTTTTTCATGTATACCTAGGGATGACTGTATATACATGTGCGTGTGCACACACATGCACACACACTCGGTCATGCTTCTCAGGTGATCAGACCCAGGAAACCCAGTGTCTGTGTGTTCCTGAGGTTTCATGTACATCAGAGATGGTGTTAGTACGAAGGTGGACTGCACATGGAGCTCAGTGTGGTCACCAGCAGGGGAGGTGCCCATGAACCCGGCTCCATCTGAATTCTGTCCATGGGAGCCAACAGGTGGATGTGCGTTCAGTGTGGTCACCAGCAGGGGAGGTGCCCATGAGCCCGGCTGCATCTGAATTCTGTCCATGGGAGCCAACAGGTGAATATGCGCTCCGCAAGCCCGGTTGCTGCTGTGTCAGTCCCAGGACATTTGCTTCTGGAAGTGTTAATGACCGAATGTGTCCAGGTCAGAGCTCACTCCCAAGTAGAGCCAGTGCCCTTCATTGAAGTCTGTACGCGTCGTAAGCCCAGTGTGCCTAGCACCGTTCTGCAGCCGTCCCTTCTCCTTGCTTTCCCATGCTGCCCCACTCCACCCCCATTGCTGCTATGGCTCTCATCTCTCCCGTGCTCCTAAGCTAAGTGTGCACCCCACTGCTCACCGAATTACTCAAGACACAGACTTCAGTGTGATCTTTGGCTCTTTCCCTCCCTCAATCCCCTAAATCTAATCAGTGGCCAGGTTCTGTCCATTCTAAATCAGAAGTCTCTTCAATCCCAGCTATTTCCCAAGTCCAGAATGAGGTCCTGTCTTCTAGTCACAACAACCTTGCCACCGGGCTCCCTGCAATCCACCTCCACCCTGCAGCCTGCATGACCATGCTAAAATAGAAATCTCCTCTTGTGGCCCCTCCAAGGGATTCTCTTCATGTGTCATAAGAAAAATAAAAACTGCTTTACATGGGCTCTGGAATGACAGCCACTGCAATAGTTGACGTCTCTGTGAGTGAGTTGCCTGTGTGTTCACGTTTTGATGACTGCACAACCCTCTGGTGAGATGAGTGCTAATATTGTCACTGTTTGCAGATCAAGAGCCTAAGGATTAGAAAAGTGAACAGGGCCTTGGAAACCACTCCAGCTGACACAAAAGTCATCTCTCCATCGCCGAGCCCGCCTGACCCCGCTCACCTCTCCAGCCCCACTTCCTGCCCCACATCTGGCCTTTGGAGCCTTAGCCTTGATCTCTTTGCCCTTGATGCCTCTTTCGTTGGCTTACAGAGCTTGTATTCATCTTTGAGCTCCCAGCTTCATCCTCACTTCCTTCAGGAAGCCTTCCTTGGTTTCTGCGGTGTGCTTCAGTAACACCACCTGGCACTTGCTGTGACAGAGCTGCTTACTGCCCAGGGAGCTTGTCTCCTACACATTCATGAAAGCTCCCTGTGGACAAGGGACATCTTATCTGTGCATTTCCAAAAAGTCAGAGCTCAACTCATAGTAGATGCTTTAATGTGATGAATGACAATGACAAAAACTTGGCAGCCTCAATTCAGTTTGTTGTGGACATTCTGCTATATTTCGGGTTGTGATTGTTGAGGTGGGGGAATGAATGCTGCTATGGAGAGGGAATCTGGATGTATCTGCACATTCAGAGCCTTTCATTTGCTTAAAAAGGGGGGCTGCACCAACTGTGTGCGGGTCTCAGATGGGTGTCCTCAGCGACAGAAATGGGTGGACCCCGGTCACCTGTACCTGTGAATATGCACACATTTGCCTGAAAGTGGTCCCATGGAGGAGGGGTGAGCAGAGGGTATGCTGTGCCCGTGGGATGATTGTGTGGGAACAGGAGTAGACGTGGTGGCCTGTGGACCAAAGCCTCAAAGCCAATTTGCCTGTGGCCGAGAATTGTGCCTCCAAGACCTGTTCTTGCACTGTGTCCTCGGGTTCTGTCCCAGAGGCTAAGGCTGGGTATTGGGGGCAGATGGTGGCAATGCCATCTTCTGGAAGGCATGTGGCATGATGCACTTACCTTGACTCACTTTGTGATGCTCACGTTTGGCCTTGGCGGGAGTTCAGTCAGATTCTGAGCTTCTGCTGAGGCCCAATGTCACTGTGTAGCCACTTCCTCTTCTTCCGATTGAGGCCTTAGCTGGGCCCCCTCTCTCTGAGGGGTTCACACAGAACACAGTCTGTCCCCCCAAAACCTGATCCTCCCACATCCTGAAGCAGGGGTATCAGTGGGGGAATGCATGGCAAAGCTAATCATCTGATTTTTATATTTCTAAAGCTGGGGAGCACCTCAAACTTTCCAGCAGACCCAGCTAGCTGGTAATGGCACTTGACTTTGCCATGGCCTTATAGCTCATCTCTGTCTTTCAGCAGATGTGACACAAGTCAAGTCAGCATCTGTCCACCCTGGTTGTCTTTACAGAGCTGGTCAGTGGTGGGTGCCAGGGGCAGGCCTCTGTTTTCACCCTGTTTCTCCCCTGAAGCCATGTGAGTTGGCATGAACATACAAGAATAGAGGTCTGAGAGTGTCCCTGTCCTGGTCGTGACCTCAGTCCACTTTTCTAGCTGGCTCCTTTATTTGGACAATGATCATTTCTCAAAATCCAGGTGAGACATGACAATCCCATCACGTTTCATCATGATGCAATGGCAGGAATTCTGGAAAACCCCAGTGAGACTGATTCACTTTCTAACCCATGTTTCTCATTTCAGGTAGAGAGAGCCACAGCTTGCCCATCAGCACAATGGTGAGAATTAACTAAACATGTGTATCTTGAGGTACATCTGGGAGGTGGGTGACAATGCAAAAGACCCTATCAGGAGACACCCAGACACTTAGAATCTGTCTTGAGGGTCACAACCAGTGTGAGTGGATGTGATAAATGCAGGTGCAGCTTAGATGATAAATACCTTAGGCAGTCCCCCAAGGAAGAGACCAGTGCATGTGCAGATAGCTCGGGGAAGAGAAAGTCTGGGGTGGGGTGGGGGTCTTTCTGCACAGTGCTCTGGCTGTGGAGCTGGAATACCAGGATTGCTCCCACTGGAGACAGAGGCACTTTGTCATGGCACCTTGCATGAGTGGATGTGGGCATAACCACCTTCCTTGAAAGGGGGGTTGAGATTCAGAGGCAGACACTGAGCCCCTCCTTGGCCCCTCCTATCTGCCCTCCTCCTATGAGCATGAGCAGCTTCTACCCCATCTCTGTGTGCCTCGCAGGTTCACAGCTTCCTCAGCTCCCATCTCTCGTCTTGGAGGTTGTCTTCTGTGCTCCCTCATCTCGCCTCCTTTGTGTGCTCATTGACATCTCTGCGGACAGAGTGTCAGTCCTGTCCCTCCAAGCCCTTCCTGAGACCCCAGTACCACTCCCTCTTCCCTGAGACCAGGGTCCTCCTCTCCTGGGCACACCTGCTCCTCCCCTCTCAATGCAGCTGGGGGAACTGGAACCTCTTGGTTGCAAACAGCATTGGCTGATGCTGCACCCATGGGCCTGGGCATCCTCGAGGGCCAGGAAGCTGAGTAGTGGGAGTACCCACGGGGTGAGTGGAGCCAACATTCACCCTTGCCCGAGGCTCTGATCTCGGCAATGGGAACCCCCGCTGGTCTTGGAGGAGAGGCCACCAAGAGATGAAATCACTCGTGCTTGGTGGCATGGTGGCATCTGCGGTGCTCACTTTTCCATACTTGCTGTCTTCCCTGGTTTCATCCTCCCAGGGCAGTTACTTTTTATCCTCACCATGCATGAACGTTTGAGTTTGAGGCACTCACCACCTTCAAAGTCAGAGTTGAAGTCTGACCCGACTCCACTCTTCTGACTCCAAGTCCAGTGATGGCCTCCGAGTGGAGGGTGGAGGATTCCGTGGGTGGCCCTGGGAGCTACAGCAGGAGGGGAGGCTCCTGCACTGAGGAGCAGTAAGGCTCAGGGGTGGCCGTGTACACTGAGACGGGAGCTCCCAGGGCAGCCCAGAGGGAAGTGACCACCTCACGTGGTGACCTCATGTGAGGGACTGGTTTCCCTAGAAGCAGAGCTGGAAACAAGGGCTCTGGTTCAAGCGCATAAGGCAGTGTCTCAGGAGAAACCCTTGACGGAGGGAGAGAAGCAGTGAAAATAAGAGAGGAAGCTGAAGAATGCAGCTTAGGGTCAAGGGCAGCCTCAATCTGCCCCGCGGGGACCCTGGATCATCCACATTGCTGTGGCGTCTGCCCTACCTGAATGCTCTGGGCCACCCTGGTTGGGCTGGGGTGTCCTGTCATCCACAAGCCTTCAGGCAAGGCAGCTCCAGCCTCCCAGGGCAGCCTCGGTGGAGGCTGCAGGTGCGAGCTGTTAGCAGCATCCTTCACCAGGAAGCAGCTGGCAAAGAAGATCCTTGGGTCCCCAGCAGGGCCCAGCAGGGTCCATCCATGGGCGAAGAGAAGACTAGAAGGCTCCACATCCCCACCTCCAGCTCTGGGCAGACGGGCAGCTGGGCCAGGCAGAGCTAGGAAGCTATGAAGGGCGTTATTTATTTTAAGTTTGGACACGTTTAGGTTAGAAGATGAATTGTCGGCAGGGCGCGGTGGCTCACTCAGCACTTTGGGAGGCTGAGGCGGGCGGATCATGAGGTCAGGAGATGGAGACCATCCTGGCTAACACGGTGAAACCTGTCTCTGCTAAAAATAAACATAAAAAAAATGTAAAATAAAAATAAAAATTAGCCGGGCGTAGTGGCAGGTGCCTGTAGTCCCAGCTACTCGGGAGGCTGAGGCAAGAGAATGGCGTGAACCCGGGAGGCGGAGCTTGCAGTGAGCCAAGATGGCGCCACTGGACTCCAGCCTGGGGGACAAAGCGAGACTCTGTCTCTGTCTCAAAAAAAAAAAAAAAAAAAAAAAAAAAGAGAGAGAGAGAGAAGATGAATTGTCTCCCAGTCAACCAGAAATCCAGGTTACCAAAGGCAATGGATGGAACCAGAGAGGAAGCCTTAATGTAGAACTGAAGGGGGGCAACCCAGGGTGCAGTTGAGTGACTCAAGAGAAGAGGGGGAAGGCCCTGCGAGGGCTGAGCCAGCCATGGAGAGGAAGGCCTGGCTAGGAGGCAGAATGGGCAGGAGCTCAGGCCACTGAAGAGGAGCCGTCCCCTGGCTGATCCCAGTGATGCAGAGAAGCCAGGGAGGGAGGGAGAACGGGGAGATGACCCCCATCTCCAGGAGAGATACTCCTCTGGGGAGAGGGCTGGTGCCACTTTCCCTCTAATGCTATAAAATAGGGAGCCTCACTGGGCCATGGGCCATGCAGATCTCTAGCCAAAAGTGAGTTCGGATGTGGCTATTGGTAGTGGGGGACTTGGAAGTTGTTAGGGGACCAGAAAAGGCTGGGTGTACTGGTCCTAGGTAAGGAGTATGTTTGTCACATGAAGGGGACTACCCGTCAGCCCAGTGCAGAGGTAGGAGCCTGCAGAGTGAGACTGGGCAAGGGGAGGGCTGGAGATTGCAGGAGAAAGAGCCACTAAGTCAGCGAGAGCATGCACGGTGAGGAAGAAGGAAGCCTTGCGGGGAACAGCCCAGCTGGCCTCGCCAGGAAGGCCCTTCCGCGTTTCCTCCTGCTGATTCACAACCAGGAGTAGGAAAGTGCAGGGGGCAGAGGGCCGCACCTCAGCGTGACCACCATCCATCTGTCCTTCCTGGCGGCTCCATGCTCCGGGGAGACGTCTGTAAGCATTAGCCCATGAGGAGGAAAGGAGACGATATATTCACAGACACTTTGGGAATAAAAGTGCTCCATAAATACAAAGAGTTAGCACCATGTCAAGGCAGAATTTATTTCAGAAACACAGCCTGATGCTCTGGGATGCTGAAATGCCAGGGCACCACACCATCTTGGTGATATGTTTGTCATTTGAATAGGTACATCTCTGCTTCCCCCATGCCGGCCAGGCCCAGAAGGAGACAGAAATAAATCAGCGGAAATTATCTATTTTCTACAGTGTCAAAACAACACTTTCTATGTTGGAGTTGGGAGAAAACCAATTCACCTCTTTTCCCAACCAGCAGAAACACGTTGCATCTCCCGAGTGTCCCAGGGAGAAGAAAGAAGAGAAACAAGAGAAGGTGGAGCCCGGGTACTGGGGGCTTCCGCTGAAGAGCACCTTTCCCACCGCACCTTAACCCCGGGATCTAGAGGACTCCTGGGAAAATGGTTCTGCAGCTTACCATCCATCTAGGGAACATTTCCAGGAGACTCACGAACCCACTGACCTTCCCTGCACCCAGCTACCTGCCCCTTTGAAGGGCGCCCAGCAGGCTGGCCTCCAGGTCCCCATCCTGTAAACCAAACTCCTGGGGTCTGGGTCTTTTCTTCGTGTACCATGACTCATTTACTTGATCCAATTCCTCCTTTTCTTTTTTCTTTTTTTGAGATGGAGTTTCACTCTTGTTGCCCAGGCTGGAGTGCAATGGCACGATCTTGGCTCACTGCAACCTCCACCTCCCAGGTTCAAGCAATTCTCCTGCCTCGCCTCCCAAGTAGCTGGAATTACAGGCGCCTGCCACCATGCCCAACAAATTTTTGTGTTTTTAGTAGAGAGGGGTTTCATCATGTTGGCCAGGCTGGTCTCAAACTGCTGACCTCAGGTGATTCACCTGCCTTGTTCTCCCAAAATGCTGAGATTATAGGCGTGAGCCACTGCAACTAGCCCCAGTTCATCCTTTTCAACTCTTAGTACAACTGCACAGAGATGTGTCATCCTGGAAAGGGACTGACATTCTCATGGCAGACAGCTGAGACATCAGCAGGAAAACACTGACCAAGGAGACCAGAGACACAGGTCCTGGTCAAGTCCTGGCTCAGTGAATTCACTGGAAAATGTGAGTTGGAAATATTTGCCTTGCAGATCTGGAGTTACTAATAGAATCAAGTGGTAATGTTTAATTAAATCTCCTGCAAACTGTGAGGGTGGTATCTACTCTTATTTGATTGAAGTATCTTCTACATAGTGGTGGCTCATGCCTGTAATCCTAGGAGTTCGAGACCAGCCTGGCCAACATGGTGAGACCCTGTCTCTAATAAAAATACAAAAAATTAGCCAGGTGCAGTGGTTCATGCCTGTAATCTGAGCAACTCGGGAGGCTGAGGTGGGAGGATCGCTTGAACCTAGGAGGTCGAGGCTGTAGTGACCCAAGATCACACCACTGAACTTCAGCCTGGGCAACAGAGCAAGACCTTGTTTTAAAAAAAAAGAGAGAGAGAAATATCTTCTACATATGATTACATCTCTCAACTAATATCTTGTCCTCATCCTCAAGGTTAAAACCAATGGATATCTGAAAAACAGACTCAGATTATCTGTGTTAATGCACCTGCCTCTCATCTGCCTTCAAACCGCACTTGCCAGGTTGCTCAGTTATTTCACCTTTATTGTTGCTGCTTTGGACCACAAAAGGGCTCTGAGGTCCATCTCTGTCTATTGCAAGGGCATCCTCTGGACCATGAGTGGCATGCCAGTTTTGGGCTTCTCTGGAATATCTCTTTTGTACATTACTAAATTAGTTCATTTCTATCTTGATATCTAGTATCACCAAACCGCAGTCATTAAATGATGGACTAGACCTTCAAGGTACCAAACAGAAGTTTACGGCCCCGCCCAGCCCCATCTCCAGCACAGATCATCAGTGAAACTCGAGCATGCTGCCTGCCTGCGTACATATTTCCAAGATGGAAAAGTTCAATTTATAGAAAAGCAGAGATGCTAGGAGCCCAAGTCTGCAATGCCCCAGACAGGTGCTCTGCTAATGACAGGAGGCTAGCTTAGTTGTATTTAAATTATATTCAAAATGAATTTTTGAATTAATTAGATAATTTCCCAAATAAGACTGTGGACATATACGTGATCATTCTAAATACCTCATTCTTTAACATTTATGTAAAAAGTTCTCCAGAGAATTGAAGATACAGAAACCTTCCAGCCACCACGCATTTCCTCCAAGCTTTTTGCTTTCTCACTTTTCTCCTTTTTCTACCAGAAGGAAATGGCAGTGGAACCAGATCAGCACCTAAAGTAAAGAGATGATGGGGATGGGTTTGAAAGTTTCATCTTGAAGTATTTCATACATTTAAGAAAATACACCTAAACTGTCTAAGGCAGAAAGAACATTATAATTCATAGCAATGTGCCCCTCACCTTGCTTATGCAATAGAAGTTCCGATGCAGCCCCTGGGTCTCCCTCCTCGAGCACATCTTTCCGTCTTCCTGCCCTCCTGCCTTCCTGGATTTTGTGTTTATTTTTCCATTTGTAGCTTTTCTATGTATGTTTTCGTAAAGAAAATAGTATTGATAATTTCACAATTTAAAATTATAACACTGAGTGTATATAGAGCTAGTCTCATAGTAACTACATTCTCTAGAATGACTGAGAGCCCATTTCAATGTTGTTCTACTAGGTGGGACCAGTTGCCGTAGGACGACTGAATAAAAAAGTTCATCTTCCCCACCCACCGTGGGACCGTCTGGTGCTGCGGGATGCCATCCTGGTTGTGTGGGTCTGGTTCTGGGCTCTCTCCTCCTGTTGGCCTGGTGCCCTTCCTTGCACCTTCCCTCATTGTCCAATTACTATAACCTTAGAATATAAATGTCTTACCATGTGGCTGGACACTCTCTGTGCTTGACTCTTCTCTGGGAGTTTCTTATCTATTCCTAGCCCTTGGCATTTTCATGTAAATTTTACATTCAGTTTGTAAACTTCCAAGAAAAACCCTGTTGAGCTTTTGATTAGAATTGTATTGAAAAATTAGACCAATTTCAGAGAGTTTTCAGATTTTTCAACATTTGTTTTTATTATCCATGAACTTGGCATCTCTTCTCCCTTATTTATGTCTCCTCTAATGTCTTTCAGAAAAGAATAATAATTTTCTCATAAAGGATGACTCACTTCTTTGGTTAATTCTGTGTCTTTTTCTAAGTGCTATTGTAAATAGTATCAGTATCAGTCATAGCAGGATGTGTTATATTGCAGTAACAAACAGCCCCCAGATTTCGGGGGCGAAACATCAAGTCTACATGTCCAGAGAGGAGTGTCTAAAGGCTCTGCTACAGTTCGTATATTTGTCCTCTCCAAACCTCCTGCTGAAATTTGATCCCCAGTGTTGGAGAGGGGCCTGGTGGGGAGGTATTTTGGTCATGGGGGTGGATACCTCATGGATGTCTTGTTGCTGTCCTTGAGTGAGTTATTGCTCTGTTAGTTCACAAGAGAGCTGATTATTAAAGAGAGCCTGACACCTTCTCTCTCTCTCTCTCTCTCCTCTCTTCTCTCTCACCATGTGACATGCTGTTTCTCTTCCTCTTCTGCCTGTTCCTGAAGTCCTGACCAGAAGCAGATGCTAGCACCATGCTTCCTGTACTGTCTACAGAATTGTGAGCCAAATAAATTTCTTTCCCTTATAAATGACCCAGTCTCAGGTATTCCTTTATAGCAATGCAAAATGGACTAAGATGTGAATACCACTCTCATGGTTCTTCAAATACCTCACAATCAATCCTCACACTGACCCTTCCATCTTACGGTGTTCCTTGCTCATTCTGAATTGAAGGATCAGATACTTAAGTGCCACTCATATCAGAGATGTGGGTATTTGTTTATAGCAATAACACTCAAGGCACTCCAAAGCCATCCATTTCAATGGACATTTCTCCCTCTCAAATGGAGCTTCTTTATCTGCCCTCACTGGTGGTGTGGAAAAGTGTTTGAGCAGGAGGCTTTCCACGCTTTTTGGTTCTCTGTGACTCCCATGGTGGATCTGGGGTCCAGAAGTGTAAAGGGAACACGGAGTTTTGACTGAGCTCCTTGACAAACCCAGTCATGTCCTTCACACCAGTGGCTGTTGCTGGCCCCTGGAAGGCCCACTTGTTAAAAAGCCTGCTGGGGCCAGGGACTGGTGTGAGCTTGCCTGGAAATGTCTGCGAATATTCTCTAGACACAGAACCCCTCCTTCCCAAGCCCTTCTCAGGGATCTCTGGGGCTGAAACAGGTATCTTCTAAGGAGGACAGCAAGGACTCTGGCTTCATGGGAAGGCCAGGGTTGCTCTTCAGAGACACTAAATACACCCTTTTCCCAGGGACACATCATCAGAGAATTAGGACACTTACTCCTGCCACCTAACCCAGTAGATTATTGCTGGCCCATGCAGAGTTCTTAAATAAAAGAAATCAAACAAGTTAAACACAGGCTTATTATACAATTCTGTCATTCTACTCCCTGGAATCTACCCAAGAAAAATGAAGACATATGTTCATGTAAAGACATGTGCATGAGTGTTCATAACAGCATTTTTCATAAGAGCCCAGAGCAGGCAGCAATCCAAATGTCCATCAGTTGGGTAATTTATAACACAAATGAGCTGCATCCATGCCCTGGAATGCTACTTGGTGAGAAAAAGGAAGACACTGCTGAGACACGCTACAGAGTGGAAGAACCTCAAAAGCATGCTGAACGAAAGAAGCTGGGTGCAAAAGAAGCTACATGCACTGTATGATTTTGTTTATGAGAAATATTCAGGAACAGTACGTTTAGAAGCACAGACAGCAGACCAGTGCCCAGCTAAAGGCTGGAGGTTGAACAGAGATTAAGCGGAAAATGGGTGTCAGGGAGTTTTTTGGGGTGAAAATGTTCTAAATCCAGATTGTTGCAATGGTTGCACAACTCTAAAAATTTAGATAAAATATAGTTGAATTGTACTCATACAATAGGTGAGTTGTATTATAAACTATACCTCGTACAATCCATCAACCCCACTCCTACATATTTGTACAGGAGAAATAAAAGGAAATACTCACACAAGATCTGTTTGTAAAGGCTTACAGCAGTTTCGTTTACAATAGTCAAAACCTGGAAACAATCCACATATCAACTGGTAAGTGGGTGAACAAGTTGCAATAAGACCTCACAATGGAACACTATTCTGCAATAAGAAGTAACAAACTACATGACATAATACGATTAAATCTCAAAAACGTGTGTGTGGTGCCCTCAGTAAGACATTCTGGATAAGACAGGGCCACGGGACGAAAGTCCATCAGCACGGCGGGCTGCGGCGGGGGCGGGGCCTGGCGGCAGAGGGTCCGGTGCTGCGGGGAAGGAAAGTGCTCCTCATGGTATTTGGGGGTGGCTGCACGACCATGTGCATTTGTCCAAACTCACAGAACCTACCCTTCCAAAGGGGGATTCCTACTGTGTGTAAACTAGTCCGCCGTACACCTGACTTGAAACTGGAATGTCCACAGTTCTACTTAGGGGTATCAAATATTTTTCGGCCTGATGACCGTGGAGCTGTTTCCAGCCTGCAGCAGCCTGGCTCATGCCGTCTGCTTTGAATGTTATCCCTGGACATTACTTTCGT
Organism: Homo sapiens; assembly: GCF_000001405.40. Lineage (NCBI taxonomy): Eukaryota > Metazoa > Chordata > Mammalia > Primates > Hominidae > Homo > Homo sapiens. The sequence goes on from NC_000010.11 coordinate 130,970,196, forward strand.
GACCCCCAGATGCTATTCGTGAGCTTTGCTTCTCTCACCAGTAAAGGGAGTCACTGATGGAAGCCACTGCCTGGAGATCCCGTCCAAATCACAGAAGAATGTGGAAGCACCTTCAACAGAGGGACTTCTTTTCAAATTGAAGCTTCTGTGAACTCTATAAGCTGCAGAAGAGTAGAGTTCGGCAATGCCCAGAAGAGGAGTGCCAGGAAGCCATGCTCCCAGCAAGTGAGTGGTGGGGATGCACTGCTCCAGCTCTGAGCCTGCTCCTCTCAGCAGCACAGTCCCGGGCTCCCATGCAGGGCTGGTGCAGGAGCACATTAGGGAGCATGTGAATGTAGGGTCCCATTTGGTCCCCACCTCTGCCATCCACTGTGGCTGAGGCATTGGTGGAGGGTGGCCCATGCCGGAGGGGCAAGCTGGGACAGGGACAGGGAACACACCCCTGAGTACAGTGGCTGGGGAAGAAGTGAGGATGTAAAGACTAGATGTGGGTGCTTTTCATTCCAAGGCAGACACTGCTGGCTTCGGCGTAGCCTGCTCTGGTCCAGCTGAGGGTTTATTGCTGTCTCACCCTCTCTCACACACACACATAGGCATCCCTGAAAACATGGGGTCTCAGAAGGGCCAGCCCCTTTGCGCACAGGGGTCGGGGAGCCCTGGGGGACTGGAGGGGCCTCGGGTGCCCCCCCTCTCTGCCTTCAAGAAGCCTGACCAGGGCTGGAACCCCTACACAGGAACCTGTGGGCTGTGAGCCTTATCTGCACGCCAGATCTCTGAAAGAGCTGAGGCCCCAGGGTGTCCCTTAGATCTATGGTCTTCTGCCCTTCTGTAGCCAAGCCCAGGACCTGAGCTTCACCACCAGCTCTGCCCATGAGGAGAGGGACAGTGCTCTAGACCAATGGCGTCTGTTGGTGGTGAGGGGACTCCAGCGCCCCTGCCCAGCGGAGACCCAGGAGCTAGGCATGCAGAGCCACTGAGCATGTGCCTCCCCCTGGGACACACATACATCCACGCTTGGACCAGCCGTAGACCCAGGAGATGGGTGTGTAGAGCTACTGAACAAGAGCCTCCCTCAGGACACACACATGGCCACGCCTGGACCAGCCATAGATGTGGAGACTTCTGTTCTGAAAGGAGTGAGGCCAGGCCGAAACGGGGGGCCAGGACCATCGGCAGGAGGAGCCCACATCCCATGGAGGGTCCCACAGTGCACATAGAGGAGGCCTGAGCCTCATCAGTAGGGTCATGCCCTGGAGTAAGGGTGACCCCGCACACTTCGATCCCCTTGTCTGGAGCTGGCTCCTGGCCCACTGCCTTAGATCTGGAAGATTGGTTGCTTCTGCAGCCCACAGAACGTGGAGGATACAATGTCCTGTGTTTCCTGGACCAGGCATCACGAGGCCAAGCTTCCGCCTGTGGTCTCCTGGAATGTCCTTCCTTCCTTCCTTCCTTCCTTCCTTCCTTCCTTCCTTCCTTCCTTCCTTCCTTCCTTCTTTTCTTCCTTCCTTCCTTCCTTCGTCCCTTCCTTCATCCCTCCCTCCCTCCCTCCCTCTCTCCCTCTCCCTCTCTCCCTCTCTCTCTCTCTCCCTCTCTCCCTCTCTCTTTCTCTCTTTCTCAGAATTTCACTCTTGTGGCCCAGACTGGAGTGGAATGGTGCTATCTCGGCTCACCACAACCTCCGCCCATCGGGTTCAAGCGATTCTCCTGTCTCAGCCTCCCAAGTAGCTGAGATTACAGGCATGGGCCACCACGCCCGGATAATTTTGTATTTTTAGTAGAGACAGGGTTTCTCCATATTGGTCAGGCTGGTCTCGTACTCCCGACCTCAGGTGATCCGCCTTCCTCAGCCTCCCAAAGTGCTGGGATTACAGGTGTGAACCACCAAGCCTGGCCAGAATGTTCTTTCTAGAAGCCCCACGTGCAGGTGCCCACAAAAGTCCTCCTACCCTGAGACCAGCACAACCTAGGAACCCTGTCAAAAGCCCCATGGAGGTGATTTCACAGGCCCCCTGCTATGGCGCCTGACACGCGGGGGAAGCCACGCACGAGTGAGTGTGTTGGGAACAAGCCCCCCAAAATCTGGCCATAAACTGGCCCCAAAACTGGCCATAAACAAAATCTCTGCAGCACTGTGACATGTTCATGATGGCCATAATGCCCACGCTGGAAGGTTGTGGGTTTACGGGAATGATGGCAAGGAACACCTGGTCCGCCCAGGGCATTCTTTTTTTTTATTTTTTATTTTTTTTATTTTTTATTTTTTTTTGAGACGGAGTCTCGCTCTGTCGCCCAGGCTGGAGTGCGGTGGCACGATCTCAGCTCACTGCAAGCTCTGCCTCCCAGGTTCACACCATTCTCCTGCCTCAGCCTCCTGAGTAGCTGGGACTACAGGCACCCACCACCATGCCCAGCTAATTTTTTTTGTGTGTGTGTATTTTTAGTAGAGACGGGGTGGTTAGCCAGGATGGTCTCGATCTCCTGACCTTGTGATCTGCCTGCCTTAAGCCACAAACAATAGCATGAGCCATCTGTGCCTTAAGGACATGCTCCTGCTGCAGGTAACTAGCCCAACCTATTCCTTTAATTCAGCCCATCCCTTCGTTTCCCATAAGGGATACTTTTAGTTAATTTAACATCTATAGAAACTGCTAATGGCTGGCTTGCTGTTAATAAATATGTGGGTAAATCTCTGTTTGGAGCTCTCAGCTCTGAACGCTGTGAGACCCCTGATTCCCACTTCACACCTCTGTATTTCTGTGTGTGTGTGTCTTTAATTCCTCTAGTACCACTGGGTTAGGGTCTCCTCCACCAAGCTGGTCTCAGCATGAATGCCTCGAGGCCCCTTAGTTGGCACAGCAGTGAGGATCCCTGCCTGAAGCCGAGCCTGCAGGGGTTCCGACCCCGAAAGTCATAAACCCTGATGCAAATGCTTGGTGCTTTCAGCAGTAATGCCCTGTGGGTGGCTTTGTCATGTCACAGGGAACCGTAGATGTTCACGTTCCCTGGCGGCCTCCTCTGCGCACATGCAGAGGGTCAAAGCCGACTCCTCAGAAGGCAGGTTGAGGCGCGGCCAGGCCCTGCTGCACAGCTGGAGCTGCCAGCCTGGGTTCCCCAGGATGGCCCTGGTGGACGCCTGTTTCCTCAGCCTCATTTTTGGTGGCTCCTCTTTCATGCTTAACAGGACCTGGTTCAAACAAGGAACTATAATGGCCCCTGTCGTGGGTCCTTCTGAGGAGCAGTGGGGCCCAGGCCTTGATGCATTTGCCAAGCGGTCCTTCTGCCCAGCTCCACCAGCCCAGGGCTGCTGCCGTCACCATGCTGTCCTTCCGAGGAGCAGTGGGGCCCATGCCTCGATGCATTTGCCAAGTGGTCCCTCTGCCCAGCTCCACAAACCCAGGGCTGCTGCCCCCACCATGCTGTGCTTGCAGGGTGAAGAGGGGCAACTTGCCTTGACCCCTGACCCTGACGGGGGCAGGGAAAGCCTCTCCATGGACTCTCCACAGAAGGTGTGGGCTGGGCCCAGACAGCCCTCCTCACTGGCACAGTGAGTCTGCCCAGCCCTCTGTGCCAGCCAGAAGCTGAGAGAAGGCGTCTCAAATCCTGGTTTCAGCCCACGGTTTCTTGAACCACTTCAGAGTGCAGGGTGAGGGAGACTGAGCTGCCTCGTGGCAGAGGGGTGGGTTTTATGGATACTTGTCTGCAGCTGAGACATGTGCAAATGATAGAAGGGGGATGGAATAAAAAGTTCCGTATAAAAATAATTTACTGAGCCATCTGTACGCAGTTGCTCGGAAAGAGACATGAAGCCATGATCTCCGCTTGCCAACTCTCCCCCTAAATTCTGTTGGACACAAAACTGGTGAAATACGGTCAC